>NC_000005.10:150354611-150654928 GCF_000001405.40 Homo sapiens
ACTTTATCTTTCTCGTCCTTTTTATACAAAAACTTCTCGAAAGACCCACTGCCTCCCTCATCCCTCCTGCACTCATCAGACCACTGCCATCTGACCCCCTCCATCATGCCACACATAAATAGCCCTCCCTAAGTCCCCAACAATCTCCACGCCTGTCCATAAACCAAAGCCCAGGGCTGCACCCTCCTCCTATCTGACCTCTCAGAGCATTCCCTCCATCAAGTCTTCCCAGCTTTCTAAAATGTCTCCCTTGGCCTCCTTCCATAAGCCCACTCTCCTGGGCTTTCTCCAAGCTGTCCAGCCACTCCTGATCAGCCTTTGCAGGCAGATCCTTTTGTACACAGCCCTAATCTGTAGATGTACCTCAAAACTTCATCCTGGGCCATCTCTCTTCTCTCTCCACATTCTTCTCCCTGGGTAAGCTTCTCCTCATCCACAGCCGCAATTATCATCTGTCTATCGACAACTTCTCATCTTCATCTCTAGCCCAGACCTCCACGCCACGTCCAAACCCAGGTTTCCAAGAACCTTCTCAACATCTGCATGTGGTGACTGTAAGGCATTTCAAGCTCAAGATGTCTAACATAGAATATATACTTTCACCTCTCTGTCCACATCCTCCTCTCCTCAATCAAACCACCCCCCTGTCTCAGTCCTCTTCTAGTTTTTTCTATCTCAGTGAAAAATACTGCCTACTTGTTTGCACAGAAACCTCAAGGTCCATTCTGACATTGCCTTTTCCTTCCCCTCCCATTCCAACACACCTCTGTGAAAACTTTAGTTCCTGATTAACTCTGGGAACCTTCCACTCTCTTCAACTCCACTGCCACCAGCACCCTCCCCGCTGCCCCCGCCACCTACCACCCGCCCCCCCCCCCCACATACACTGTCTTCTCCCTGGATGCCTGCCTGCACTCCTAACCCTGACTTGTCTTCCCACATCTACTCATACCCACCAGACACACTCCACTCTCCACTGGGCAGGCACACAGGTCACAGTAAAATTCAGATTTCATCCTGTACCTCTTGGGCTTACACCGTCAGTGGCTTCCAATGGCTCTTAGGATGGAGGAAAAAAAACCCTGATGTGGCCAATCCTTCACATGGAGTCTGCCCTCTGCCCACCTTCTACACTCCCCAGTCCCCCTGCTCTCCCTCCGGACTATGCTACAAAGGCCTTTTTGTGTCTATTCTCTCAGCTGTACCTTCTGCCCTAGGCCCTTTGCACAGGTTCTTCCCTCTGCTCAGGTTTCTTCTCTCTGACTCTCCCTTACACACAGTTCTGGTTTCCTCATAACCATTAATTTCTCAGGGAATCCTTCCCTAACTCCCAAGAAAAAAATAGATCCCTCCTTCCTGTTATATGCTTTCACAATAATAGCACACACGCACACAGAGAGCGCTATTGTTCAGAGCTCCTCTAAGCATTTCTGCTGAGAATTCATTTACTCCTTATGACAACCCAGTGAGGTAGAAATTATAATTATCTCCATTGTACAGATAAAGAAACTGAGTCACAGTGACTTGCCCAAAGTCACCTAGTTAATGAGGCAAAGCCAGAATTTGAACCCAGGCAGTGTGACTCCAGTGCAGCTTTTAAACACTATATTATTACATAAGAAAACACTATCCTTTTCCTTCCTGCACTTACCCGCTGTTTGTAACACTGTATTGTATGACTATTAGTTTAGTATGTGTCTCCTCCGTTAGACTGTAAGCTCTATTGGAGTAGAGACAATTCCATCACTAGACTGTAAGCTCTATAGGAGTAGAGACTATTCCATCCCCAATGGTAGGTACTCAATAAATATTTGCTCAAGAAAATGGGAAATGTTGAATGTGTACAGACACATAACATTTTCCATTCAAGTTCAAGACAAAGATAACCACATACCTGGACCTCCTAGGGTTAGGGACTCCTGCGCCCGTAAGAAACATGCTGCCCTCAGATTCTCAATGGGTCGGTGAAGTTAAGAACAGCTCACTCTAACATTCTCCAGCCTACCTCACCTTTTCCCTGCCATCCTTCCCTCAACAACTACAACAGCCTCACATTTAGTATTAATGGTATGTGCTTTGGTTTTAGCAATCTTTTAAAAACACAAAACAGGGTCAACCTCCTCGGAAAAGCCAGTCAGAGACTATCTAATGCCCTCAGAGCAAAGTCCAAACTCTGTTGGGGGTGGGGGAGTTGTAGGCCTTGTCTACTTCTTCATCCTCATGTGCCCTCATTTGTTCCCTCTTCCCCACCTCACCCCACCCCACCTGGACAGCCCAGCAGCGCAGACTAGGGGTTCTGGGTTTAGGGTTCCCAGGCAATAGCAGGGTGTTTTCTCATGCCTAGACTCATGCAGTGCCCTCTGCCAGTCCTCTCCTTTGCACCCAGCAATTTCGGGTGTCTTTATGCCTCAGCTTAGATATCTCTCTGGGGTTCGGTGCTCCTCCTTGGGGCGCCCATAGGCTGCATCTGTCCCTGACAAGGCACACAAGATATTGAACTATAGTTGCTTGGTTACGGACAGTCGTCTCTGTGAGCTTTGAGGGCAACTGCCATGTATTATGCATCTTTTGAATCCCCCTAGCCTAGCCGGGTGCTAGCCCAAGTTAGGTGCTTATTACAGATTTGTTCAGTTAGCGAATGAATCAATGAATAAACTGGCAATTCGTGTCTGGTTCATGGGCACCAAAAACCGTGCGAAATGGATAAATGAGCAGGTAATGGCAGTACAAAGTTCGGATCTAGAGAAAGATCCAGATTAGGGAGTTCAGAGATGAGTAAAACGCAGACCCAGCCATCAGAGAATTAACAAGGAAGATAAATCTCTTCAAGAAGCCAGCCGGAAGGATTAAAAGAGAGTCGTCCAAGTCCCGGCCGGCCCCGGGGGCGGGTCCCTGTCTAGCCCCGCATGCTCCGCGCCAATGGGCGGTATTGTTGATCACGAGTCTCCGCCCCCTTCGCCTTGAGGGGCGGGGCCGGCCACTCCCGGAGAGGGGACTACGTTTCCCGGCGCGCCGCGCGGCCGGAGCGAAAGAGGAGCCGGAAGTGTGGCGCGCGAGGTCTAAGGGCGCGAGGGAAGTGGCGGGCGGGGACTAAGGCGGGGCGTGCAGGTAGCCGGCCGGCCGGGGGTCGCGGGTATGGCCGAGGCCAGGAAGCGGCGGGAGCTACTTCCCCTGATCTACCACCATCTGCTGCGGGCTGGCTATGTGCGTGCGGCGCGGGAAGTGAAGGAGCAGAGCGGCCAGGTAAGCGTTCGTGGGCCGTGTGCGAGGGCCGCGTGCAAGATGTGGAGATCAGCGGCCCGCGGCCCGCGCCCCGTCCCCAGGCGACCCGGCAGGCGCCCGGAGCCGGGTCCCGCAGTGCTCGACGGCGCGGCCAGGGGTACCGGAGGAGCCGCAATCTCTGCCTTCCCACTGCGACTTCAGTTCCCCTGGGCCTCACTTTCCTCATCCGGGCAGTGGGTTGGGCCAGAAAGTGTGCTCGCAGGGGCCGAACTTTGTAATTCCCGCTTCCCTTACCTCCACGCCCTTCCTGGTAGCGGGTATTTTAAGTTTCCTAAGTCTCCCGCCACGTGGCTAGGCTCTGCGCGGCCCCCCCTGGGGCAAGGAGGTTGCTGCGAGTCTCGGGGGTGGATTGCGACCAGCCCCTCGGGGGAGCGCCTGGAAAAGGGACCCTACAGCCTCTTAGTTGAGCTGGAACTCAGGCCTTTAGCGATTGTCTGTACTGAGACGGTCAGCTTTGGTACTCGAACTCGTGGTACAGTCATTTCTTACTTGATTAATTCAACTGTTAATCCGGTACTCAGGGTGCTTCCTGGTGTTCGAATGGTGAGCACCATCTCTCAGCCCTCCTGGAGCTTACACTCTAGTAAGGTAGACAAATCAAAGAATCACAAAAGTGACTATATGCTTAGCACCGCAATAAGTGTTAAGAATGAGAGGGATGGGCCGGGCACGGTAGCTCACGCCTGTAATCCCAGCACTTAGGGAGGCCGAGACTAGCGGATCACCTGAGGTCAGAAGTTCGAGACCAGCCTGGCCAACATGGTGAAACACCGTTTCTACTAAAAATACAAAAATTAGCTGGGCATGTTGGCGCACGCCTGTAATCCTGGCTACTCATGTGGCTGAGGCACAAGAATTGCTTGAACCCGGGAGGCAGAGGTTGCAATGAGTCAAGATCGTGCCACTGCACTCCAGCCTGGGCGATAAAGCGAGACTCTGCCTCAAAAAAAAAAGAGAGATGGATGGCAGATTGCCCTGGTCAGGAATAGCTGAGGTGTAAATGCCTTGTGGTGGGAGGGAACTTGTGTACACACTGGCCTGGAGAAAGTCCACTCTCTTGAGCCCAGGAATTTGAGGATACAGTATGAGCCATGATCATGCCACTGCACTCCAGCCTGGGCAACAGAGCAAGACACTGTCTCAAAAAAAAATTTTTTTTAAGTCCATAGCAGGCCAGGTACGGTAGCTCACGCCTGTAATCCCAGCACTTTGGGAGGCCGAGGCAGGCGGATCACTTGAGGCCAGGAGTTCAAAACCAGCCTGACCGACATGGTGAAACCCTGTCTCTACTAAAAATGCAAAAATTAGCCATGCATGGTGGCATGCACCTGTAGTCCCAGTTACTCGGGAGGCTGAGTCAGGAGAATCACTTGAACCCAGGAGGCAGAGGTTGCACTGAGCTGAGACTGAGCCACTGCACTCCATCCTGGGTGACAAGGCGAGACTCCATCTCAAAAAAAAAAAAAACGTCCATAGTGGCTGAAGTGTGAAGTACAAGGGCCAGATGCCCCTGGGGAGATGGAGGCAGGGGCTGGCTGGAGTGGTCTGGTGGGCAGTTTGATCTTCCTTGGAAGAGCAGTGGTAAACCAATGGAGAGTTTTGAACTGGTGAGACAGTATCCTAAGTAGTCAGATCCCTTTGCCCTGTGGTGTAGGCTCTGCTCCTAATGCTTGCTCTCAGAACCTCCTGGAGGGACTAAAGGGTGATGGGCCCTAAGACGTTATGTATGCTTTTCCCAGTTTCTCTGAACCTCACTTGCTCTTCCTACCGCAGCTATGGTACTTCACAGATAAGGGGAGCAAGAGATAGTACCCATCTTCATTGGAGCAAAATATCCTGCCGTCATGGAGCACACATTCTAGTAGGAGCAGACAGGTGACAAATAGAAAAAGTTTAATAAGTTAATGATATAGTATATCCAATGATAGTTGGTGCTTGCTATAAAAGGCAGGCAAGGGGGATAAGGGATGTCAGACTTCGATTATAAGTAGGGTAGTCAAGGAAGTCTCATTGAGAAGGTGTCATTTGGGCAGAGACCTGAAGGAAATGAGGGAGTGAGCTGTGTAGTTAACAGGGGAGAGAACATTCCAGACAAGAAGAATAGCAAGGCCGCGTTAGAGGCAGGGTGGCCTGACACATTTGAGGACAGCAAGGAGGACACTTTGCCTGAGGTGGAGCAGAGGGAAACTGACTCTTGAAATCTTAGTGTTACCGGCTCACTGCTGGGCACTGACAGATGGTCTTGTTCAAACCAGATAGCAGCCTGCAAGGTAGGTATCGCTGTTGTCCCCATGTTAAGAAGAAATCTGAAGTTCGAAGACGTGACGAGATTAGTTCAGTCCACCCGTGCCCCACATTGCTTAGCCTCATTAGAGTACTTGATATCCTGGCTTATTGACATTTACAGAGACATTGGGCCCTCTGGCCTCTGCTCCAAAGGCCTGGATTCCACCTGGTTCCCTCTGCTTCCACCAAGGGACTGGTACCATTTGGGCCCAGTCTTCTCCCAGCAGACTAGTAGACTGTGGTCATGCCACCTGGATGCCTCAGGTGTCTGGGCTGTGATTCGTGCTTTGGGAAGATTGGCTGGCCACGTCTTTGAAAGCTTTTTTAAAGGTCAAAGGTGGGGAAAACCCTGTCTCATGGCCTCTAGGCATGGATAGTGCCAGAGAGGCTGGGAGCTGGATGAATGCTAGCTTGGAACATTCCACCTCTGGCCTTTCAAAGGGGTTGTCTAAAAAGGTTTTAGTTGGGATTGGTTGTTCTTCTTGTCTCTGGAAGGTTTGGGACAGAACTGGCAGGGCCAAGCAGACATACTTCCCAGAGCAAAAAGACCCTCTTTTTTTTTTTTTTTTTTTTTAAAGAAAGGGTCTTGCTCTGTTGCCCAGGCTGGAGTGCGGTGGCACAAGCATGGCTCACTGCAGCCTCGATATCCTGGGCTCAAGTGATCCTCCCACCTCAGCCTCCTGAGTAGCCGGGACCACCAGTGCATGCCACCATTCTCAGCTAATTTTTAAATTTTTTTATAGAGACAGTCTCACTATGTTGCCCAGACTGGTCTTGAACTCCTGGGCTCAAGTGATCTTCCTGCCTCAGCCTCCCAAAGTGCTGAGATTACAGGTATGAGCCACCATGCCCAGCCAAAAAGACCCTCTTCTGAACCACCTGTCTATACAAGTCATGAGTTTGGGGAGATCTGGGCCCAAGAAGGATCCTTACTGTGCTGGGGATTAATTGTGGCTTTCTCTTTACCTCTCTGCAGAAGTGTTTCCTGGCTCAGCCCGTAACCCTTCTGGACATCTATACACACTGGCAACAGTAAGTGGTGGGGCCTATAGGGTGGAGTAGGGACGGACACCCCAAGCAACTCAGCTTGGAATAAGCTGGGATACCTATCTGGTCTAAGATCTGTCCCCATAGCCCACTGTGGACACCATTGTTGCCTCCAGAAAGCCAGCTCACATCACATGGATGGGTATTTCTGTGTGGATATCTGGTAGTGGGAGGGGACATTGAGAGCTGTGATCTCTTAAGAACAAGAGCTTCTCACCAGCTTGTCAGTTGCTCAGCAAACGTATATTGAGCACCTCCTGAAAGCCAAGTCCTGTTCTTACTTAGTATGCAAATATTGTCACAAGTGAGACAGACATGGTTCCTTCTTTCCTGCAGCTGACATTGTAGCCAAGGAGGTAGGCATAAGTCAAAGAATGAAACAAATGAATGTTAAATTACAGTGGTAGTAAGGATTACAAAAGAGAGGAATCTGTTGCCACAGCCACATAAATGGGTAAGTCTGGCTTCATCTGGGGGTCCAGGGGAAGCTTCCCTGAGGTGATCTTTGACTTGAGAGCTATAGGAATTGGAGGAGTGAACTATGCAGTGGGTAGAGAGTGGCAGGTGGAGTGTACCTGCCAGTGGAAATTGCTAATGCTAAGTCCTGTGGCTGGTGGACAGTACAGATGGGGCTAGGTCATCGCATGGATAGCCATGCATGGGCTGGTTATCCATGGTGAGGAATTTTGTCTTTATCCAAGAGCAGTGGGGCCATGGTAGGGTGAAAAAGTGAGGAGATTGCTCTGCACCATGGTGAGACTGGTGGGGCCATGGTCACCATCGTCCAGGCAAGAGCTGATGGGGCTTGACACAGGGAGAACAGGGTAGAAAGTGGATTCCCAAGAATCATAGGGATGAAACCAGGGCCTGTGGATGGGTGGGAGAGGAAGTATCTTATTGACTCCACATCTAACTTGTGTACCCATGCATAGAGCTTGAAGGGAACTCAGTTTGGAGGGGAAAGATTTCAATGACATGTTGAGTGTGAGATGCCTTTTAAACATGTAAAATTTATGTACTCTTCAAGGAAGGGGGAATCATCCAAGGATATATCAACAGAGGAATGGTTGGAAAATGGAGAGAGTAATTGTGTTCTCTTCATGCACTGGCCTGACCACAGCTGACTAAGGGAGTGAAGGACATGCAGACATATCCCATGAGGAATGGTAGAGAGTACTGAATTGCCTTGGATGGAAAGGAGGCAGGAGAGGGGTGTGAGGGACCACTGCACATCTTTGAGGACCAAGAATAGTGCGTTCTCTGAGGCCCCGGAGACAGAAGTGGGCCCCAAATGTACCTGCTTCAGGAAGACAGGTTTCAGCTTCTGAATATAATGACATCAGAGCTATCTAAAAATGAGGTGGGCTAGGTGGAAGTGGTGGGCTCCCTGTCATTAGAGGTGTGTAAACAAAGGCAAAAATGGTGTGGAAGGGATTACAGCCTCTGGTGGAGAGCTAAGGTCTTTGAAAACCCTGCCAACCCTCAGTCCTCTGCTGCTAAGGAGAGCTTAGAGCACAGGGCACAGCCCACACTTCCTCACCCTGACTTGCCCAGGTGAGTGGGTGTTATTCGTAGTACTTCCTTCCCCCAAAAAACTGCTTCAGTGAGCTACTCTGCACACTCTTCCCTGCCACTGGCCCCTTCTATGGGTGAGGGGGACAAGGACCTCAAACCCACGAAAGGCAGCCTAGCCTAGCAATTCCCTGCAGAGTTCAAACCCAGCAACTAGCTGTATGTATGACCTTGAGTGGATTTCTTGGCCTCCCTGAGTCTGTCTTCACCTATAAAATGAAAATAATGATGGCAATTATCTCATTGCATTGTGAGGGTTAGACACAGTGCTCCATATAAAGTGCTAAAACTACCGGTTGGAGGCTCCCCGACTTCCTGCACCCGCCTCAGTATTTATTAAGCATCTACTACAACCCAGCAATATTCTTGATATAGCTGGGAACAAACCAGAGAAAAATCCCTGCTCAACATTTTTGTTGGGGGAAAAGAGGCAGAATAAATTGATACATGTAAAAATGAAACCTGTTTTTAACAGGAGAATCCTGACAAGTGGCTTTCCTGGGAACAAGGGACCCTACTATCACATCCCAAACCATGACAGAGCAGAGTCCATCGCAGCTGGGAAACCTGGGGCCTAGACAGTGACTCCCTGGGATGGGGGTCAATGGGCGTGAGACTTCAAAGTCCAGGGCCTCAGCCATCTGGGTGCTTATCCTACCCATGCCCTAGACTCACTTTGCCATGAGCAAGTCACTTAGTTGTTCAGTTTTTGAGACATGTGTGAGGCACTGAGGATACTGTAGTGAGCTGCCAGCTGCCTTCCTCCCTGGGCCTTTCTGTGTAGGGGAGGAGTCTAGGAAGTAAGTAAAATAACAGGAGATAGAGAAAAGCTATGAAGAAAATGAAACAGGATCACAGGGCAGAGCATGCCTTGGAAGAGGGGCAATCTTCGAGGGCCTCTCTTGGGGGGCTACATTAAAGTTGAGACGGGAAGGACGAGGACCTGGGCAGAGTCTTCCAAGAAGGCACAGTACACACAGCATGTTCTGCAGGGGGAAGAGCCTGGGCGGTTCTGTGAGGTGCCTGCATGGGTCAGCTCCTATCACTTAAAGACTGGTAGCTGCTGCAGCTGTTATATAACATTATCCAGCATTCCTGATTATTTTAAAGACTAATCAAGAATTGTAAAAGCACTTTATGAAGTGAGTGAAAATGCAGAATACAAAATTGTGCCTATACTGTGTTTTCACCACTGTTTAGATTCTATGCACATTGCCTTTAAGAGCTGGAAGGATGCGGGAAGGTCTGTCTAGTCAATTCTTGTGGAGTTGTTCTGTCACCCAGTTGGTATAGACAGTCACCCTTGTCCTGCAGAACCTCAGAGCTTGGTCGGAAGCGGAAGGCAGAGGAAGATGCGGCACTGCAAGCTAAGAAAACCCGTGTGTCAGACCCCATCAGCACCTCGGAGAGCTCGGAAGAGGAGGAAGAAGCAGAAGCCGAAACCGCCAAAGCCAGTAAGAGCCTTGCAGCTTTGGGAACAGGCTATGGAATATTGATTGTTCTAGGGTAGAGTCTACCTCCAGCTTCTTCTCTTATCACTAGAAGACCTAAAAGACCCTGGGGAGGAGATTGGGAGGGCACCACATATCTTTGGCAGTATTTGAGCCCTTCCTCCGTGCCAGGCATTATATCTCCATGCTCTGGGGGTGCAAGGCCGAACCAAAACAACCAGATGGGCCCTTCCAGTCTCATTTGGTGTATGGGGCCCAGGAGCTGCCCTATTACAGGCTCCCAGGTGATTCTTATTAGCTGGAAAGAAGACACACGTTCAGAAGTACTGCTGGAGGGATTTCAGAAAGCAGCTAGCGGACACATTTTCTGTGTGACCTGTGGGATGCTTTAGGAATTGCTGATCTTCATGTTCATTTAGAATTGTACCCATTAGCACTGGAACGCTGTACTGGGCACTGGTTTTACACCGTTTGCAGGAGTAACTCAGTCAAAGCTTTTATAGCCCCTTCTTCTCCTAAGGTCCCAGGGCTCCTTGTACTTTCCCCAACAGCAGCCATAACTCTACAGAGGAATTGCTGTGTCTCCTTTGCATCGTATTATCTTCTTTTGCTTACATAGAAGACACATTTCTTAATACTTATTTTTTATTTTTCAAGACAAAGTCTTGCCATGTTGTCCAGGCTGGTCTTGAACTCCTGAGCTCAAGTGATCCTCCTGCCTTAGCCTCTTGAGTAGGTGGAATTCCATGCACATACCACCATGCCCAGCTTCCTGAGTCTGCTTTTAAAGTGTTTGAGATCATACTAGGTATATATTTTATTATTTTTTTGAGACGGGGTTTCACTCTTGTCACCCAGGCTGGAGCACAATGGCGTGATGTCAGCTCAGGGCAACCCCCGCCTCCTGGGTTCAAGTGATTCTCCTGCCTCAGCCTCCCGAGTAGCTGGGACTACAGGCATGCACCACTACTGTCAGCTAATTTTGTGGGTTTTCTTTTTCTTTCTTTTTTTTTTTTTTTTTTTTAATAGAGACGGGGTTTCACAATGTTAGCCAGACTAGTCTCAGGTGATCCGCCCACCTTGGCCTCCAAAAGGGCTGGGATTACAGGCATGAGCCACTGCGCCCTGGATATATATTATATATCGCTTAATTTTACATTATAAATGCAAAACGAGTTCACTTTGAACTGTAGAAGAGCATATAGAAGAAAACTTAAAGGTTTTTTGTTGTCCTACCCTGTTCCCTATCATTCCTAAGTGCATCTCCTCATAGGTAACCTTTAAAACTTCCTCCTTTGCCTCTATATTCATTCAAACATGTATTCTTACATGCATATATACAGACCTGCATGCTATTTGAAACACAAATGGTAAAATTTCTTACTGATTGGCTATTTGGTATTAATCAATTTTATAAGCTGTGATAATGGAGGTGTAATTACATTTTTTTGTTTGTTTGTTTGGGGCTTTTTTTGATATGAGGTCTTGCCATGTTGCCTAGACTGGCCTTGAACTCCTGGCCTCAAGTGATCCTCCTGCCTCAGCCTCCGGGTATGTAATTTTATTTTTTTAAAAGTCTTCACTGGGTTGGGCATGGTGGCTCACACCCACCGGTAATCCCAGCACTTTGGGAGGTCAAGGTAGAAGGATCACTTGAGCCCAGGAGTTGGAGACCCGCCTGGGCAACATGGCAAAACCCTGTATCTACAAAAAATTTAAAATTTAGCCAGGCATGGTGGCGTGTGCTTGTAGTTTCAGCTGCCTAGGAGGCCTGAGGTGGGAGGATTACTTGAGCCCAGGAGGTCAAGGCTACAGTGAGCCATGACTGTGCCTGCACTCCAGCCTGGGCAACAGAGCAAGACTGTCTCAAAAAAAAAAAAAAAAGGAAGAAGAGTCCTCGTTGGCATCCTGGGCAACATAGTGAGACTCCGTCTCTGCAAAAAATAAGAAAATTAGCTGGGCATGGTGGCATGCACTGGTGGTCCCAGCTACTCAGGAGGCTGAGATAGGAGAATCATGTGAGTCCAGGCATTGGAGGTTGCAGTGAGCTATGAATGTGCCACTGTACTCCAGCCTGGGCAGCAGAGCAAGACCCTGTCTCAAAAAAAATTTAAAAACGCATCCTCATTGAGAGAGAAACATGCTGAAGTATTTGTGGGCAACGTGGTAGGATCTATGGCATTTTCTTCAAAGTAATGCTTGATGGGGAAGGGTGAGTGAGATAATACATGAGATGAAAAGATTGGTCACAAGTTGTTAATGGTTGGAGCTGCCTGGTTCTTCCTTTCTATTTACTACTTAAAAATTTTCCATAATTACAGAAAGAGAGAGATGGAGTGAAGTGCCAGGAAAAGAATTAGATCATGCCATTCATCTCAGCAACATTCTTCTTTTTTTTTTTTTTTTTTTTTTTTTTGAGACGGAGTCTCGCTCTGTCGCCCAGGTCGGACTGCGGACTGCAGTGGCGCAATCTCGGCTCACTGCAAGCTCCGCTTCCCGGGTTCACGCCATTCTCCTGCCTCAGCCTCCCGAGTAGCTGGGACTACAGGCGCCCGCCACCGCGCCCGGCTAATTTTTTGTATTTTTAGTAGAGACGGGGTTTCACCTTGTTAGCCAGGATGGTCTCGATCTCCTGACCTCATGATCCACCCGCCTCGGCCTCCCAAAGTGCTGGGATTACAGGCGTGAGGCCACCGCGCCCGGCCCAACATTCTTCTTAACAAAAAGAAATCTGAGATTTAAGGAGACAATACCCTGGTATAAAAGCACTGAGAAGCTGGGTGCGGTGGCTCATGCCTGTAATCCCAGCACTTTGGGAGGCCGAGGTGGGCAGATCACGAGGTCAGGAGATCAAGACCATCCTAGCTAACACGGTGAAACCCCGTCTCTATTAAAAATACAAAAAATTAGCCAGGCATGGTGGTGGACGTCTGTAGTCCCAGCTACTCAGGAGGCTGAGGCAGGAGAATAGTGTGAACCCAGGAGGCGGAGCTTGCAGTGAGCCGAGATTGTGCCACTGCACTCCAGCCTGGGCGACAGAGCAGGACTCTGTCCCAGTAAATAAATAAGCACTGAGAATCAGTGAATATCGATATCTAACGGGGCCCAGGTGGCATGGTTCAGCCACCTCTCCACTAAGAAGCCATTTGAATTCCAGGCAACTTTCTCTGTGGACCTGAGGCTGGCTGCCTGCCTGACCACTGCCCCTTCTTGCCGAACAGCTTTCAGGGCTACAGTGTGGTGGCCTGTGTGAATGGTGCCCATTGCAGTGTGCAGTGCCCAGTAGGCAGCAAGAATGTGGGCCAGTCCTTTTCCCTCCAGGGGCCTCCACGTCTCATGCTGCGGGGGAGTTGGGAATCCATCAAGGATGCAGACACATAGCTTCATGTTACCATCCTCTTCTCTCTTGCTCCTGGTGGACCTGGCTGATGCATCACAGAGCTCATTCCTGCAAGTCTGGGCTCAGCCTCAGATCCTCATGCCAGCACCAGGCAGCCAATACCAATAGAATTGTTAGGTGAGATGAAACCTGTTTGCCATTCATAGATGAGAAAAGCTCATCTGGCTCCTTTAGCAGATGTTTGTTTCTTGCAGCCCCAAGACTAGCATCTACCAACTCCTCAGTCCTGGGGGCGGACTTGCCATCAAGCATGAAAGAAAAAGCCAAGGTGAGTGGGACTGCCTTCCAAGCTATTGCCTATGGGATTTAAGGTGCCTGGTAGGGGACAGTCTTACATGTCAGAGAAGGATAGGGTTGTGAGTAATTGCCCCACCTGGATTCAGAGCTCAACCTGTGTCACCAGTTGTGGGATCTTAGTCCCTTCACCTCTCTGGGCCTCAGTTTACTTTTCTATAAAGATAAGGATGATGCCTGCTGCAGTGGGCCACTGGGCACATTCTACACCTGGGGTAGGCGATTTCTTTCCTCTTTCATGCCTGCGTTCACCCGTTCACTCAACAGATCTTGACTAATACCTGTTATGTTCCAGGCACTGTGCTAGGTGTGGAGGCACCGTAGTGATCAAGACATCTGTGGTTCTGAAACTCTAAAAGCATTTTCCAAACTGGAAACTGCTCAAAAAACAAGGTGTCATTTTCTAATAATCCAGAAAGCAGAGTTAGATACATACATGTATAAAGAATTGTGCCTCTGCGATTGCCTGGAGCATTAGCAACAATGTCTCAAAGTAATTATGAAGTAATGATAAGATCAACAACAAACTGCTACTTACCACTTAGTAAATAACTACCATGTCCCAAGAACTGGGATTCTGTTTTCTCAACACCTCTGGTGAGAGGAGGTGCTGTTTTTAACCTCACTTTAAAGATTGGGAAACAGATTGAAGGGGTAGTTTACCCAAACTCACACAGCTAAGAAGTGGTAAGATTGGGTTCAGATGCAAGTGGCCTGTGCTCTTAGTTCACCATGCCATACCAGATGTGTCTGTCACTCTTGTTCTCTGTAGGCAGAGACAGAGAAAGCTGGCAAGACTGGGAATTCCATGCCACACCCTGCCACTGGGAAGACGGTGGCCAACCTTCTTTCTGGGAAGTCTCCCAGGAAGTCAGCAGAGCCCTCAGCAAATACTACGTTGGTCTCAGAAACTGAGGAGGAGGGCAGCGTCCCGGCCTTTGGAGCTGCTGCCAAGCCTGGTAAGAAGTCCCCACCTCTAGGAACCTAGTCCCCAGAACTTGGGCTGGTGAGGCAGGCCTAGGCATTGCTTTAAGTTCTGGGACATTTCTGGAATCAAAAGTTTGTCTCCAGGACAGCCAGGTTCCTGCATCTTAGGACTTTTCTCATCACCTAGACGAGGGAGGGTCAGCTTACAGGGACCTGGCCTCAGGCTGAACAGCCCACCTGGTGGTTGGAGCATTTTCTGCTTTATGACTCCCTGGTGAGTTACAGGGACAACTGGCAGCTCAGAGACTAAACTGAAAGGCCTGATTTGCCTCTGTTTCCTATGTAGAGTAGACATCTGTCTGGCCTGCATCAGTGGATATGATGGTGGATGGAGGTTCTGTAGACTGTCAGGTGCTGGTGCATATTTGTTGGGTCCCCTCACAGCCCTTCCCAGGGCCTCAGAGATGTGTGGGAACATAGGGATGGTGATGGTACCCACCTCAGAAGGGGGCTTCACAGCTCAGTGCATGTGAGGCACACGAGGGGTGAGCGCTCAGCACCTGGCTTTGATGAGCAGCTGGTTTGTGGGGAGGTGCTGGGGAGGGGCAGGTGAGGCTGGAAAGGGAGTCCCTCAGTCCCCTCCGTGTCCGATCCTCAGGGATGGTGTCAGCGGGCCAGGCCGACAGCTCCAGCGAGGACACCTCCAGCTCCAGTGATGAGACAGACGTGGAGGTAATTGCCACCCATCCCTAGGAGTTGCCCTCTCCCAGCCTCTAACCCTTCCAGGAACCTGTCTGGGGCTTCAGACACCAGTGGGCCCAGATGAGTTCAGCAACTGTGGTAGGGTGACCAGGAGCTGGAAAGGCTGCAGCCGGAGAGGGGCAGGGAGAGGAGTCTGGTGCTGCTTGCTGCACTCTGAGTGTGAGATCAGCCCTGGGGGCAGGAGAGGGACACCCTCCTGCCTGTGAGACTAGACAAGCCTTCCTGGGAGAGGTGCCCTGGAGTAGGGCCTCAAAGCACAGTGGGCTTCACTGGGAAGGGATGTGGAGGAGGCAGGGCATTCCAGACAGGAAATGGGGCAAGAACAGGGCCCAGAGGCAACAGTGTGGCTGTCGTGGTCTGGCTAGGGCTGCGGCTGCTGAGAGGGTTCTGGGCCAACTGGTGAATGCCAGGCCTAGACACTTGGCTAGAGTTGGGCAGGACTCTTGGGTTTGTGAACTTTGACCTGGAAAAGGTCTCCACAGGTTACTTTTTATTGTGTACCTACTAAGTGGCAGACCTGGGGAATATAGTGATGAGCAGGACAGGCAGAGTTCCTGCTGCCATGGGGCAAGGGAGCGTCCCTCAGATATTTAATTGGTGATGGCTGCTATGAAGTGGAAATGTAGAGGGCCACGCAGGGCAGGAACCTGACGTTGATGAGTAGGCGTAAGCAGAAGGAATGGCATGTGCAGAGAAGGCGGCAAAGAGAGTTTGGTGCTTTTAAAGAACATTGATCTTTTTTTAAGACAGTCTCACTGTGTCACCCAAGCTGGAGTGCAGTAGCGCGATCTTGGCTAGCTGCAACTTCCACCTCCCGGGTTCAAGCGATTGTCGTGCCTCAGCCTCCCAAGTAGCTGGGATTACAGGTGCACGCCACCACGCCTGGCTAATTTTTGTATTTTTTGTGGAGACAGGGTTTCACCATGTTGGCCAGGCTAGTCTCGAACTCCTGACCTCAAGTGGTCCATGTGCCTTGGCCTCCCAAAGTGCTGGGATTACAGGCATGAGCCGCCACGCCTGGCCAAAACCTTGATCTTTAAATGAGAGGGAGAAACCAGGCACGGTGGCTCGCACCTGTAAGTGCAGCACTCTGGGAGGCCAAGGCAGGAGGATCATTTGAGGCCAGAAGTTTGAACCCAGCCTGAGCAACATAGTGAAACCCTGTCTCTACAAGATGTTATTTTTTAAAAAAACAAATAAATTATGGGGAAAGTGACACAAGATGAAGTCCTAGGTAGACAGGGGCCAGATCTTCTGTCTGACCTTGAGGACCACCATAAGGAATTTGGGTTTTATTCTAGGGGCTGTGAGAAGCCATGCCAGCAAGGAGAGATGGCCTGATTTGCATTTAATAAGATTGCTGGCTGCAGCCTGGGTTGGAGGGCAGTGCAGAATAAAAGCAGTAAGACCATGTAGGAGACTATTGGAGTAATACTGATACTGGCATAAGAGGCTGGGGGCTGGGAGACCAAGGTGTCCACAGTTGGAAAGATGTTTTCAAGGGAAAACCAGCACAAGTCAGGGATGAACTGATCTGGTGCCCAGGGAACTTCTCACTTTACTGTGCTGCCTGGCCCAGTAACCCTGTGAAGGTTGAAAGCTCACCCCCATCTACCCCAGGCCTTACCAAGGGCTGCCCTCCACCTTCCGTCCTCACCCTTGCGCCCTAGATACCACCAGCTGTAAGGACATCCCTGGCTTCTGTCACCCCAGGCCTTGCCAAAGGGAAGAAGACCACTCCCAGCCCTCCATAAACACACAACCTCAATGGGCTGAGGCTGTGCAGAGCTCCAGTAGCAGACGCCCCAGAAACCCAGGGCCGCAAGGGGTCTGATGGATCTCAGAGGTAGAAGTAGGGCACTGACTGCCTGGGAAATGTCTGAATTGTGGAAGTGTAGGAAAGAGCTCACAGAGGGAAGGAATTTGCCCAAGGTGTGGCAAGCCAGTGGCAGAGGTGGTGTTCACATCCTGAACTCCTGGCCCTCAGGAGGGCTGCTGTGATCAGATACTTGAGTTTAAGGGGCAGACAGGATGCGCTCTCCTGATTGAGATGCAAGCCCTTCTCTCAGGCCAAGCCCGGTGTGTGCCAGGTGGGAGATGAACGTAATGGTTTTGAGATCTGTTCCAAAGTCAGACAGTCCAGGGTTCCAGTGGGGCTCTGTCCCTTCATATTGATCATGAGTGATTTTACCTCTTTAAGCCTTGTGTACTTTTCTGGAAAATGGATCTAAAGCTAATAGCCGTCTCAGGGAGTTGCTTAAAAATCCAGTGACATTAGGAAAGAGCTTTATCAACTGCTGAAGCCCCTAATACAGAACCTTAGGGGGAAACAGTAATTATTATTCATTTTCTAATTCCATCCTCTTGTTCCAGGGGAAACCCTCAGTAAAACCAGCCCAGGTCAAAGCCTCATCAGTTTCTACTAAGGAGTCTCCAGCAAGAAAGGCGGCCCCAGCCCCTGGGAAGGTGGGGGATGTGACACCCCAGGTCAAAGGAGGGGCCCTGCCCCCAGCCAAGAGGGCCAAGAAGCCAGAAGAGGAGTCAGAGAGTAGTGAGGAGGGATCTGAAAGTGAGGAGGAGGCCCCTGCAGGGACACGAAGCCAGGTGAGGCCTGGAGGAGGGCTGCCCCTTGGAGGACCTGCGGGTCCCCCAGCAGCCTGAGCACTCTGCCATGAGCACCTCTGCCACTGGAGTTGGGGAGAGGGAGGACTATGGTGTGAAGTTGAAGAGCAAGAACAGCCTGCTTCCCACAGGGGAGTCTTGCACTCCACTTTGTCTGTGACCAACTTTACCTCAGTTTCTCTGCCTAGTAAATGGGCCGCTGTCCTCGTCCCAGCCAGTCCTGCTGTGAGGGACTTGAGAAGTTTTGATTGCCTAATCCTCTGACTTCTCAGGACAAACCAGACCCTGAGCAGGCAAACACTACGTTAGCTAAAGGGAATCCAGTTCCCTTCCCCATCTGCTGGGAGTGGGCAGGGCTGCAGCCCCAAGGCCCTGGGTGTATCCCAAGGGCAAGACAGGGGGGCTGGAAAGCAATGGAAGTCAGAGCAGGAAGGAGGAAGAGTGAGGGTCACCCACCCAGCCCCAGGCCTGGGGCAGGACAAGGCGGGGGCATGCAGTAGATAAGCAGATCCCCTGCGTTAGCTGCTGGTAAATGGTAAAGAGGAAGTGGGGGACATAGGAATGGCAACTTGAAGCAGAGTGCTCTGGGCTGGCCTTGGGAGAAGGCGTCTCAGTAAAGACCAGAAGGAGGAAGCACTCTTAGGAAGGTCATTCCAGGCAGGGGCTCAGCAAGTGTCAAGGCCCTGAGGTAGAAGTAGGACTACGAATTGTGACAAATTGTTGTTCCCACCCCATCTACAGGGAACTTCTACGCCTCGGCTGTCTATTTTGCAGTGTCTGGGGGCTACACAGTGTTGGATGGGCATCCACTTTGAGAAGGAACACAAATGTGAATTTTTTTTTTGAGACAGAGTCTTGCTCTGTTGCCCAAGCTGGAGTGCAGTAGCGGCAATCATAGCTCACTGCAGCCTCACTCCTGAGTAGCTAGGAATACAGGCACACACCACCACACCCAGCTTGTGTGTGTGTGTGTGTGTGTGTATAGACAGGGTTTCACTGTGTTTCACAAGCTGTGGACTCAAGCAGTCCTCCCACCTTGGCCTCCCAAAGTGCCGTGATTACAGATATGAGCCACCGCACCTGGCCATAAATGTGAACTTTTATGTAAAATCTGCTTTCTCCATGTTGGCTCAAAAATTTAAAAAGGAGCTAGCCAAGCAAGACCTGTGTGGAGCAGCCTGCACTTTCTGCATGAGAAGCTTCTTAGAAGATCAGAGCTGCTGTTTTCTAGGGTTGTTGGCCCAGGGCTGAACACCCAGGGCCTTCCAGGGAAGACAGGGCCTGCAGCCACCCTGCCAAAGCCCCAAGACAGTGCAGAGCCCCACCGAGGAGTTAGTGAAGAGGGGGCCAGGTGTGCAAACCTTGCCCCATGAGGCTGAGGGTGGGCTTCCAGGGGTCCTGCTGCTGTCCATGTGCAGAAAGTCCAGTGAGGGCCTCCCTCAGTCCCTTCCCCACTTTCAGACTGCCTCTTCATTCCTTCCCTTCCCTGGGCCTTTGCACACCCCCTCCCCACAGCCCAGTCTGATGATGCTCCCGATAAGCCAGTGCCTGTGCCTCCAGAGCTCTCTGGCCAGTGGGAGCCCAGCAGAGGACAGGCTCTAACTACCCAGTGTGCTGGGGCACCAGGGGGAACCATGTTAAGGAAGTGGTGTCTCTTAGGGAGCCAGAGACAGAGGAGGCAGTGGCTAAGTGAAATGGAACAGGGGGCATGGAGGCTCCAGGAGTGAGAGTGTGTGAAGCTGATCGATTTTTGAGAAACCAGGAGGCCAGTGTGGCCAAAGTATCAGTCAAGGTGGGGAGTGGGGAGGGAAGCAGGGGAGGTCTTAGGAGCCTCATTAAGGCCTCTGGACTTTATCCTAAAGGCATCACCAGAGAGTTTTCACAAGCAGGAGAGCAAGCTGCCCTTTCTTTTTCACCAGGTAAAGGCCTCTGAAAAAATTCTCCAGGTCAGAGCTGCCTCAGCCCCTGCCAAGGGGACCCCTGGGAAAGGGGCTACCCCAGCACCCCCTGGGAAGGCAGGGGCTGTAGCCTCCCAGACCAAGGCAGGGAAGCCAGAGGAGGACTCAGAGAGCAGCAGCGAGGAGTCATCTGACAGTGAGGAGGAGACGCCAGCTGCCAAGGCCCTGCTTCAGGTGAGGCCTGAGGAGGGAGACTCCATGCAGCCAGGCCCGTCCCCAGAAGGCCTTCTCAGGACTTGTTCTCCCACTCTGGGCCAGAGCCCCGGGCGTGCCTCAGACCCCAGCCCCTTACTCCCCTCTCACTGTGTGGCATCATTTGCCCTATCTGGTCTTCTGTACGTGGTGTCCTGTGTCTCCTCACACGTCCATCCTCTGGGCTGTCTCCCCTTGTCTTGTTTCTCCAGGCGAAGGCCTCAGGAAAAACCTCTCAGGTCGGAGCTGCCTCAGCCCCTGCCAAGGAGTCCCCCAGGAAAGGAGCTGCCCCAGCGCCCCCTGGGAAGACAGGGCCTGCAGTTGCCAAGGCCCAGGCGGGGAAGCGGGAGGAGGACTCGCAGAGCAGCAGCGAGGAATCGGACAGTGAGGAGGAGGCGCCTGCTCAGGTGAGGCAGAGGGGAGGGGTGGAGAGTAGCCCCATGCCTAAACCCCAGCACCTGCATGGGTGTGGCCACCTTTGCCACATCCAGCTCCTGTCTCCACACGTCCACCCTCTGGGCTCTCCCCTCATCCTGTTTCTCACTCCAGGCGAAGCCTTCAGGGAAGGCCCCCCAGGTCAGAGCCGCCTCGGCCCCTGCCAAGGAGTCCCCCAGGAAAGGGGCTGCCCCAGCACCTCCTAGGAAAACAGGGCCTGCAGCCGCCCAGGTCCAGGTGGGGAAGCAGGAGGAGGACTCAAGAAGCAGCAGCGAGGAGTCAGACAGTGACAGAGAGGCACTGGCAGCCATGAATGCAGCTCAGGTGAGGCTGGAAGCCGCCCTGCATGGCCTGTGCCCTGCCTCAAAAGACCTCCTGTGGTTTTGACTTTTCCTCTCTGAACCTAGAGCCCTGTGCGGCTGGCTTCGTTTGCTCTCCTCCCCTCACTCACATTCTCCTTCTGGACTCCCTCCCTAATCTTGTCCTTTGTGTCTCCCAGGTGAAGCCCTTGGGGAAAAGCCCCCAGGTGAAACCTGCCTCTACCATGGGCATGGGGCCCTTGGGGAAAGGCGCCGGCCCAGTGCCACCCGGGAAGGTGGGGCCTGCAACCCCCTCAGCCCAGGTGGGGAAGTGGGAGGAGGACTCAGAGAGCAGTAGTGAGGAGTCATCAGACAGCAGTGATGGAGAGGTGCCCACAGCTGTGGCCCCGGCTCAGGTGAGGCCCCTTCCTGTAAGGCTCTTTCTTTTTCCCCCCCACTCAGAGTGGAGCTGCCTGTGGCCTCCCAACCTCACACTGGGACTCTGTCTACAATCTTAGTTTCTTAATGTCTGCACACACCTACCCTGGGCTCCCTCTCCCGATCCTGTGTATCTCACTCCAGGAAAAGTCCTTGGGGAACATCCTCCAGGCCAAACCCACCTCCAGTCCTGCCAAGGGGCCCCCTCAGAAGGCAGGGCCTGTAGCCGTCCAGGTCAAGGCTGAAAAGCCCATGGACAACTCGGAGAGCAGCGAGGAGTCATCGGACAGTGCGGACAGTGAGGAGGCACCAGCAGCCATGACTGCAGCTCAGGTGAGGCCTGGGGAAGGAGGCTGCTACATGGCCTGATCTGCCACACCACAGTCAGCACCCCCGGGGAGCTGTGCTCCCTCAGGCAGAGCATGGGTTTTGGCTGGTGGGGCAGAACAGATGGGGGACTCTGAGTTCAGGAACCTTCTCCAGCCTTTCTTTGGTGTCCCCTCAGGCAAAACCAGCTCTGAAAATTCCTCAGACCAAGGCCTGCCCAAAGAAAACCAATACCACTGCATCTGCCAAGGTCGCCCCTGTGCGAGTGGGCACCCAAGCCCCCCGGAAAGCAGGAACTGCGACTTCTCCAGCAGGCTCATCCCCAGCTGTGGCTGGGGGCACCCAGAGACCAGCAGAGGATTCTTCAAGCAGTGAGGAATCAGATAGTGAGGAAGAGAAGACAGGTCTTGCAGTAACCGTGGGACAGGTGAGGCCTGTGTTTTCTGGGCGGGCCTCAGGGCCGCCCCTACGTGGTCCTTTGGACTCCTGGAGACACCTCTCTTCCCCTTGTCATCCCAGGCAAAGTCTGTGGGGAAAGGCCTCCAGGTGAAAGCAGCCTCAGTGCCTGTCAAGGGGTCCTTGGGGCAAGGGACTGCTCCAGTACTCCCTGGGAAGACGGGGCCTACAGTCACCCAGGTGAAAGCTGAAAAGCAGGAAGACTCTGAGAGCAGTGAGGAGGAATCAGACAGTGAGGAAGCAGCTGCATCTCCAGCACAGGTGAGGCCTAGAAGGAGCAGGCCCATCCCACCCACACCTGTTCCTGAGCCAGGGCTGAGGATGGGCTTGACTGGGGGCTAGTGTTGCCTGCAGGTGTGCAGAAGCCTCAGAGGTAGCCTCAACACAGCTTCCTTCCCTATCTTTCACTCCATGTCTCCTCTGCCCATCAGAGCTCCAGGGTCTCTGTCTTGTTTGCCTTTTGAGGTCCTCCTGCTGATTGATTCCCTGTGGTTTTCACAAGCTCTGGAGTTCCCACCCTGCCAGGTGCTGCCCTTGTCTGGGGTTGCTGAGGCGCTGTTCCTCAGGGAAGTCCTGTCTCTGTGGAGCATGGACATGCTCCTGCAGTGTGGAGCGATGGGGTTGAGATAGAGGGTGTGAGCCTGGGCTGCGCAGCATGACAGGTGAGAGCATCTAGGCCTTTTACAGGAGGTGGCAGCATCTGAGCCATGGGCTGAAAGAGTTGGCCAGGTGAAATGGGCAGGGAGAGTGTTCCAGGCAGAGGAAGCAGTCTGTGCGAGGCCAGGGAATGAGAGAGTGCCTGGCTTGGGTGCCTTGCCACAGGCGGCACATTGTGGTGGGATGGCTGGCAGTTGTTTAGAGCCAGACCGCCTGGGTTCAAGTTTCAGCTCCACAGCCTGGCAAGTGCTGTAAGCCCTCAGAGCCCTTACTCTCCTATAAACAGGAAATCAGCCCTCACAGGTTTGGGTGAGAATTTAGGTGAGATCTCACCTGCTACACCCAGCAAGGGAGCTGCACACAGCAAGTTGTCTCTGTCACCCTGACGATGGGCCAGGCTAATGTGGAACAGATCAGGAGTGAGGTCTCCAAGCCTGGAAGAGCTGAGAGAAGATGGCTCACTCCCTGCACTCACCCACCCACTGTTTATTATTTTTAATTGTCGCTCTGTTTTTTTCTGTAACCACTCAGAAATTAGTCATTTCTTTTTTCTCTGTACCAGAGCACACATTTCTACTGATTTTTTTTTGTCCTCCTCTCGTTGACTTGTGGGACCTCAGGGCTCTAGAATTCCTCCATTGAGGTTTTTAAGCTCTGCAGGGGCCCCTTCCAGAGCCGCCTCTACTCTTTCCCAAGCTGCAGGCACATTCCAGACCCAATGCCTTACAGAGTTTCATTATGCAGCTCACTTAAATATTTGTCTTCCCTTCTGAGCCTCCCACCTGTACCATGAGGTGGGTGTTTTATTTTTATTTTTTGAACCATGGGCTATTTTGAAGTAAGCCGTTTAATTTCCAAATATCTGGGATTACCCAGGTTTCTTTTTGTTGATTTCTAATTTAGTCACATTGTGGTTGGAGAACATATTTTGTATGATTTAAATCCTTTTTTGTGTATTGAGACTTGTTAGGTCAAGTCAGTCTTGTGTCTTGTTTCTTGTGGAAAACATGGCTCCCCTCTGGAGGATTTACGTGCTCTACTGATGAGCACCTCGGCCTGAGTCATACTTGGTCCACACTGTAGGGAATCTTCTTGAAGTCCTGATTCTTCACCTCATTTGACCTCATGTGTTTGAGGAATGCTGGGGGATGGGGTTGTTTTCTGACACTGACCAGATGCCATCCCTGAGTGAGGCAGGGGCCTTGAGATGCTGCCAGAGTCCTCATTCTGTTTCACATTAGGCTTGCTGTCACTCCTGTTAAGGATCTCACTCTGGGAATTTCCCTTTTTTTTTGTTCTCCTTCTATTTGTTGGAATCCCTGACAGGCCTTTTGGGGGTTCTCTGGATATCGGTTAAGGCTAGATTAAGCTGAAGAAAACCTTAAACAACAAGTATCTTGTTCTGCCGTGGCTGCTTGAGCTCCAGCTCTGACCTCAGCATTCCATCTAGCCTGGAGGAGGAAGAGACATGTTTCTGACCTTTTATGGCACTCAACTTACATCCTATGAGCCAGAATTTAATGACATTGCCACCTAGCTGAAAGGGAGCCTGGAAAACATCTGTTTTAGGTAGTCTTGTGCTTAGCTAATGCTAAGGAAGGCACGCACAATGAGTTTGAGTGTTTATTATGTTCCAGACATCATGTTAAACTCTGAATCTCCTATTTAGTCTTCATCATAACCCGTAGGTGGGCCTTATTATTATCTCCATTTGATAGAGGACTGAACTGAGGCCCAGTGAGATCAAGTGATGAGCTCAGGTTCACACGCCTATTGCATGGAGGAGCCAGAATCCAGACTCGGGCTCCAGCTCCAGAGTCTGTATTCTTGGCTAGCTGCTTTACTCAATCTCACCTTCTCCCTCCTTAATTCCCTTTTCTCCACTCAGGTGAAAACCTCAGTAAAGAAAACCCAGGCCAAAGCCAACCCAGCTGCCGCCAGAGCACCTTCAGCAAAAGGGACAATTTCAGCCCCTGGAAAAGTTGTCACTGCAGCTGCTCAAGCCAAGCAGAGGTCTCCATCCAAGGCAAGTGGGGCCAGAAGCCACAGGAGGTGTGGAGGGTTGGGGTAGAGAGGAGGACCAGTCACTGAGCCCAGCCAGGAGAAGGTGCGTGCATGGGCAGGCCACCCACCCAGAGTTGTGCCATAGTGGGGAGTGGGACCTGAAAGGAATCACTTTTGCCTCCAATACTATTATCCCCCTGCAATTCAGGTGAAGCCACCAGTGAGAAACCCCCAGAACAGTACCGTCTTGGCGAGGGGCCCAGCATCTGTGCCATCTGTGGGGAAGGCCGTGGCTACAGCAGCTCAGGCCCAGACAGGGCCAGAGGAGGACTCAGGGAGCAGTGAGGAGGAGTCAGACAGTGAGGAGGAGGCGGAGACGCTGGCTCAGGTGAGGGGGAGGGAATGGAGATCATCCCCTACATGGGATGTAACACCTTTGCCACATCCAGCTCCTGTCTTCTCACACGTCCACCCTCCAGGCTCTCTCCTCTCATCCTGTTTCTCCCTCCAGGTGAAGCCTTCAGGGAAGACCCACCAGATCAGAGCTGCCTTGGCTCCTGCCAAGGAGTCCCCCAGGAAAGGGGCTGCCCCAACACCTCCTGGGAAGACAGGGCCTTCGGCTGCCCAGGCAGGGAAGCAGGATGACTCAGGGAGCAGCAGCGAGGAATCAGACAGTGATGGGGAGGCACCGGCAGCTGTGACCTCTGCCCAGGTAAGACTTGCCAGGCCTCTGAGCCACCAACACTCACTCCTCAGAACGGGGGTATAGGGCTGGGCGTGGTGGCTCACACCTGTAATCCTAGCACTTTGGGAGGCCGAGGCAGATGTATCACTTGAGGTCAGGGGTTCAAGACCAGCCTGGCCAACATGGTGAAACCCCGTCTCTACTAAAAATATAAAAATTAGCTGGGCATGGTGGCGGGTGCCTGTAATCCCAGCTACTCGGGAGGCTGAGGCAGGAGAATCCCTAGAACCTGGGAGGCGGAGGCTGCAGCAAGCCAAGATCATGCCACTGCACTCCAGCCTGGGTGATGAGAGTGAGACTGTCTCAAAAAAAAAAAAAAAGAAAAAAAAGAAAAGTGAAAAACCAGGGTTTAGGGCCAGGTAAGGAAAAGAAAGGAAGGCCAGGTTAAGGCTTAAGGCTCCAGTTCCACCATGCCCTCCTCCGTCTGCTGTCATCCACATCTCCTTAGGTAAAACCTGCTACTAAAACCCCCCAAACGAAGACTTCCGTAGCTAAAAGTGTCCTGGGTCTATATCTAGGTCGAGGTCTCCACCAGCTCTATAAGCTAGGCCAGTATTTCCCACCAAGGCATATGAGACCAAGAATCTACATGTTAGTTATTGTGCATACGTTAACGTTATACAAAATGACTCTCCCTGTCAGAGTCCCAGGGAAGCTTGGAGTGTGGCACAGGTCCCCCTGAGGTCCTGGAGAGATGGAGGAAGTCTCATCCTGCACCTTGGCCCGGAGCCTCACATAGGCAGGCGCATCTTCTCAGGCAGGGCTTGTCTAGCTTAGTGCAAAGCCTGGACCCTGGAGAGTGGGGAGAAAGAAAATCTGAACAATTCCCTCTGTCTGCTTGCAGAAGATAGCAGGGCTTGCTACATCCTACAGAAGTGTAGGATGACAAACTCCAGCACTGCCAAGGCACAGGTGTGTGATGGAAATGACTGATGCAGGCCTGGCAGGAATGATAGATGTCGGCCGGGTGCGGTGGCTCAAGCCTGTAATCCCAGCACTTTGGGAGGCCAAGGCGGGCGGATCATGAGGTCAGGAGTTCGAGACCAGCCTGGCCAACATGGTGAAACCCTGTCTCTACTAAAAAAATACAAAAATTAGCCAGGCGTGATGGCAGGCGTCTGTAGTCCCAGCTACTCGGGAGGCTGAGGCAGGAGAATCGCTTGAACCCGGGAAGCAGAGGTTGCAGTGAGCCAAGATCATGCCATTGCTTTGCACTCCAGTCTGGGCAACAGAGTGAGACTCTGTCACAAAAATAAAAAAAAGAGATGATAAATGTCAGGAGAGATGGTAGATAGTGGTAGCAAGTAGGGCAGACCGGAGAGCCCTTGCCCCATCCAGAGGGGCAGTTCTTATCAGCTTCAGCCAGTCATGACTGTGGAGATGGACCTTCTGTGTGGCCAGGTCTTCCATTTCTTAAGGGAAGCTGGAAGTCCCTGTGCCAGGCCAAGCTCCATAACCTCTTAGATTTGTTTTCTTCATGAGTAAAACAAGCACTGAGATGAATGCTCCCTAGCCCTAACCTCTGCCTTTGATACACCAAACCAACAATTACTGGGGGTGAAAGACATTGGCCCCACCCTCAAGGAGCTCACAGTCTGTGGGGCAAGACAGGTGACCGGATTATCGCAGACTATGCTAGTGGTGCTGACAGCTGAAAGAGCAGGTCTCTGAGAGGCCAGAAAAGGAGGAGATGATTGAGCTGAACCTGAAGGATGACCAGGCACAAAAGTGGAGAAGGCCCCTCAGTGTGTGCAGAGGGGCTGGGCATGAAGGCACATGGTCACTGAAGGCAGCTGTCCTGCAGGCCGTAGGCCCTCCCAGGTGCTTGTTACTGGTAGATTTATGGAGGACCTAAATGCCAGACTAAGACATAGGCCCCGGCCATATTTTGGGCTGTGTAGTTTTTTTGTTTTTAAGTTTTCAATGAGTTCTTAGTCAGAATGGCCTAATCTGTAGGAGAAAGCCCCATTCAAAAGAGCTTAAATAAGGGGATTGACTGTCTTAAAGTGCACAAAGTCCCAGGTTCCAGCTGCTGAAAAGCTGGTTCCTTTAGCTGAGCGTCAGTGGTAACCAGATTTCTTCATCTCTGCACTCCACTAGCTTTATGGTCATAGCAGGGCTGCAGCATCTCCTAAAGTGCTGGGGGCAGGCCAGGCACGGTGGCTCACACCTGTAATCCCAGCACTTTGGGAGGCTGAGACAGGCGGATCACTTGAGGTCAGGAGTTCAAGACCAGCCTGGCCAACATGGCGAAACCCCATCTCTACTAAAAATACAAAAACTAGCTGGGCCTGGTGGCACCAGCCTATAATCCCAGTTGAGGCAAGAGAATCACTTGAACCTGTGGAGGAGGAGGTTGCAGCCTGGGCAACAGAGTGAGCAGAGCAAGACTCCATCTCAAAAAAAAAAGAGATTAGGGGGTAGACTTAAGGCTACTCAGACCTCAGGCTGGACGTTCTACCGCCTTAGCCATAGACAAGAGGCCGGTAGTTCCCATGACTGGCTGGGAGGAGGGCCCACCCTCCCTGAAGCATGTGGTAGGGGCCACTGAACAGAGTGAGGGTTCTATTAGCAAGGAACAGATGGGGGCATGGCTGTTAGGAGGCAGCCTGCAGTGTGCATTGTAGTTGCCCCATTTAAAAATTGGAAATGACATGTACAAATCTTCCAGCTTCTCTTGATAAATTGGAAGCTCAGGCAGCCTGGGTCCTACTTTTTTGGCTAGGCTGAGTAGGGAAAAGGGGGGCCCCCATTCCAATAGGGACCACTGAGCTGCCATCACCACCAGCATTTCCACCCAGATCTCTGAGTCCTCCTCTGACTGCAGTGCTTGCTCATCCTTCCAGCCCCCATCATCACACCTGCCCCAACAGGAGGGGATGGTAGCCAGTGGAACACTTCTAGGTGGCTCCTGCTTTTGGCTGGGGGTGTTACAACCGGAGGTGAGCTGTGCTGGGACCACTGGCTTGTGCCTGCAACCTTGTCCCAGGCTGCTGTCACCTCTTGTCGAGACATTGGGCCAACAGCCCTGCAGCCCTCAGGTTTTAGCTGCATCGGAGTCATAAATCCCTTTCATGTTCGGAGTCAGCTCTGGAAGGAGCTAGCAGGGTGGAAGCATGTTTCCAGTGGCTGTGGGGCAGGTCAGGCCAGCAGGTATCCCTGTGCATGTGCAGGAAGGGGCCACGCTGCCTCCCCTGGAAACCAGAGTGCCTGAGGGTCATTGCCTACTGGCTGTTTCCCCCTCAGCAAATGCCCCACTCCCCGACCACGTGCTTATCCAGGTCTTGTCCCCTCAGAAGGACAGTAACTCCAAACCTGCCAGAAGCAAGACCCTGGCCCCAGCACCCCCAGAGAGGAACACGGAGGGGTCCTCGGAGAGCAGTGAGGAAGAGCTGCCACTGACCCAGGTGCGCCATGCCTTCTCTCTGCAGATGCTGCAGGATCAGAGCTGGGCTGGCAGGCCTTGCAGGAGAGGGCAGATCTTGCCCATAGGGAAAATCTCGCCATATTTAAACAGCACCTCACAGCTTCCAGAGCTCTTTCCTCTATTGTGACATTCATCTGAGCCCTGTGAGGCAGGCAGCAGTACACAGTTAAACATACAGGCTTCAGAGCCAGGTGGTGTTGGGGCGAAGCCCAGCTCTTCCACCCAACAGCCCCATGGTCCTGGGCAGATGCCTTTTCCCCTGTGTGAGGCTCAATGTTTCAGCCATAAAATGGGGACAGTACTGGCACCTCTCTCCTGCCTCTGTGCACTGGTGCCAGCACACAAGGTACTTGCCACAGTCCCCTGCCTAAGAAAGGGTGCCTGTTAACTGTGAGAAGGGCAGGGAGTGTTGCCCCATTTGACAGATTGGGAATCAAGCCTTAGAGTTGAAGCAGTTTCCCCAAATTCTCATGATTCATAAGAGGCTGAGGAAAGGTCCAAACGCTGGTCCCCTGGCTCCCTGTATCTCTCTGTTTTCTGTTTAGGACCAGGAGTCTTCTTGAATCCCATGAGCTCTGCCCAGGACCCTCTCTCAAGCACCTGTGGCATACCTTCATGTGCTCCACTGCACCCAGAGCTTAAGCCACAGTCCTGCTCAGGCTACACCTCCAAGGGTGGGACCAGGCCCACCTTATCTTCCTGTACTCCAGAGGCCCAAGTCAGCCATGCTGGTGTGGTCCAAGCTTCTGTGTGAACCCTGGCCCTTCCATCAGACAGCATTACCCTTTGTCCTCCTCTAGCCCCAAGCTCCCAGAAGCTTCTGCCAGGCACCTCAGAGCACCAGCTCCCCTGTCCCAGGGCCTAACCACAGATCCTGGAGTTCTGCAACCTCCAGACCAGAGCGGTCTCATGAACCACCTCCCCTTGAATATCACATACCACATTGTTATCAATTCATCAGTAAGGTCAGATGCTGTTTGCACACCTCCAGCAATAGGGTGCTCACTGCCTCTCACTTTCCAATGGCACAGATTACAAAAGTAAAGAACAACCACCACCAACATCGGTAACTCCCTGTATTCTCATTTTTCTGTTTAATCTCCACAACAGCCCTATGAGGGTGGCTCCCTTTGTTGTTTGCATTTTAAGGAACTGGGAGTGAGGCTCAGAGAAGTTGAGGGACCTGTCCCAGCATCACATGGCTGATGACAAGTGGACAGACCTGGTGTTTGAGCACAGGCCATTCACATTCTGACCCGTTGCCTGGTGCTGCCCCGACACTCTCCTCTCCTGGGCTTGGGCATTGCCCTCTGGCTCTGTGTGGAGCCTTTACGAGGCCACCTGCCTCTCTGAGGGATCTAAACAACTGGGAGGGAGGGGACCGCTCCCCCTTTCTCTGTGGGGGTGGACTAACACAATTAAAATGAACATCCTGCTTAAACTGAACCATTTAATTGGTATGTTAGTCCTGAAGATTCTGGAGTCTATTTAAAAAGCAGAAAAGAAGTCAGCGGTTTGTACATTCCCCCAGGAGGATTCGGGGAAGACGGGCATAGCCCGGGGAAGCTGCAGCCTCTTCCTGATTGAGAGATTTTTAGTTCCTAATCCCCAGCTCACTAATTATGATTATTTTCATTATTGTACATTTATTGAGCACCTCTCTATTGACAAGTTTCAGTCTGATTTTATTAGCCCATCAGTGGGGAAAGGGATTGAGGCCAGGGTGGTGGGCAGAGTCCCAGGCTGGGAGGCAGGGATAGATACCTTGGCTCCATTCCTAGACCCCTCACTGTGCCTCCGCCCTGTTGTGCAGAGTAGACCTCAGGCCAGAGTCTGTGCTGGGGTCAGGACAGCTTCCAGATTTAAAAACAAGTAGGTGATACATATGTTAAATAACTTAATTTAGCTATTCCACAATGTATATGTGTATCAAAACATCATGTTATATACCACAAATATATGCAGTTTCACTTGTCGGTAATATTTTTTAAGGCCAACTTCTTCTATTAGTTTGTCAAAGACGTAGGCCCTGCTCTCAAAGTTTTAGGTTGAATCAAAGAAAAAGGAAACCTGTAAGAAACTAAATTCTGGTGTTACATTGAGGCCTAGCATAATTGGTTCTAGAAGGAGCTCCAGTCTGGTGCCTGGAGAACTAACTTCTAATCCTGGCTCTGGCACCAGTTTGCTGGTTGCCCTGGGTGAGGCCACTTGCCTTCTCTGAGCCTCATTCATCTCAATCTCTGGGATGAGACTTCCTGGGTTGGTGGGGTGGACCTTGAGGCTCCAGGCCACATCCCCAGAGAGTAGAATTTCTCAGTCCCCTGGAGTGGGGCTGGCCTAGATCTGTTAAGCAGCCTCAGGCAATTCTGAGAGAGGTTCTTGGAGTGTTTGTTGCCTTTGTGGTCATGTCCCTTGCCAGGGTCCGCAGCCTAGGCCATCAGCCCCCTCTCCCCACTCTGTGACTTGCTGGAATGAAGGCACAGTTAGAATGAGCTCAGCTTTGACAGGATGGGGTGAGCACTGTCCAGAAAGCCCCTAGGTTTGGTTCTGCAGGCATCAGACCTACAGGTAGGAGGGGTATCCCAGGGTTCCCTCTGGGTCCTTACTGCCCAGCACCTATAGGGAGGTACAACCAAATGTTCAGGCCAGTGCTGGTTTTGCTGCTTCACTCCCATCAGTTTTTTTTCTAACTGACCCCAGAACTACATTCCTGTGTATACTGTGCTTTCCAGTTTCCACAGTGCATTGGAACCCCTCCAGTGAATGAGCCCAGGCTGGGATAACTACTAGCCGTTTCATTAAACGGGAAACTGAGGATCAGAAAGTTGAGGGGCTTGACCACACAGTGAAGTCATGAGAGAGGCGTAATGAGAAGCAGGTCTTCTCCTATACCCTGGGCAAGCTTCACTGCCCACCTTTATGAACTCTACAGGCTAATGCCCCGCCCCAACCCCCCACAGCCAAGCCCCCTGCACCACCTCCCTCCTACGGCCCAGAGGCCCAGTGGGGTGGCGTGGGCAGGTGGAACTAACAGGAGGCTTTTGCTGCTGAGCTGCTTTTAACATCCCAAGACGCTATTGTTTGCCTCAGTGGGTTCGTTGCTTCTCTTCGTCCCCGACAATCTGTTCCTGTCTTCACATATATATAGATCCCCCCTCCCTCAACTGTAAGCCTTCTCCCACTTTCCATCCTTCTCTTTTTTATATCGTGGGAAGGAAGGCTCTGGAAGTGGCAGATCGGAGCAGCCGCGGGGGAGGCTATTTGGCAGGGGTAGGAAAGGCCTAAGCCCAGAGAAGCTTCCACCCTCAGGCAGGCACCTTTCTGTTTTACTTTTTACTTTATGCCTCTCCACAGCACCTTAGCACCCTGAGGAGCCAGGTGTGCTAAGTCAGGCTCAGGGGGTAAACAGGATGGTGAAACAGAGACCAGTCTGGACCTGATTCCACTCCTCTCTTAGCCTCAGGCAGCTCCCTCTTCCTGCCCTCCAGCTCTTCACTGGCCAGAGAGGGAGCAGAGCTCAAACCAGATCTGACATTTGGGGAATGGAAAGTAGACCTGACCAGCTCCCTGGCTCACAACCATGTGTGTTCTCGTTAGCTGGAGGTTCAGGAAGGAAATGGGCCTGGAGATGCCCTCGTGTGCGGTGAACATGTTCAGGGATGGTGCAGTTCAAAACCAGACTGGCCTGCAGAATACCAGGGAGCTGCTGTTGCTTGTTTGCTTTTTCTTTTATTGTTTCCTTGGAAAATTTAAAGCATACCCAAAGATAGATAATGTAAAGAACCCCCACGTACCATCCCCAGCCTCAACAGTTAGGAACTCCTGAGCAGGCTCGTTTCACGCAAACCCTCCACTCAGTTCCCCAACGCCCCTGGATTACTTTGCAGCCAGTCTCAGACATGTCAGCTCATCCACCAGGATTTCAGTATGCAGCTCTCAGTTATAAGGACCTTTTTAAGCACAACTACGATACAGTGTCACACCTAATAAGTTGATCTACCCAGTCAGTGTCCCTATTTCCCTGATTGTCTCATGGAGTTCAGTTAAAGGCCACGTACGGCATTGAGTTATTAATCCTCTAAGTCTTAATCTGTTGGTTCTCACCCACTCACCCAACCCTTGTTTCTCTTGTGCATTTTTTTGTTGAAGAAACTGAATTGGTATAGCTGGGGAGTTTCATCCTGGGCCATGTATCAGGAGGGCTGCATCAGAACCTCTGGGGTTGGGGCAACTAGACTGTAAATACCTCCCCAGGTGAATTGCATATTCCAACCAGGCAGCCTTGGAAAACTGCTTAGACCACTCCCTGCATTCAGCAAGTAACTGTTTCTGAAGCCAGCCGGGGAAAGAAGGCAGAATTGGACATTCTGGCCGTGGCTTTGCTTCCAGTAGGGACAGCAGCCTTGGGTCGCTCCCTTTCCCTCTGGGCTTGTGGTTTTCCCACTTTGTATAAGGGAGCTGATCCTGCTGAATGTAGGGCTTCACTGTGAGGGTCAGGTGGGCTCTGGGAGTTGTGAAGTGCTGTGCTGGGTCTTAGCAGATGTGTGGGGTGGGAGGGGGCACCCTGGGCAGCTGGAATGGCTTCTGTGCCCAGCTGCCCCTGAGCTCAGTGGACCCTTTGCCTTGTAAAACACTCCCTAACCCCATCACCTCCTTTCCCTGGCCAAGCCTTTAATCACTGGGGGGGTGTTTTGTTTTTGTTTTTCAAGGTGATTAAACCCCCTCTGATTTTTGTCGACCCTAATCGTAGTCCAGCTGGCCCAGCTGCTACACCCGCACAAGCCCAGGCTGCAAGCACCCCGAGGAAGGCCCGAGCCTCGGAGAGCACAGCCAGGAGCTCCTCCTCCGAGAGCGAGGATGAGGACGTGATCCCCGCTACACAGTGCTTGACTCCTGGTGAGCGCAGCCCTTATGCAGTGGTGGGAGGGGCTGCCAGCACTGCCCCACATTGAGGCCCAGAAGGGACAGGACACTGGCTGAGTCACATAGCAAGGTGTTGGTCGGGAGGGGCTTGGGGTCAGGTCTCTGGGCCCTGCATTAGCCATTCTGATTAGGGCCTGGCTCAGACCTGCAGTTCTGGGGGAATAGTTGCCAGAGCTTTTTTGTGGCAGCCCCAGTCATGGAGCCCAGACCAGTGGCTAGAAGCTGCAGGGACCAGGTTCCTACATAGTCTAAGAAAGAATTCTGTATCAGTTGACTGCCTGTGGAACAAGTGGTCAGGGTGGTAGTGAGCTTCCCGTCCTTGGTGGCATGTAAAGTAGGTTAGGCAATCCCTAAGCCAGAGACATCACAGGGATAGATTTCATCTATCAGAGAGACAGGACCAATCTGAGGTTTCTTTGACTTCTGAGAATCTGTGATTCTACCAATGACAACAGGAAAAGGGTTAATGTTACTATTACAGTTATTGTAACAGTTTTACAAGCAATAATACCTGATCCTGATAGGACAATTTAAAAATGCAGACGGGTGCAGTGGCTCACGCCTATAATCCTAGCTCTTTGGGAGGCTGAGGCAGGCAGATCACCTGAGATCAGGAGTTCAAGACCAGCCTGGGTAACATGGCGAAACCCCGTCTCTACTAAAAATACAAAAAATTAGCCTGGCGGGCGCCTGTAATCCCAGGTACTTGAGAGGGTAAGCCACGAGAATCGCTTGAACCCAGGAGGCAGAAGTTGCAGTGATCTGAGATGTGCCACAGCACTCCAGCCTGGGCGACAGTGAGACTGTCTCAAAAAAACAGAAAGCAGGCAAAATAGAGATTACTGCTGGGCATGGTGGTTCGCACCTGTAATCCCAGCACTTTAGAAGGCCAAGGTAGGAAGATCGCTTGAGCCCAGGAGTTCAAGACCAGCCTGGGCAACATAGTGAGAGCCCTATCTCTACCTATCTACCTACCTACATACATATGTACATATACATATACTTATACATATATGTGTGTATGTGTGTGTATATTTTTTTAATAAAAATACAGATTAGCACATAAGAAACTATATCACCTGTAATTCTGCCCCAAATAATTACTGTTAACATTTGACAAATGCTAACTTTATAAAAACCTAAAATATACGTGTGTTTTTAAAGCAAGACCATACTGTATCTAATGTTCAGTAACCTTCACTGGATATTTTATGACATCGGGTTTTTTTCATCTTTACATATTTGCAGCACAATTCCTAATGGCTACAGAGAAATCCCTTGGGTGGACATGCTACAGTGTGTGTAGCCAGCACCATGTTGGAGGAAGCAGAGGGTTTTGTTTCAGGGTGGAGGGGTGAGGGAGTTGGCTGTTATAAACAGTGCTTTGAAGAACATGCATGTAACCAGGCCTCTGCAGATAACCACGGGGACTCTTAGGAGAGACGATTTTAACTGCAAGGAGAGTCGTTTGGTGCCGGTGCTCTGGCCCATTGCTCAGGAGTGGCAGCCCGACCAGTTGGGAGGGGAGGGGATGAGGAAGCCTGGGGTCACCCCCAGAGCAGCCATTTGAGCTCCCTGAGCCTTGTCAAATGACATAATGACATCTCCTGCCTGGGAGGCTTGGAGAGGGAAGTAAACAAGCTTCTACCTCTGTAAGCCCTGAGCACAGCTCTAGATCACCAGCACAGGCCGGTAAATTGGGTTATTGCCGCTGCTGAGGAGGCGATGGGGCTTTTGTGCCCTGATGTGCCCCCATCTCGCTCCATTTCAGGCATCAGAACCAATGTGGTGACCATGCCCACTGCCCACCCAAGAATAGCCCCCAAAGCCAGCATGGCTGGGGCCAGCAGCAGCAAGGAGTCCAGTCGGATATCAGATGGCAAGAAACAGGAGGGACCAGCCACTCAGGTACCTGGTGGGCAAGGGAGGGTAATGCAGGCCAGTGGGGTGGGGCCCTACTTCCATACTTACCCACATGTGCTGATGGGATGGCCTGCAATTGCTGTCACGCCCACACTCCAGAGGTCGTGGCCTCACAGCCAGAGGCTTTCTGGCCTCCTAGCTACAACCCCCCAAATCACCTTTGAGTTATGAGGAAGAGTAATCTGGGGACACAGCCTCCTGGCCAAGCAAGCCCTGCAGCACTCGAGTCCCTCATGAGATTTTCCAGCGTAGTGGGGCTTTTGATTTTTTTTCTTCCAGTTTTGAAATGCCATGAACAAAAGTTGCCCTTTTTTGGTGTTTGTAATAGTGACTTCAGCATTCTTCCAAGCCTTTACCATCTTCAGTGCATTTTTATTTGGTCCTTGCCTGAATCTAAAAGCTGGGCATTTTAGGGTTAATGGCTGGTGCATTGTTTAGATCATAAAACTTAGCACACATCCCCACCCCAAGGGCTGCGATGTGACCAGCATTCAGCAAGGCCGGAACCCGGGTCTTCTGAGACCCAGTTCATTGCTCTTTGGGCCATATCAGTCTGGTTTCCCATCCCACTGAGAGGATGAAGTCCATGACACACTCTGACCTCTCTTCCTGAGGGGTGGGCTAAGGGGGTGTTGGGGGGCGGTGGGGCTGGTGTGCCACCCACTCCCTGGGCTCATCACAAGCTCCAGGTCAAAAACTTCTGGGAACATGGGTGTCGGATGGGAAGTCAGGCTGTGGTCACTGCATCCATGAGCATCGGTTCCTGCCAGGCCCTAGGGATACTGCAGGAACCAAGACAGGGACAAGGAATTCCCAGGCCAGTCAGGGAGTGGTGAGGGGCAGCGATTAAACAAGGAAACCCACATATAAATAAAAAGTATTCACCAGCTGGTAGGAGAGGAAACAATAAAAACTAGAGAATAGTGGGGTGACCTGCTATATGAAGGCCTCCTGAGACAGCGATGCTTAAGCAGAAAAAGCAGCCAGTCACAGGATGAGCTGGGCCACCCTCCAGGCAGGGAAACTGCAGGTACCAGGTCTTCGGGGGAAGCGCTTGGGAATGAGGGAAACTGAGAGGTGGGGACAGCTGGATGAGGAGCTGGGGGAGAGGAGATGAGCCAGGCCGTGGCAAGAGCCACGCCACATTTGAAGGCTCTCAGCAAGGGGTCATGCCCAATTTCCATGCCCACCACTCTCCCTGACTGCTAGTGGTTATAAGAAGTAGAGATGGGGGTCCACCAGGTTGGAGATTATCCCCAGTGAAGGTGCAGATTGAGTAGTGGGGCCTAAGCTGCTTCCCTGCCCTGGGCTGGGAACTGTCCCTTGCTCCTTGAGAACAATGTGATTCGCTCATAACCTGAAGCCTGCCACCAGTTTTGCCCCTTTGACTGCCCCTCAGTCCCTGCTCCAGCCCTCACCCCAGCCAGACAGCATCTGACCAGGGTGTGGCACAGCTGGCATCCCAAGGACTTGTGAGTCTGAGGGCTACCTCTTGCCACCCACAGGTGTCAAAGAAGAACCCAGCTTCCCTCCCACTGACCCAGGCTGCCCTGAAGGTCCTCGCCCAGAAAGCCAGTGAGGCTCAGCCTCCTGTTGCCAGGACCCAGCCTTCAAGTGGGGTGAGCTTGGGGAGCCAGGGGAAGCAAGCCCACGGAGCGTAGAAGGTGCAGGCGTGGCCCTGCATCGCGGCACCAGCACTCATCTGCCCCATGACCTCTGCACTTGGTTTGCCTCCCTCGGCCTCAGTGGCCTAATCTGTAAGAAGGAATTACAGTACCTTTCGTAGTTGGAAGGATCAAATGAGGCTGCATGTGTGCCCCATCTAACACAGTTCCTGGCCCTACTGAAGTGTTCAGGAAGGACCAGGTCTTACTTGCCCTAATTTTTCCTTCCATTCCTTCTCCTTTCACCGAATTAGGTTGACAGTGCTGTGGGAACACTCCCTGCAACAAGTCCCCAGAGCACCTCCGTCCAGGCCAAAGGGACCAACAAGCTCAGAAAACCTAAGCTTCCTGAGGTCCAGCAGGCCACCAAAGCCCCTGAGAGCTCAGATGACAGTGAGGACAGCAGCGACAGTTCTTCAGGGAGTGAGGAAGATGGTGAAGGGCCCCAGGGGGCCAAGTCAGCCCACACGCTGGGTGAGGGTGCCAGGGGAAAGGCAAGGGTGGGCCAGGAAGAGGGTGTTGTGTGGCCTGGTGGAGCCATAGCTCTGGCCTCAGCTCCATATCTCAGACTCATTCTGCACCTGTGGCTGAGCCTGGGCCTCAGTTTCCCCACCTGTACAACTTCATGAGGAAGTCAATCCAAATGATTTCAGAGACCTGACTTTGCTGTTTGACCACTCTCAGCTTTTTGGTATCAGACTCCCTTCACTGGCTCCCAAAAACTCCAGGGCCATGTTTCTGGAACAGTGGAAAGCAGGGAAATAGAAATGGGGCCTCAGGAATTAGAAATAAGGCTTTGGCATTCAAATGTCGCACCTAGCATGCTGTGACTAGCGATAAGTGTGCAAGGAGTGTTGAAGCAGTAGGAAGACTTGTGGTGAGGCGGGGCAGGGGATGGGGGTGAGGGACCTGCAGAGAGACCAGGGCCTTCCTGAAGGGCTCTGCCCTTCCCGGCTGGCAGGGGCCACCTGGGGCTACCAACAGGATACTGTGCTTCTCCAGTAGGTCCCACCCCCTCCAGGACAGAGACCCTGGTGGAGGAGACCGCAGCAGAGTCCAGCGAGGATGATGTGGTGGCGCCATCCCAGGTAACTGCAAGGGAGAGGACTGGCAGCCCATAGGCCTTAGGGTGGAGCCCCAGGCCAGGCTCCTGTCTACCCGATCCCTCAGGTCAGGGGTCTGGGTCCCCTCTCTTCACAGAGGCCTTGGGCAAGGTCCTGTCTGCAAGGCACCACGTGTGGCCCAGCCAGCAGACCACAGCCAGGCTGCCTCCGTCCCCTCATAGAGCCCTGAGTAGCTGACCCTTGGGGTCTGTAGAAGGGATTGACCTTGATTCTGGGTGATGTCCGGACAAAAACATTCTTTAGCAGATTTATTTTAAGGTTACTATCTGTATGTGGCAAAAGCTAGTAATTTTCCATTTGTATTAATAAGAAATTTCCTTTTTAAATGTGCCTGTCTAGAAAGTGTATTAATTAAAATAGTTCAGGAGGCACACGCCAAGGGCTGAAGTGCTGCTCTGTGCCTTGTTGTCCACCCACTCTGCACTGATAGGGCAGGGTGATCCTAGAGGCCCCAGGCTGCTTTCCTCACAGCAGGCCATGACTCGGGCTGGGTTATGGCAGTGGGGTGGGGTGGTGGCAGCCTCTTTCACAATGGGCTTCTTCAGTCTCTCCTCTCAGGTTATATGACCCCTGGACTAACCCCAGCCAATTCCCAGGCCTCAAAAGCCACTCCCAAGCTAGACTCCAGCCCCTCAGTTTCCTCTACTCTGGCCGCCAAAGATGACCCAGATGGCAAGCAGGAGGCAAAGCCCCAACAGGCAGCAGGCATGTTGTCCCCTAAAACAGGTAAGTTAAGGTCTGCAGGAGGGACATAGCAGGACACAGAGGGACAGGGCAGTGGGCCCCTTCTTGCCCTCCTGTAGCAACAGTCCTCCCAACATGGTCCTGTCTGCCCCCAGAGCCTCTCCAAGTGAGACCTTGTGGCCTTGCATTGGACCTGAAGATGCTCATCAAAGTGCAGGTGGGGCCAGGTGCAGTGGCTCATGCCCATAATCCCAGCACTTTGGGAGGCCGAGGTGGGCAGATTGCTCAAGCCCAGGAGTTCAAGGCCAGCCTGGGCAACACAGAGAGACCCCATCTCTAAAATTTATTTTAATTAGCCGGTGTGATGGTGCACGCTTGTAGTCCCAATTACTTGAGAGGCCAAGGCAGAAGAATGACTTGAAGCCAGGAGGTTGAGGCTATAGTGAGCCATGATCATGCCACTACACTCCAGCCAGGGTGGTACAGTGAGACCCTGTCTCAAAAAAAAAGTACAGGTGGGCCCCACGCCCAGGTGTCTGGCTCCCATGGCCCTGGACAGCCTGGAAGTGGGGGTGTATCCAGCCCTGGGTGGTGCTGATGCACCTGGTAGGATAGCCCTTGCCTCAGAGGAAGCTGCGTCTTTTGGCTTGTGGAGCAAGTGTTGGCTCTCTCCAACCATCACCATCAACTTTTCTTCCCTGTAAATAGGCTCACGGTGTGGGCCTTGGGCCTCAGAGGATAGCTTAGACAATAGGCTGACAGTCACGTTTGGAGGACACTCAGCACATGCAGGAGACCCCAGGCAGTAGACTGGCCCCAGGCTGTTCTGACTCATTGTAAAGCCTTGGAAATCCCCTGGCCACTCTGGACCTCTGTGTCTTAACCATACAAAACAGCAGTTGATGTATCCAGTCTGTGTCAAGGCATGGCACATGTAGAAAATAGTCACATTGTATTTGGAGGGCAGACTGGATTATTCAATTCACCTAACCTGGGGCATCCACACTCCCTGACCCTACTGGAGCTAAGGGTCAAATATGTACCAGCTGGGCACACTTGGGACAGCTCCAGGGCTTCCCCAGCCTTGGTGTTCTGGGTGTTTGCAGATAAGCAGCAGAAAAGTGGGCCTGGCGCAGTGGCTCGTGCCTATAATCCCAGCACTTTGGGAGGCCAGGGCGAGTGGCTCACTTGAGGTCAGGAGTTCAAGACCAGCCTGGCCAACATGGTGAAACCTTGTCTCTACTAAAAATACAAAAAACTAGCCAGCATGATGGCAGGCGCCTGTACTCCCAGCAACTCAGGAGGCTGAGGCAGGAGAATCGCTTGAACCTGGGAGGTAGAGGTTGCAGTGAGCCGAGATTGCACCACCGCACTCCAGCCTGGGCAACAGAGCAAAACTCTGTCTCAAAAAAAAAAAAAAAAAAAAAAAAGGCAGCAGCAGAAACGTAGGCTCTGGGGAGAGAGGTTTCCGGGGCTAACTGCCCTCCCCAGCTTCCCTCTCCATTGGCTCCTGCCATCTTGAAGAATCCCCAGAGGATGGAATTGGGCCTCCAGCCGTCCCGGGGGCCCCTCTGCCTAACCTGGCCTGCCCTGCCCAGTCCACCTCCCCCAGCCCACCGCAGCTCTAGAGCCAAAAGTCGCCAGAAATCCTGGTTGGGGCTGAGGGGCCAAGCTCACTGCATGCTGCAGGGGGCAGCCCTAGCCTCAGTGTGACATGAGTACCACATAGAGTGTGACATGGAGTATCCACCTGGGCCTTCCTCCAGGCAAACACCTCCAGGACCAAACCACCAAGCCACCTTTCAGAGCCCAGCATGCAGGAGTGTTGTGCCCATGAGACCCAGAATGGGGCAGAGACCTCCAAGTCACTTGGAAGTTAGAGCCGGTGAGGAGACCCAGTCATGGGGCTTTCAGCTGCAGCTTGCCCCAGGCTGGGTCGGAAGAGGAATTGCTGCTCACTTTCTTCCCCAACATTCTCTGTGAGAGGCGGTGCGACAAGGAGACATTTTAGAGGGGGCTGTGGAAGGTTTTTTTTTTTTTACACGTGTAGTCAGCACACAATTATCAAAGGCAAGCAGAGGCGTGGAAAATTCTAAACAAAGGCTGCACCAGAAGTCTCTCTGGCAGGCAGTAAACCTGCTTAGTCAGCCACCACGTGTATATACACTGCACCCAGAGCTCCCCACCTTGCCTGGACCCCCTGACCAGGAAGGGCCGAGTGTGGGTAATCATCAGTTGAATGTCTGCATGGCCCCCACTTTTATTATAAATCTACAATGTATCATAGGAAGCCTTACTGTTCATCCACCCCTCACGTTATAGACAGGGAAACCAAGGCCCTGGGAGGAGATGGGTCCTGGCCAGAATCACACTGAAAGTGGGTGGGAAAGTCAGACCTAGAACCCAGGTCTCCTTCCTCCCAGCTCCAGACTCCATCTCCCTCCTTTCTGAATTTTCATTCCATTGATAGATTTCAGGCCCTTTCATTAACATTCTGGAGTCATTTTCTGTCCCCCACCCTAACTGGAGTTTTTAGTATAAAGAGACAGGGAAAAGCTGTAAGTTAGAAATGAAGTCAGGGTGTGAAATTGGTGGAAAGGTGTGAGCTTAGGAGACCAGCTGGGGCAGAGTGACCGCCAAGCCTTGCTCTCCCCATCTGTGCCATTGTAAGAAAAGATGGAGTCACTCCCTGCACCCTCTTCGCTCTTAGGTACCATAAGATCTGTCCCCCAACTCTCCCAGATCTGTGACCCCACATTCTCTCTCCATAGGTGGAAAAGAGGCTGCTTCAGGCACCACACCTCAGAAGTCCCGGAAGCCCAAGAAAGGGGCTGGGAACCCCCAAGCCTCAACCCTGGCGCTGCAAAGCAACATCACCCAGTGCCTCCTGGGCCAACCCTGGCCCCTGAATGAGGCCCAGGTGCAGGCCTCAGTGGTGAAGGTCCTGACTGAGCTGCTGGAACAGGAAAGAAAGAAGGTGGTGGACACCACCAAGGAGAGCAGCAGGAAGGGCTGGGAGAGCCGCAAGCGGAAGCTATCGGGAGACCAGCCAGCTGCCAGGACCCCCAGGAGCAAGAAGAAGAAGAAGCTGGGGGCCGGGGAAGGTGGGGAGGCCTCTGTTTCCCCAGAAAAGACCTCCACGACTTCCAAGGGGAAAGCAAAGAGAGACAAAGCAAGTGGTGATGTCAAGGAGAAGAAAGGGAAGGGGTCTCTTGGCTCCCAAGGGGCCAAGGACGAGCCAGAAGAGGAGCTTCAGAAGGGGATGGGGACGGTTGAAGGTGGAGATCAAAGCAACCCAAAGAGCAAGAAGGAGAAGAAGAAATCCGACAAGAGTGAGTGACCGCTTCTCCCAGCCCACCCCAAGGGCTGCTGGGCACCCCACGGGGGCGGGAGGGACCCTCAGCCAGCACCTGGTCTCATTCCTCCCATGTAGAAAAGAGAGGCTGAGACCAGCCTGGCCAACATGGCAAAACCCCGTCTCTACTAAAAATACAAAAAATTAGCTGGATGTGGTGGCGGGCACCTGTAATCTCAGCTACATGGGAGGCTGAGGCAGGAGAATTGTTTGAACCCGGGAGGCAGAGCTTGCAGTGAGCCGAGATCACGCATTGCACTCCAGCCTGGGTGACAGAGCAAGACTGTCAAAAAAAAAAAAAAAAAAAAAGGCTGAGAAGTGGTTTGTCCAGAGTCACAGGGGCAGCTTGTGGCAAAGCCCGAACTCGATTCCAGAGCACTTGAGTCAGCACTGCCAGGAATGCTCCAGAAGGACGAGGAGTCATGTCCTCTTTCCCCAAGCCCAGTGCAGCAGATCTTGGAGGAACCTGCTTCTCCAGCCAGCTCCTGGGTGCAGAATGGACCAGGAACCAGACTGTCAGAATCCTCATCCCAAACCCCATCTTGTCTCTAGACCTCAGTTTTCCCTCCATAGTAACACTGGCCCTTTACTGAGTGCTGTTCTAGACTCCGCATGCAGCAGGACCTCATTTAGGTAGAAATGAGACTCAGCAGGTAGAAAACTGCGGCTCGGGCTCGGAGAAGTAGAGATGCTGTTCAGGGCCACAGAGTTTTGCTAGGTGGAGCCAGAGTCAAACCTAGGCAGCACTCTCGAGCATCGCCCTGGACGGTGGGTTGCCAGTGACGCCCGAAGAGCCAGCTCGTTCTGGAACAAAAGTCGGGCACCCTCAGAGCAGGACTTGCAGCCCCTTGGTGCTCAGAACTGTGCTAGATTTCCATTTACAGTAGGGATAGATAGTGTCCATTTAAAATAAATTTGCGGGAGTTTTAAAAAGTGAGTTGAGCTAAAGAAAAATGGTAGTCATCCAGGTGGTCCATGGATGGGACAGAAATCATGAGCTGGCCTCCAGGGGGCAGGTGAACTGGCCCTGCTGGGTGATCACCACAGCTGCCAGCCTGTTTTATTTTTATTTTTTGAGACAGGGTCTTGCTCTGTCACCCAGGCTGGAGTTCAGTGTCAGGAACGCAGCTCACTGCAGGCTCAGCCTCCCAAGCTCAAGCGATCCTCTTGCTTCAGCCCCCCAAATAGCTGGGACCACAGGCGTGCACCACCATCCCCAGCTAATTTTTGTATTTTTTGTAGAGACAGGTCTCACTATGTTGCCCAAGCTGGTCTTGAACTCCTGGGCTTAAGCAATCCACCCGCCTCAGCCTCCCAAAGTGCTGGGATTGCAGGAATGAACCTCCACGCCCCGCCCTGCTGGCCTGTTGTGATGGCTTCTGGTGGTGTGGGGAAAGCTGGGAGCCCTGCCCTGTGCACCTCCCAACATTGACCCCAGCACTTAGGATTACCATCTGTTGTTCAGGAACTTTACTTTACTTCCCTTAGGAAAAAAAGACAAAGAAAAAAAAGAAAAGAAGAAGAAAGCAAAAAAGGCCTCAACCAAAGATTCTGAGTCACCGTCCCAGAAGAAAAAGAAGAAAAAGGTAGAGAGTTCCTGGGGTGTCTCAGGCCAGAAAACAGACCCAAACCCAAGCCCCCTCCTACACACCCAGACCTGGTTCCTGCCCCCTTCCCATTTTCGGGGCCCAGTCGGGGGCGTCAGGGGTTGTGACACACCAGGGAAGAGGCTGGCAGGGCATGTTCCCTGAGCACATGGAAGCCGTAGAAGTGGCCTGCCGGAGGTAGAAGGGTGTTGGGGAAGGAAGGAGAGACTCCCCCCAGCACAGGGAAACCAGGTAGACTGTGGCAGGTTTCCAGGTGAAAGGAAACGTTGCCTGGGCTGCGTGTGCCCCAGCTGGCAGGCTAGCCCTGAACAACAGCTGTCCTCACGGCGCGGGGCCTTAGCACCTCAGACACAGATGAAGTTCTCACCTTGGCCAGCAGGGCCTCAGCTGTATTTAGGAGAGCTGAACATCTGTTTGCCTCTGCCCTTGGAGGTCGCTGCAGACCCAGTATCTATTCTAGGGGAATTCACTAGTCCTCAGGAGGTGGGGGCAGCAGTGGGTGGGGAAAAGCTGCAGGTCTGAGAGCCTCTCGTACTTCCCTCCTCACAGAAGAAGACAGCAGAGCAGACTGTATGACGAGCACCAGCACCAGGCACAGGTACGCTTCCCAATCATTCCTGAGCATTCAGGGTGGGAGGACAGCTCTGGTGTCCCCTGTGGTCCCAGAGAGCCAGGCAGACCTGATAGGTGGGCTCTAAGGGGAAAGGAGGCTGGGGAAAGAGGTTCTGTTGCCAAGGGTCCATGGGGCCACTGGGGTGACATCAGGAGCTGGCACTGCAGCATCAGAAGGATCCAGAACAGTAATGGCAGTGGTGACACCGAGTGCACCTGGGTGCAGGGGTTGTGCATGCTTTAGGGGGTGTGCCCTGGGATGGAGCCTGTTTGTAGGTGAGGTCGGATACAGCTTGGTTCCTCCTTCACTTGTGAGCGGTTCATTTTCCTCATGATCCTGTAACTTGGGGGCATTTCCTTTTGGGAAGGAAGATGGTTTACTCAAGATGAGCTATCACCATGGATCTATGCTTCCCTATGGAGGACAGGCCCTGCCAAGTGGTGGTGACAGTTAGCTGCTCCACCTGGCTCTGCTGGCCCTGTGGTCACCCAGCCTCCTGTAAATGGGGGTGATGCAGAGCCCGCCTCCTGGGCCAGTGGTGAGGCTTATGTGAAGCTAAACTAAACACTAAAGGACTCAGCCCAGTTCTCAGAACATTCCAAGTGCTAAAAAATGTCCACTGTGGTTAATGCCTCCCCCCTGCATTGGAGATGCCAGATTTCATTTTCCTTGCAGGGGAAAAGGGTCAGGAAATTTGACATCTGCATGTGTTTCCTTCCCCTAGGGATTTCCTAGCCGAGCAGTGGCCATCCCCATGCCTCTGACCTCCACCGACCTCTGCCCACCATGGGTTGGAACTAAACTGTTACCTTCCCTCGCTCCACAGAAGAAGACAGCCAGCTTCAGGGGTCCCTGTGCTGGCCAAGCCAGTGAGCCTGCGGGGAGGCTGGTCCAAGGAGAAAGTGGACCAGCTCCCATGACCTCACCCCACTCCCCCAACACAGGACGCTTCATATAGATGTGTACAGTATATGTATTTTTTTAAGTGACCTCCTCTCCTTCCACAGACCCCACATGCCCAAAGGCCTCGGGACTTCCCACCACCTTGCTCCACAGATCCAGCTAGGCCTGACCTGTGCCTCATCCCGTGCCGCTCGGTCTCTGGCTGATCCCGAGGCTTTGTCTTCCTCTCGTCAGTTCTTTTGGTTGTGTTTTTTGTTTTTTTTTTAATAACTCAAAAAAAAAATAAAAGACTTGGAGGAAGGGTGCAAGCTCCCAGTGCATCTGGGGCACATGTTTCTTGGAAGGGACTGTCTCGCCGACACTCGGGATTCCCTCTTGCCTGCATGTTGAGGCTATGGGTGACCGTGGTTAGTGGGACAGGCAGTGAGCAGTGAAGTGCCTGAGTGCCGAATTGGTGGGGAAGGCTTCCTGGATGAGGTGGCATCTAAACTAAAGGATGGAACTAAAGGATGGTCATGGTTGATTTCCTGTTGCCAGAGTAAGTCATGTAAATACCCAAAGACAAGAAATGGAAGGGGCTGAGAATCCTCGAGTTAGGCCTCGAGCTAGGGGCAGGCTCCCTGGAGGTGCCTGGTGAACAGCTGTGGCAGGCACAGCAGGTCTAGGAAAATCGGAAGTGAGTTGCCCCTCAAATCGAGCTCACCATGGTTCTGTGGTGGTGAGGGCAAGAAGTGGATGAACATGAAAGACAGGATGATGTCTTGGGTGTGGACTGAGGGAGGGGAGGGATAGCAAAGGAGGTGGTCTGCTGCTCCAGCCTGGAAATGCAGAAGCCCACTTCCCTGGGCCCAGAGCCATGTGGAACACCAGGGGTCCTGGAGATGGTCTCCAGAGCTTTTAGCCTCATGCTGGAAACAGCCAGAGGCAGTGCAGAAAAGGAATGCATGGCTGGAGGTGTCGGAGACCCAGGTTGGCATCCAGCTGCACCCTTGACTCGGGGCCCGGGGCCAGACCCTCCACCATCTGGCCTCTCTCCTCTCAAGCATGTTGCTCTAGAACAGAACTACAGAGTAGTGTCCTCATTGGGCCTTGTTGACCCACAGCAAGACTTTAAACTTAAAAATGGGGTGATTTCACTGCAGTTCTTGATTTCTGGCTCCTCTTAAAAAGATAACATCTGGCAACGGGGGCTGTGCTTCCTCCTGGCAGCAACCAGATAGAGCTGAGTAGCAGTCAGCCCCTTAGGTAAGGCATGGGCACCCAGTTCTCCACAGTCCCCTACTTCCTGTCCATCCTGACACGGAGGCCCTATGTCGGTTGCCATCTGTCATCACATTCACACTGTTCTTAGTATAGAAATGAAATTGGGGACATAGGAAAATGAAAGCTGTACCAAGAAGAGCTTGTGCTTAAACTAGGCAAGAGCCTATTTCTTTTTGGAAGTAGAGTGTTCGTGTGTGTTAAACATGTAATCAAGTATGTCTGTGTCCAAAGACTACAAGCCCCCCCCCAGGCCTGCCTGGCCCCGCAGGCATCTCTGTGGGTTACTTGGGCTGCGTTCTCCCACCTCAGTGACTGGATTTAGCGTCTTTAGTTACCTCTTTAGGATAAATGAACTGGATCTCAACAGAAGAGCCAGGAGCCAGAGTGTTCTAATTACTACCTTTTATTCTAATGTGAACCATGGCCCTGAAAGCTGATAACAAGCTTGGCTGAGCAGAGGGAACTAGGGGTCGGCAGAAAGGATTATGGGTGGAAAACATTGGCTCTTCCTTGGGGAGTGATGCTGGGGAAAGGGAAGAGAGTGGCTCAGCCTGCAGGTAAATAGGCTAGAAAAGCCAAGGCCAAAGGCTGGAGGGGAGAGGACAGTCAGCATGTCCAGCCTGGGGTCTGGGTGTAGGGTTATCCCTTCTCCCTGTGCCTTCCCATCTCGTCCATGAGCCTAGGTCTTGGAGCCTTGTGTTGGAGGCTGCTGTGATGTCAGGAACGGGGATCTGTCTAGCTTTTGGCCACTTCCTGGGACCTCACGCCCCTGTTGACAGATGGAGATTGGGCAGCAGGGCCTTGCTGCATTGTTATCTGCTGTTCCGACTTGGTTTGTCTTGTCCAAGGGTGACGAAAGAGCCAGGCACCAGGGTCTCATGGGATGAGGTACAGGGTGGGAGATGGGGGAGGGGCTGGGGGCTGAAGGGAGCAAGAAAGCTGTAGCTGTGTGGGGCTGGCAGGATGTTGAAGACCGCCTCTGCTGCTCTCACATGGGGACTGGAGAGAGAAGCAGCAGGTTGAGGTTGGGGTCACCCATTTGTTGTCCCTGCCCCTTTCTAACATCCTGGACCTGCAGAGCAGTTAAGGACTGTCCACCCTCCCCTGCCCCCTGCTCAGGTCCAATAATGACCATCATGGATTTGTGTAACTCCCCACAGCCCCCCAACCCTGTTCCTTCGTCTGTGAAATGGACATCCCAGGAATGTTGGAGAGTGGCCCAGCGTCACACTCCTTCACCTGCCCACAAAGGAGCTGGCCCTGCTGGGGATGAGCTGCTGGTGACCAGATGCCCCTCTGCAAGGCCCTTACCTGGGCCCAGATCCTGCTTGGTCACACCCAGCCCAGAAGACGGGTCCTCCAGTTCCAGTGACTCTGCAAAGGAGCAGCAAGTCCGTTTGTCACTTGAAGTGCAGCCTACCTGACCCAAGATGCCTGAGGGCAGTGCTTCCCACCTAGCCACAGGCTTAGTGCCTGGGAAAGCAGGTACCCAGGGAAGGACAGCTGCAAGCAGCAACAAAGAGGTGTAATGGGGGCTCGAGTGAGAAGGGGGTGATGAAATGAGATGGGTGGGTCTGTAGGACTCCTGGATGCTAGAGGATGGCGCGTGGATGGATGAAATTCACAGATGAAAGGACTGACGGATAAGTGAACAAATATGAGTGCATGTAAGAGGAGAGATGATAAATGGACAAATAGGAATGCACAGGTGGGTGGATGGATAAAGGGCTGGACGCATGACTACGTCACTGCCCCCAGGAGCTGCCATCCTGGGTGTCCTGGTCCCATGTGCTTCAGAGGGGACCTCTTGCCCCTCAACCTTCCTAGTCCTTCCTGGTCCTCTGACACTGGCACAGTGCCACTGCTTACCACTGCAGTTATGGTGCCCGCGGCTTCTGGTGTTGGGGACCTCCGTGCCGTTGGGGAAGACACACCAGCAGTAGCCGATGCTCCCATAGCACTGGAGTGGCAGATAGTTGCCGTTCTCGTCGCACTTGGGCCTGAATGAACCCGGGTGGACAGCAGGGATGTGGCTGACCTCTTCCTGGCACTTGGTCAGTACTGAAGCGACAGGCATGATGAGGACACAGTGAGTGAGTGAGCTCTGAACCAGGGTCTGAGCAGAGCTAAAGACCCACACACCACTGCTGTGGGCTTAATGCCTTCTTCCCAAGTGGCTTTACTCACTCCAGCCATCACACGGATGGGAAAACTGAGGCCTAGACCAACAAGGTCTGAGATCAAAAAGGAAGTGAATGGCCATGTGTCCAATTCACCTCAGAAGTTGATGGTTTCTTCTGACACTCAAAGCCCATTACAGTTTTGGGCCAGGCACAGTGGCTCATGCCTGTAATCTTAGCACTTTGGGAGGCCGAGGTGGGCGGATCACTTGAGGTCAGGAGTTCAAGACCAGCCTGGCCAACATGGTGAAACCCTGTCTCTACTAAAAATACAAAAATTAGCTGGGCGTGGTGGCACATGCCTATAATCCCAGCTACTCGGGAGGCCGAGGCAGGAGAATTGCTTGAACCCGGGAGGCTGAGGTTGCAGTGAGCTGAGATCGCACCACTGCACTCCAGCCTGGGCGACAGAGCCAGACTCTATCTCAAAAACAAACAATCAAACAAAAAAACACCATTACAGTTTGGAATTGCACTTGCGATTCTGATTCTAGAGAAAAGCAATGGGCACCTTGGTAAGTCTAAGCTTCCTGTTACTGGGAGTTCTCAAGTAGAAATGGGGTTTACCGTTTGTTGGAGATGTCTTAGAGGGGTTTAAGCATCAGCTAGGAGTTGGAGATAGCATGTAAGGTGCCTTCTATGAATCTGATGCAGAAACTGAGGCCCCAGGCAGGGTGGCCCTTTGACCTTCTACTTCAGGACCCTGAATCCTAGAGGGAAGGGGACTTGTCCAAAGTTACATAGCAAATTAGAGACAGCACCGGGATAGAAACAGCACTCTGTCTTTGGGTCTAAAAACATCCTAGTCTGCATTGTCCATGAGGTGGGAAACGCCCAAGGCTCTCTTGGCAGCAGCTGTGACCTTGGCGCCCTCACTGGATTGCGGGCAGCACTGGGGCAAGGTCATTACAAGGATTCCTTTCTGCAGTGTTTCGGGCAGGTTCTACCCCAGGCACCCTGTGCTGTACCATCCTCTATGAGAGAGGTCACCTGTACCCTGTGGTGACAGGCCTCTGTGGGCCCTTAGGAACCCTTAGACAAGATGGGGGTGGGTCAGGGGAGGGGGACAGCCAAACCAAGAAGGAACAGACAGGAGAGAGAGAGAAGTGAGAAAGAAGTGAGAGCTGAGAGGATGGGAGATTCCGCGGTGCTGGGACCAGGGAGTGCTGGAGGCCCCGGCCTCAGCAGCTTCAGGAGAGCCCCGAGGGTCCAGAAGCCCTGGCACGCTAAAGCTCCCACTCCCTGTACCTTTCGGTGGAGCGTCAGTGGGCTTTTGCTCCAAGGAGTGCCTGCTCATTTCAAACAGGAGCCAATGGTGCATCCAGCTCTCAAAGACCTAATACGGATAGAGGTGGAGGTCAGGTTCGATGGCCACCACCAAGCCCCTACACTGCCTGGCTTTGCCCCTGGGGACAGAAACATGCAGGGCCAAATAGGGCCCCAACACCCGGGTCCAGCTGCAGCCTGGTTCCCTCTTAAAGACCCCTGGGGCTGAACCCCACATACTCTGCAGCATCCAGGTTTTGGAAGTGCTGGTAAACCCCTTCAGCTTCCTGAGAATGGCTTCCCCAGCCCACCCTCACCCCACCTCTCCTAGCCCTGCCCTAGACACCAGAGGAAAGAGAGAGTTCCCATGCAGGGAAACCTGCTGACCTTCCAGTCTATGGTCTCCATGGTGTTCTTAAGGTGTCTCAGGTTCTCCGGGAAGCTCCCCTTCAGTGGCGGGTACACCTTCAGGGGGTCAGCATTCTACAGGGTAGCAGGGCAGGAAGGATGGTTCAAGAAGAGCTCCCTGGCAGGCAGTGTGAAATGTGTAGCCCACGTTCCCTTGGTCTTCCATTCTGAGGAATGGACCAGAGCTACACCAAGCCTAAACCCTGGACTTCAGCCATGATGGGAGGGGAGGGGAGGGTACGGGTAAGGGTAGTCCAGCTGTTCAGCTACGAGACTGCAGCGTTGCGAGTCGAGTTCCAGATTCCAGGCCAGCTCTACCAACAAGCCCCAGTGTCCTCCCTGTGGATGGCTGCTCAGCTTTCAGGTCTTACCTGCTCCAGCAGGTGAGGACCCAACCTTGACTGCCCCCAGCTAGGTTGAGTCCTCTGCCTCTTTCTTCACAAAGCCCCCTGCACTTCTGTCATCACCTGGTCACTTGTCTGTCTCCCACACTAGCCTGGGATCCCCATGGCTTCAGGAGCTGGGTCCAATTGCTCCCCATTGTGGGCCCAGAGCCTTGCACAGTGCTGGCATAGGACAGACACGCAGTACAAATTTGGGGAGAAAAAAAGGGTGTCTTGAGCAAGTCACTTCCAAACTTTGAGCCTCAGTTTCTTTTTTTATTTTTATTTTATTTTATTTTTTGAAATGGAGTCTCACTCTGTCACCCAGGCTGGAGTGCAGTGGCGTGATGATCTCGGCTCACTGCAACCTCCACTTCCCGGGTTAAAGCGATTCTCCTGCCTCAACCTCATGAGTAGCTGGGATTACAGGTGACTGCCACCACATCCGGCTAATTTTTGTATTTTTAGTAGAGACTTTCACTATGTTGGCCAGGCTGGTCTCGAACTCCTGGCCTCAGGTGATCTGCCTGCCTAGGCCTCCCAAAGTGCTGAGATTACAGGCATGAGCCACTGCACCCAGCCGAGCCTGTTTATCTCAAAAATGCAGAGGCCAGACTACATATAACATTTAAGGGTCACCCTTGTATTCAGTAATCCAGAGAGCACATGTTGAAAGTCTGCCATGAGCCAGGTATACAGGCCTTGGAGCTTGGCCCGGCCAGGGTCCTGGGTGGGCAGGCAGGACCACCCAGCTAGCTCCCTGCACTCACCTGGAGCAGGTGCATCACATGGTCCTCTGTCATGTTGCCATACTTGGTGGCATTCTGCATGGGCTGTGGGAGGAAGTAACAGAAGGTTACCAGAGCTGGTCCCTGGAGCAGGGGGTATGGAGCAGGAGCCGGTTGCTGGGATCTAGGTAAGAGACTGGAATCGCAGGCACTTGGTCAATGGTTCCATCTCTGCCACCTCCAAACATGAGAGCTCGAGCAAGTCACTTTAGCTTCCTGCCTCAATGTCCTCATTGGTCAAACTGGCATAAGCTTTCCTGCCCAGGGTTTTGTCCACAGCACAGTATTGTGAATATAAATATTGTCAATGCATGATAGCAAGGTCTTTGAGAATGGGAGAGGACAGTGAGATGCTATAGGAAATGAGAAGCACTTTGTAAACTGTAGAGGGCTGAGCCTTCCTCCCAGGGATGGCACCAAGAGACTCTTCACCTGTGCCCTCCACACCTGGGGAGCCCGATTCTTCCTGAGGCAGGCACTGTCCCTCCCGCAGCAGTCAGGACCCCTCCCCAGGTGGGCTCTCTTCCCTGCCCCTCCCCTTGGCACTGTCCTCCATCCAGGCGGGATAACCTTGCCCCTCCCACCACCCTGGGGCTGTCCTTACCCCCTGGGGCAGGGCTCCCATGGGCAGCGCCTGCATCAGCAGCGGGGTGGCCATGCGCATCTTGCTCACAGGCTTGGGAGCTGTGGGGACAGGAACGAGGGTAAGTGTGGCCCCGGTGCCCAGGGAGGAGGGTATCAGACCCAGATGAGGAAGGGCTGGAATTCCAAACCGGAGGGAGAGGACAGTGGGCCCAGCTGGGTGCAGGGATGCGGGTCTCTGAGTTGAGGGATGGTGGGAGGTGGGGGGTATCAGGATGTAGGGGTGCACGCACGCTTGGGAAGCTTCATGCGCAGGTTCTCCAGCTGCAGGTTCTGGGAGGTGACTGTCAGTTTGTCCAGCCGGCCCTGCTGCTGGTACAGGAAGTAGGCGGTGGTGGCCTGGCCAGCGAGGAGCAGAGTCACCAGGATGGAAAAGCCTGTGTACAGGGCTCCGCGGCTGCACTTGCTGTGGGAGGTGGGGAGGATAGGTCAGAGGAGGATCCACAGTGGTGGCTGCCCCAAGGGCTGGCTAGGAATGGGGAAATGTATACCCCCATCTCCATTAGACCCCTAAGCCACCCCTAATAAACAATGCATTTGAAGCACAAACAGTAAGCTGGCTATGGAAACACAGCTTGAAGACCTCACCCCACCCCTCCTTCCAACCATCGATGTGCCTGAAGTCTTCCCTGGCAGAGACCCTGCAGCTGCCACGGGCCTGAGTTGAACAGAGAAGAGCAAAGAGGCATGCTCTTTGTCCTCTCTGGACCTTAGGGTCCTGCCTGTGCGATGAGGGGTTGAGGTGGGGGGGTCTTCCCAGGCTCCCTTTGCCGTGCGGATCTCCTGATGATCAGGGCTGCCCTCAAGGGGAACAGGTTTGGTTTTTGTTTTGTTTTGTTTTGTTTTGTTTTTTGAGACGGAGTCTTGCTCTGTCGCCCAGGCTGGAGTGCAGTGGCGCGATCTCGGCTCACTGCAACCTCCACCTCCTGGGTTTATGCCATTCTCCTTCCTCAGCCTCTCCGAGTAGCTGGGACTACAGGCACCCGCCACCACGCCTGGCTAATTATTTTGTATTTTTGATAGAGACGGGGTTTCACCGTGGTCTCGATCTCCTGATCTCGTGATCCACCCACCTCAGCCTCCCAAAGTGCTGGGATTACAAGCGTGAGTCACCGCGCCCAGCCTTTTGTTTTGTTTTTTTTTTCTGCTGGCAGGATCAACCAGGTATGTTATTTTTTTTAATTGACAAAACCAAAAAAAATTGTATGTGCTTACCAAGTAAGGGGAAGAGGGTTTTCACCCCTCTGCCCAACCTCCCACCCTCACAGTGAAATCAGATTTAAGGAGAAAAGGTAAGGAAGTGGGACCGGGACAGCAGAAAATGTAGCCCACCTGGGAAGAAGTGGGGCCTGGCCATTTTAGGAGTGGGCTGGGGGAGGCTTGGACAATGTCAGGCTGAAGCAGGGCCAGGCACCACCCACTCTGGGGCCATCCTCTGCCCAGGCTCTCCATGTCTTTGAGCATGTCCCTGCCAATCTCTGTGCCTCTGTTCCCTCATTTGTCACATAGGTGCCCCCACCTCTGCGATTCTAGAATTTGGTGGGTTTCTTCTTTTAAGCAAGATCTCACTGCAAGCGCCAAAGTATTTCAAATGGTAATATCCATCCTGCAGGGGGTGGGCAGGAGTATAGGTGCCTGAGCCTGTGTGGCCTGGATGAATTTCTCATGCTCCCTGGACTCACCATCCAGACCCTCGGACCTCAGCAAGCCCTTGTATCTGTGGGACTTGGATGCGACTGGGGGGTGCATGCATATGTTACAGTACAGGGGATGTAAGGATCCTGCCCCTACACCCCAGGAGTTTCTGATCTGTTCTTTGACGACCCCAGGGGTGGGACTACTAAGACCCTAGTCCAGGTGTTGCCAATGTGAAGGTGTTGGGAGGTGATCGGGCCACAAGGCCTTCTCCCTCACGAATGGGATTAGGTGCCCTGTAAGACGGCTTGATGGAAGGAGTTGGTTCTCTCTTGCCCTTCTGCCTTCCACCATATGAGGACACATCAAGGAAGCCCCTCACCAGGCTGGGTGTGGTGACTCACGCCTGTAATCCCAGCACTTTGGGAGGCCAAGGCAGGTGGATCACTTGAGGCCAGGAGTTCGAGACCAGTCTGGCCAACATGGCGAAACCCCGTCTCTACAAAAAAATACAAAAAACTTAGCCAGGCATGGTGGCGTGCACCTCTAGTCCCAGCTACTTGGGAGGCTGAGGTGGGAGAATCACTTGAACCCGGGAGGCGGAGGTTGCAGTGAGCCGAGATCACGTCACTGCACTCCAGCCTGGGTGACAGAAGGAGACTGTCTCAGAAAAAAAAAAGAAAGCAAGCTAGGCCGGGCGCGGTGGCTCACACCTGTAATCCCAGCACTTTAGGAAGCCAAGACAGGTAGATCACCTGAGGTCAGGAGTTCGAGACCAGCCTGGCCAACGTGGTGAAACCCTGTCTCTACTAAAAATGCAAAAATTAGCCGGACGTGGTGGCGAGCACCTGTAATCCCAGCTACTCGGGAGGCTGAGGCAGGAGAATCCCTTGAACCTGGAAGGTGGAGGTTGCAGTGAGCTGAGATCATGCCATTGCACTCCAGCCTGGGCAACAGAGTGAGGCTCCATCTCAAAAAAAAAAGAAAAAATTAGCCGGGCGTAGTGGTGGGCACCTGTAGTCCCAGCTACTCAGGAGGCTGAGGCAGGAGAATCACTTGAACCTGGGAGGCAGAGGTTGCTGTGAGCCAAGATCACACCACTGCATTCCATCCTGGGGGATAGAGTGAGACTCTGTCTCAAAAAACATAACAAAAAAAAAAAAAAAAAACAAGAAAGCCCCTCCAGAACTGTGAGAAATAAATTTCTGGGTGTTTTTTGTTTGTTTGTTTGTTTGTTTGTATATTACGCAGTCTGTGGTATTCTGTTAAAGCGGCACAAAACGGACTAAAACAGACCCATTGGGAACTGCAAGGATGAGGCTGCACCCTGCCTACTCCAGCAACCAGCAAGGATGGTTTAGGACGCTCCAGGAGTCCCTTGTGCCTGGTAACTCATGACATCACAGACTGGCTCATTCTCATTGGCTTGCTGCGTGCCAGTCTGTGCTTTCTGGGATAAGGCCCAGCCCAAGGGAGAGTTATTCGGGAAGGAAACAGCAAAAACCCGACGGTGGGCGGGGGGCGGGGGGGAAGTGGGGAGACCAGACAGGAAGGGAAAACAAATTCTACTTCTTGGCCTTCTCAAGGAACACGGGTGGCCTAGCCTGTGTTCAGGCTCTCCAGCCTCATCCTCCACCTGTTCAGTGCTTCTGCAACCCCACACCCAATTCTAGCCCCAGCTCTACCTCCCACACACGACATGGGACAGTACCTTCCCCTCTCTGCACCACAGTTCCTCAGGAGGCCTAAGAACCTAGAGATTCACCCTGAAGACGAGACCACATAACCTGGATTGGAATCCTGGCTCTGGAGTCGGTTAGTTCTGGGACCATCTAAGTTGATTAACCCTCTGTGTGAGTAAAATCGGGTAAAACATCTGCTCCAAGGGCTGTTACATTAAATAAGATGATGAGGGTAAAGCTCTTGGCTCCACACCTAGCACATTGTTAGCACTCTATAAATAAATTACACTCAGTGCAATTCTCAGGGGAGTTCGTAGTTAAGTTTAGCATCTGCTTTTCTTCCTCTTTATGCATCTTGAACGCCTGTCCCCTGGTTCTGGTAGAGTGCCAACTCTTGTCACCCCCCTCTTTATTTCCTCATTTACACTACCTTCTTCTGCAATTAAAAAAAAAAAAAAAAAAGCCAAAGTCAGGAGCCAACCAGAGCTAGCAGGAATCGTGACACAGATGTTGCCAGGCAGAAGCATTCACAAAAGCCTCCAAAACAGGCTCCAGTCTGGAATGGCCTAAGCACACATAGCCAGCTTTAGAAGCAGTAACTGAATAAAGGGAAAACTAGACAAGGATTAGACAAGGGGACATGCACTCTGAACACTGAGCCCACCTGGGTCTGTAAATCACTGAGTGGTCTGAGCTCAGAGGGGTCTCACCTCCCCTTCCCACAAAATGCACCTCTGAAAGGGGGCCAAATGGTGGAGTGAGCTAACACTTTGATGTCAGACTAGTCCTGGTTCAAATTCTGCCTCCAACCACTCACTAGCTATGATTACTTGGGTAAGTCACTTACCAATATGACCTCAATTTCCTCTTCTGTAAAAAGGGACAACAAAAGTACCTGATTCATAGGGTGACTGTAAGAATTAAAATTGAGTTTAGCCTTTACGTATGTAAATAATCACAGTACTAACTAACAGTGGCTGAGGCCTGGTGACAGGTACACAGTGGATGAGAACTATTATGGCTATTATATTATTACTGAGACTCAGGGAGAGGCAGTGATTTATCCAAGGTCACGCGTGGCCTAGACCTGAATCCATTCCTCACAAAACAGTCTCCCTCCTTGCCATGGGATTCCCTGGGGTTTTCACAGGCCACAGCTCTAATGGTCTGCAGCAGGTTACCTTGTTCCCCAGAACATAGCTTGTCATAACATCTCTGCAGGGTTCTCCCAAACCCCTTTCTGCCTGGCAACAGCTGACATCACACCTAGCTGTAAGTCCCTGTAGATCGCAAATTACTTTTTGGAGACTGGGGGTAGCAGGGGCATTGGGGTAATAGCCTTCTAGCCCTTTTTGAGGGAAACACATGGGTGAGGCTATTTTGGGGCTGGGAAGTGGGGGCCTGGTGTCCCCTGGATGGCTGTGCTGGCCTCTGGCTGCAAGGGAGAGGGGCACAGGCAAGGACATGACCCCCGTCAACCCTGAGCCCCCTCCAGAAATTTAACCAGAGCCTGTCCCTCCTTTCTTGCCTGCCCCCAACATCTCACAATCCCTCCTGTGATGGCAGATGTCTCCATCTACTCTACAGACACCTGCAACTATCATTCCCTTGATCCGTGGTAATTAGGAGGGAACTCCTCTGTGAAGAACTGCTTCTACCATCCTCTTTTAGAAACTCTTTCTCCACTGGGATCTTGAACATTTTCAAAATCTGGTGCAAGGTCTTTATTTATTTATTTATTTTTTTTGAGACAGAGTGTCACTGTGTCACCCAGGGTGGGGTACAGTTGCACAATCTTGGCTCACTGCAACCTCTGCCTCCCAGGTTGAAGTGATTCTCATGTCTCAACCTCCCAAGTAGGTGGGATTACAGGTGTACACCACCACATCTGGCTAATTTTTGTATTTTTAGTAGAGATGGGGTTTCAACATGTTGGCCAGGCTGGTCTCGAACTCCTGGCCTCAGCTGATCTGCCCGCCTCAGCCTCCCAAAGTGCTGGGATTACAGGCGGGAGCCACCAGGCACAGCCTGTTCCAAGGCCTTTAACCTAGCATTCACAGCCCAGCTTTAGTGGGATCTCAAAGCCCCTGCATAGCATGTGAAACTCTAGGGAGAGAACCCATGCTCTCTTCTGCTTTTCAGAAGGAGGCGGTGTGATGCAAGGAAAGTTACAAACTCCTGCTCTTAAAGGAACCCCCTCATTTGACAAGAGAGGGAGCCGGAGCCCAGAGCAGGCCAAAGACTTGCTCAAAATCACCCAAAAAGTCAATGTTAGAGTCAGAGCCTGAATCCCTCTTTCCTGTGACTCCTGGCCGGTGCTTCTTCCCAGCACATGCGCACGGCTCTGCAGTCCAGGATCGGTGTGCCCTTTCCTGGTGCTCACACATACCTCTCCGGGGCCCCAGGGCGCCGGCCCAGCATGGGCAGTTGCTCATTGTTGGAGATAAGGTCGCGCTGGTCATCCATGACTGGCTTCTGATCTTCCCGACAGCTCCTGCTTCTCCTCCTGTGCATCTGGGACCCTGACCCCCCGGCTCGCCTCTTAAAGTCGGTGCTGGAGAGGAATCTGATTCGTCCACAGAAGGCCACTCCGCCCACTTGGTAGATGTGGAAGTGAAAGCTACAAAGGCTGGAAATACCCCACTTTGGTGAAGCTGCCTTTTGCGGGGCAGGATGTGGGGCGGGGGGGCTCCCCAGGCAGGTAGAAAGGCCAGCACGATCCCATTGGCTGCCCAGGGCCCTCATCACTTGTTTCTGGGCAGGCCTTTGGATTCATAAGGCTCTTTGAATGTTTCAAGAAACAGGCAAATGTCCACTCCCTAGACAGGAAAGCACTTTGAAACAGAAGACACCTTTGTTTGTCTCCCCTTCTCATCCACAGATGAGTGGGTGCAGAAAGGGGCTGTGCACCCTTGGTGAGCTCAGACAAGTCCTCTTCTCTGGCCTCCGTTATGTCGTCTCAAACACGCAGGAGGAAGTTTGGACGACGTGCAGGGGTGAAAACATTTCTTTTCTTTCCCTGTTTAGGTTCTTAGTTGACACGCTCCCCTGGAAACAAAAGTCAACTTAACAAAAGAAAAATCAGCCAAAGTTGATTAACACATGCTGTACCCATTATGCAGTAGAGGCCTCAGTTGAGAAGTATTTCTCTCTCAAGGCAGTGGCTTAGGGGCCTTGCTTAAATAGTATTTTAACAAAGAGCCGTAAGTCCCATAGAGTGACAGGACAGAGAAGAGGATATCTTCAGGGTTCCAAAGGGCTGGAAATGTGGGAAGGTGAATGTATGGGAACAGTCAAGTCTGATCCAGGATCCTCTGAGCTCTGCTTCTGAGCTGATCAAGACAGAGAGAAGGGGCAGAGGGTGCCCCTGGGTTTTAACCTTTTACCTTTAACTAAAATCCGCAGGTTTTTAGAGAGGAATATTTTGATTTCCTTCAAACCTAAGAGTCCATGGTTTTAAGGCTCTGGCACTCAGACTTGCCTCCACTTACCAAGCTCTCCTTCGTGCCAGGCACGTTGTCCATGCTTTGTTTCCTGTGATCTTTACGGAGGCCCTTTGAGGAGTGTTTTATCATCTCCATTTACAGATAGGGACACAGGGGCTCTTGTCCAGGATCACACCTCCAGAAAGTAGTAGCGCCTGCATTTTTAACCACTCCACCCCTCTGCCTCCTTGTGTGGTTCAGATCCAGGAGAATGGGGGCCTGTGCTGGGAGGGAAGAGGACAGCCTGGGAAAGGGTGCCTGGGAGGATGGGACTGTGTTGGCAAGGCTCCTGTGCTGTGACATAGTGAAAAACGTCTCTGGTCTCTGTCCCTGGTTCCTGACACAAGGACCACTAAGAACCAAAGAGTCTCCAGAGTAAGCCTGGGTGTGGTGGCTCAGACCTGTAATTCCAGCACTTTGGGAGGCTGAGGCGGGAGGATCAGTTGAGGTCAGGAGTTCGAGACTTGCCTGGCCAACATGGTGAAACCCTGTCTCTACAAAAAATTTAAAAATTAGCCAGGCATGGTGGCACACACTTGTAATCCCAGCTACTTGGGAGTCTGAGGCAGGGGAATTGCTTGAACCCAGGAGGCAGAGGCTGCAGTGAGCCAAGAACGCACCACTGCACTCCAGCCTGGGTGACAGAGCAAGACTCTGTCTAAAAAAAAAAAAACAAGAAAAAAAAGAAAAAAAGACCAGGCACGGTGGCTCACGCTTGTAATCCCAGCACTTTGGGAGGTCGAGGTGGGTGTATCATGAGGTCAGGAGTTTGAGACAAGCCTGACCAACATAGTGAAACCCCGCTACTAAAAACACAAAAATTAGCCGGACATGTTGACGTGTGCCTGTAATCGCAGCTACTCGAGAGGCTGAGGCAGGAAAATCGCTTGAACCCTGGAGGCGGAGGTGCGAGATCGCACCACTGCACTTCAGCCTGGGCAACAGAGTGAGACTCCATCTCAAAAAAAAAAGTATCTCCAGAGTGAGAAGAATGTCTTTTTTTATATATTCAGGAAATGCTGGTGGCTGAAAGCCCCTAGAGAGCTTCAGATGGAGGCTGGGTGCCATGTGAGGAGAGGGTCGGGACTTTCAGACCTCACCCCCACCCGCCCCACCCCGACTTCCAGAGAGGAGAGAGGGGTTGGAGGTTGAGTTCAATCAGTGATTTAACCAACCATGTCTACATAATGGAACTTGCATAAAAATCCCAAACAACTAGGTTTGGAGAGCTTTCGAGTAGACGAACACATCCATGTGCCAGGAGGGTGGTGCACCCCAACTCCACAAGGACAGGGACAGAGGCTGCTGTGTTCAGGACCCCTCCCACATGCCGTACGCTATAGACCTCTTCATCAGCTGCTCATCTGTATCCTTTATAATAAACTGGTAATAGTAAGTAAAGTGCTTCTCAGTTCTGTGGGCCATTGTAGCTATTTGTCAAGTATGAAGAGGGAGTCGTGGGAACTCCCAATTTGTAGCCAACTCATCAGAAGTACTGGAGTCCCGGGACTTAGGATTGGCATCTGAAGTGGATGAGTCTTGTCTGACTGAGCCCTCAACCTATGGGTTCAGATGCTAACCCCAGGTAGATAGTGTCTGAACAGAATTGAATTGTAGGATGCCCAGTTGGTGTCCAGAGAGTTAGAACATTTGTTGTTGGTGTAGAAAAAATCCACACATTTGGTGTCAGAAGTGCTGTGAGTGTAAAAAAACAAGTTTCCTTTTATATACCATATTTGTTTTATTAATCTTTATGTATTGTGTGTGCTTTACAATTTGCATTAATAAATTTTTTTTAATAAATTTAGACTTGTGGTTCGAAGGTTCAATGAGTTTTGGATTTCAAGAGTCAAATGAGATAGTACATGTATTTTGGGAGGAGAGCGAAGAGCAGACATGGCCTTTGATGTGGCCAGACCTGAGTTCAAATCCCAAGTCAGAAACATCCTAGGCATGTGAGTCCCTGAACCAGTCCCTCAACCTTTCTTTACTTTTTTTTTTTTTTTTTGAGACAGAGTCTTGCTCTGTTGCCCAGGCTGGAGTGCAGTGGCACGATCTCGGCTCACTGCAAGCTCCGCCTCCCGGGTTCATGCCATTCTCCTGCCTCAGCCTCCCAAGTAGCTGGGACTACAGGTGCCCGCCACCACACCCAGCTAATTTTTTGTATTTTTTTAGTAGAGATGGTGTTTCACTGTGTTAGCCAGGATGGTCTCGATCTCCTGACCTCGTGATCCGCCTGCCTTGGCCTCCCAAAGTGCTGGGATTACAGGCGTGAGCCACCACGCCTGGCCCCTCAACCTTTCTGATTTTGCTTTCTGCTTTGTAATGCAGGGATGGTAATACTAGCCTTGCAGAGCTGTTAGACTAAATAAGCATTTAGCCAGAGCCTCGCACCATAGAAGATGCTGAAGATATGAAACTGGATGGAACTGGAGACATTTTGTAAGTGAAATAAGCCAGGAACAGAAAGTTAAACACAGAATGTTCTAACTCATATGTGGAAGCTAAAAAAAGTTCAACTCATAGAAGTGAAAAGTAGAACAGAGGATACTAGAGGCTGGGAAGGGTAGGGGGAAGGGAGGGACGGGGATGCAAAAGGATACAAAATTGCACCTAGATAGGACTAAGTTCTCATTTTCTATACCCCTGTGGGATGACTATAGTTAACAATAACATACAGTTTCAAATAGCTGTGAGACAGAGCAGGGACCCTTCTTAGGGGCCAGCTGAGCACCCCACCAACATAAAAAGAGAGAAAAATCTAGGCCAGAAATGGTGGCTCACACCTGTAATTCCAACACTTTAGCAGGTCCAAGGTGGGAGGATCGCTTGAGGCCAGGAGTTCGAGACCAGCCTGGGCAACACAGTGAGACCCCCGTCTCCACAAAAATTTTTCTAAAATTAGCCAGGCGTGGTGGCACGTGCCTGTAGTCCCAGCTACTCAGGAGGCTGAGGCAGGAGGATCCCCGGAGGCTTGAGTGTCCAGGCTGCAGTGAGCTGTGATGATGCCACTGTACTGCAGCTTGGGTGACAGAGTAAGACCATCTCTAAAGAGAAAAAAGAAAAGAAAAGAAAAAGAAACTTACGTTTCTTCAAAAGTATTTCAGGCACCTAGCTAGCCTTGAGAAGTAAATGAGCAAGCTGATAAACAAAAATATAGTAATAACTTAAGACAATAGCCAAAAAAGTTAGAATCATGGGGTATTTGGCTCCCTATAAAAACTAAAGATAACATCTTAACTTATGTCCCTGCATTGCTTTTCATAAACCCAGACCCCCACCAAACAGATCCACTGGCTCATAGATCTCAGACAAGGGGGAGCAGAGGACTAAACTCTAACCACCAATCTTTGCTCTAAATTTCTTCCTTTCACACCTGTAATCTCAGCACTTTGGGACGCCAAGGTGGAAGGACTGCTTGAGGCCAGAAGTTCAAGACCAGCCTGGGCAACAAAGCAAGACCCCCCCATTTCTACAAAAACAAAACAAAACAAAACAAAATTTAATTAGCCAGGTGTGGCAGCACATATCTGTAGTCCCAGCTAGATGGGAGGCTGAGGCAGAAGGATCACTTGAGCCCAGGAGTTTGAGGCTACAGTGAGCACTGATTGTCCCACTAAACTCCAGTCTGGGTGACAGAGCGAGCCCCTGTCTCAATAAATAATACATTTTAAACATTAAAAATAAATAAATTTCTTTCTGAGGGGCCTGGAGGAGGTCATGCCCACAGGCCAGAGCTAACATTCCTTTTTTCTGACCCCAGATTTTTAGACAAACGTTCGTGTCCTTAACCAATGACAAATGAGAAAATCTTTAAATCCACCCATGACCTGTGGACCCCCACTTCAAGATGTCCCACCTTTTTAGGTCAAACCAATATATAACCTTCATGTATTGATTTAGAATTTTGCCTATAACTTCTGCTTTCCTCAGATTTACCCCTGCCTTTAAAATCCTAGCTTATGGCTGGGGGCAGTGGCTCACGCCTGTAATCCCAGCACTTTGGGAGGCCGAGGCGGGCGGATCACGAGGTCAGGAGATCGAGACCATCCTGGCTAACACGGCAAAACCCCATCTCTACTAAAAAAATACAAAAAATTAACCGGGCGTGGTGGTAGGCGCCTGTAGTCCCAGATACTCTGGAGGCTGAGGCAGGAGAATGGCGTGAACCCGGGAGGCGGAGCTTGCAGTGAGCCAAGATCACGCCACTGCACTCCAGCCTGGGTGACAGAGCGAGACTCTGTCTCAAAAAAAAAAAAAAAAAAAAAAAAATCCTTGCTTATAAGCCACTCATTGGAGATGGGTTTCTTTGTTTCGTTTTGTTTTTTGAGACAGGGTCTCACTCTGTCCCCCTTGAAGAAGTGCAGTGATGCAATCATGGCTCACTGCAGCCTGAACTTCCCAGGCTCAAGGGATCCTCCCACCTCAGCCTCCGAGTAGCTGGGGATACAGGTACACACCACCACACTCAGCTAATTTTTCTGTAGAGACCATGTGTCTCACTATATTGCCCAGGCTGGTCTCAAACTCCTGGACTCAAGTGATCCTCCTGCCTTGGCCCCACAGTGTGCTGGGATTATAGGCATGAGCTGTTGCACCCAACCAAGGTCAGCTCTTAAGCATGAGATGCCCAATTCTTTTACTTGGTCGTCTACAAATAAATACCCTCTTTTATTCCACTACAAACCTCGATATAAATATTTGGCCTTATGATGCCATGTGAGCAGAACCTCGCTAGGTTCAATAACAGCTGGAAAAAGGATATTGAATGTTCCCAACACAAAGAAATGATAAAAGTTTGAGATGATGGATATTACCCCCACCAAAAAAAAAAAAAGTGAAACTGTACTGTTCAAATATTTATTTATTTATTTATTTAATTAAGACAGAGTCTTGCTCTGTCACCCAGGCTGGAGTGCAGTGATGTGATCTCGGCTCACTGCAGCCTCCACCTCCCAGGTTCGAGCGATTCTCATGCTTAAGCCTCCTGAGTAGCTGGGACTACAGCTGTGCGCCACCATGCCTGGCTAATTTTTTTGTATTTTTAGTAGAGATGGGGTTTCACCACATTGGCCAGGCTGGTCTCGAACTCCTGACCTCAAGTGATCCACCCGCCTTGGCCTCCCAAAGTGCTGGGATTACAGGCGTGAGCCACTGTGCCCAGCTCAAATATTTATTAAGCTATTTTCTGTGTAGTCAAGACAAATGGTATCCTATATCCACACAAAAATTTGCCCACAAATGAATGTTCATAGGGCCATTATTCATAATATCAAAAAAGTAGAAACAACCCAAATATTCAACTGATGAATAGGTAAACAAAATGTGGTGTATCCATACAATGAAATAGTACTCTGTCATAAAGAGGAATGAATACTCAATAAAACTGTTACTTTAAAAAATAATGAAGTACTGATTCATACCACGACATAGATGACCCTTGAAAACATTATGCTAAGTGAAAAAAGCCAGACACAAAAGGCCATACATTGTATGATTCCATTTATGAGAAGTGCCCAAAATAGGCAAATCCACAGAGACAAAATATAGATTAGGGGTTGCTGGGGGGCTGTGGGGAAGAAAGGAGGGGGAGTGGTTGCTAACAGGTATGGGGCTCCCTTTTGGGTAATGAAAATATTCTAGAATAGATATGATGGTTGCACAACTTTGTGGATGTACAAAAAACCATTGAATTTTATACAGTTTTTAAAGGGTGAATGTTATGGTACATGAATTAGGTCTTATTTTTTGAAGATTGTAATGATGGATAGAGCACACATTTACTTTTGCTTCCTCTCTCACTTTGCTTTTGTCACTAAAATGACCATAGGTTGTTTTAAGTGTAAATCTACAAGAACAAAGAGAACAGGAGATGAGAAAACAATAGAATTTGAGAAGCAGGAAAGCAGGTGAGCAAGTGTTAAGTCCCTTAGTAGACCCCAAAAAAACTGCATCCTAAACCTGCGGCTAGAAAAGCTGAGAAGCCACGTAGTTAGGTGGCAGAACAGACTCAGGAACTGGTGTGTCGGGTACCTGGGTGGTGAGTAGAGGTGGGACTAAAAAGAGGAAGGTAGTTTGGAAGTCTGTTTCTGAGGCAGTGAGATACCCACGCCCTCTCCCTCCCCGAGGGCCACCCGTCCCCCTCCTTGAGGGACAATTGCAAGTGTCTTTCCCAGACAAATAAAGAACGTGAGCCTGGTACTGAAGCTGAGAGGCCCAGTGTTCTCCCCTACCCACAGTGTGAAAGCCAGGCCTTCACCCAAGCCACAGCCTGGAGGAAGCTTCTCTGTGGAGCATGACCATCCCAGGAAAAAAAGGCCTCAGGACTCTGACACTGGGAATTTCCTGATGAAACAACTCAACCAGAATACCCTATAGGAAGCCCTTGGTGGATAAGTCCTACTCATGGGTCACAGCTGTCTTAGACAATCAGGTTTTTTAGATAATCCAGAATCCTGGGACATCTAAAGAAAGCCTTTAACATAAAAGAGAGTGAACAAAACAACCACACAGAAAAAAAAAAAAAAGCACTATGGAGGAAATGAACTGTCATTAATAGCCCTAGGGAGAAAAAGGAGGATACTGCACCCATGAAACAAGAATAGGATGCTATAAAAGTATAAGTAGTATAGAAGAACAAAGCATAGCTCTTGAAGATTTAAAATATGAGGGCAGATATTAAACAGTCAATAGATGGAAGATAAAGTGTTTTTTTAAAATCTCCCAAAGTGTGGACCACAAAGATAAATTTAAAAATCAGACAGAAAAGATAAGAGAATTAAACACCAGTCCAGGAGGCCCAACAGCCAAATACCAAGTTCCAGAAATAGAGAACAGAAAATATAGAGGGGAAGAAATCATCAGTGAAATAAGTCAATACATTTTCCAGAACTCAAGGACATAAATTTCCAAACTGAAGAGGCCCAGTGAGCACTGAGGACAAGGTGTGAAAGCAATTTCACAGCAAGGGATGCTGTTGTGAAGTTTCAGCAAAATAAGAACAAAGAGAAGATTCTGCAAATTTCCAGAAAGGAAAAATCAAGACAGATACAAAGGATTAGGAATCAGAAGATTAGGAATCAGAATGACTTTAGAGTTCTTTCTTTTTTTCTCTCTCTCTTTCTTTCTTTTTTTGAGATGGAGTCTTGCTCTGTACCCAAGGCTGGAATACAGTGGCGCAATCTCAGCTCACTGCAACCTCTGCCTCCCATGTTCAGGTGATTCTCCTGCCTCAGCCTCCCAAGTAGCTGGGATTACAGGCACCCACCACCACCACTGGCGAAGTTTTGTATTTTTTTTTTTAGTAGAGATGGGGTTTCACAATGTTGGCCAGGCTGGTCTCAAACTCCTGACTTCAGATGATCCACCTGCCTTGGCCTCCCAAAGTGCTGGGATTACAGGCGTGAGCAACCATGCCCAGCTGAAAAAGTTTTAAATTGGGTAGGCGGTTTGGGGACGGAGATGGAAAAAAAAATTTTTTTTAAGTTTGAAACTGATGTAAAGAGGATGGTGAAGATCTGCTACTCATTTTACAGCAAATCTTGTAGAACTATTTGATTCTTGTTTGCTTGTTTGAGGCGGAGTCTCACTCTATAGCGCAGGCTGGAGTGCAGTGGAGCGATCTCGGCTCACTGCAGCCTCTGCCTCCTGGGTTGAAGTGATTCTCCTGCCTCAGCCTCCTTAGTAGCTGGGACTACAGGCTCGTGCTACCATGCCAGGCTAATTTTTTTGTGTTTATAATAGAGACAGGGTTTCACCATGTTGACCAGGCTGGTCTTGAACTCCTGACCTCAGGTGATCTGCCCGCCTCAGCCTCCCAATGTGCTGGGATTACAGGCGTGAGCTACTGCACCCGGCCTGATTCTTTAGACTATGTGAATTTACAACTTCAATACAAGGTAAAACTAAATTTATAGTTTTTTTTGTTTTGGGGTGTGTGTGTGTGTGTGTGTGTGTGTGTGTGTGTGTGACGGAGTCTCACTGTGTCACCAGGCTGGAGTGCAGTGGCGTGATCTCAGCTCCCTGCAACCTCTGCCTCCTGAGTTCAAGCGATTCTCTTGCCTCAGCCTCCTGAGTAGGTGGGATTACAGGTGCCTACCACCATGCCCGGCTAATTTTTGTATTTTCATAGAGACGGGGTTTCACGATGTTGGTCAGGCTGGTCTCCAACTCCTGACCTCAAATGACCTGCCCACCTCGGCCTCTCAAAGTGCTGCGATTATAGGCGTGAGCCACCGCGCCCAGCCTAAATTTAAAATAAAGGGAATAATGCATCACAGTCACTAGATTCTAAACCAATGGTGATAGAATGGCAGTCCGAACTCTTTTCTCTGTGCAGCAGTTTCAGGACACAGCTGAGGGAAATCCCACGGTCATCCTGCCCGTGCCCTTGGAGGTTAGAGACTGATGCCAGCCAAGAGGGAGGGTCCCAAGACTGAGTTTCCCAGAGGGCGTGGACAATGGCTCCCTGCATCTTTCCTTACAGGGTAAGAAGTCCCAGTTTCTCACTTGTCACACAGGCTCCACCGCCCAGGGAAGGAGCCTTGTCCCACCTACCCCTGACCACAGGAGGAGGGAGACAGAGTAACAGGAAGCAGTGGAGCTTGGATGCCACACCCTGATGGGGAGATGGAGTAAGGTGGAACCCAGCTCCACAGAGTTTCATACAGAGAAAGTATGACTTAGAGAGGGGAAAGGAACTGGCCCAAGGTCACACAGCAAGGTCCCCAGAACTGGAACTGTTCTGCAGTTTGCATGAGTGTGAAAAACAAAAGAACTTGAGGCAGACTGCCTGGGGCCACATCCCAGCTTCCAAATGGCTGGTTTCAGGGCTGGAGATGGGGGAATGCAGGTGATGCTGAGACATCTCTGTTTTTTTCTTTCCAGAAAGCCAAGAAGTTCTCAAAGACTCCTGGGGCTTGAAAGAAGGACCCAGGAGCCAACTTGAAGGGGCACCGCCAGCCAGATACGGAACAATGCCAGCCTCAATAAGAATAATTTGGCCAGGCCTGGTGGTTCATACCTGTAATTCCAGCACTTCAGGAGGCTGAGGCGAGAGGATTGCTTGAGCCCAGGAGTTCAAGACCAGCCTGGGCAACATAAGAACCCTGTCTCTACAAAAAATTTAAAAATTAGCAAAAGCGTGGTGGTGTACACATGTAGTGCCAGCTACTTGGGAGGTTAAGGTGGGAGGATGGCTTGAGCCCAGGAGGTTGAGGCTGCAGTGAGCTGTGATTGCATCATCACACTCCAGACTAGGCAACCGAGCAAGAGACCCTATCTCAAAATAATAATAATAATAGTAATAATAATTTGTCCTGCCTCTTTAGAAGGAGCTGTAGTTCAATCCCAGTTGATGAGAAAAAAACTCTTCTTTACAGAAGAGTGCAAGCTTCTTGCATTTCTGCAGAAGAAAAGACAGAAATAGAAAATCATCTTGTTGTAACCCTTCGTAAAATAATTGATCAATAATTGATCGTATAATAATTGACAGGATTATCCAGGGAGTCAGAACCCTGGGATGAAAGGCTGGGGGAGGACAGAACAGTCACATGCCAAAGAGTCCACCTGAAGCCTCTTGCTGGTTGCCAAAGGGGAGAGGTGTTTTACAGTAGTAAAAAATGGTGCAGTCTTGCTGTCACCACCTCAGACAAGTGATCAAATTTAGCATCATCAATAGTGGAACAATCTGACATGTGTCTCTGGATGGGATATAATAATAATAATACTCAGCATGAGCTGGGCAGTATCTTTACTAAAGATTGTTAACCTGAATCTGCCTTTTTTTTTTTTTTCTGAGACAGAGTCTCACTCTGTCACCCAGGCTGAAGTGCAGTGGGGTAATCTTGGCTTACTGCAACCTCCTTGCCTCCCTGGCTCAAGCAATCCTCCCACCTCAGCCTCCCAAGTAGCTGGGAGCACAGGCATGCAGAGCCACACCTGGCTTTTTTTTTGGGGGGGTGGTGGGTATTTTTAATAGAGACAGGGTCTCGCCATGTTGCCCGGGCTGGTCTCAAACTGTTGACCTCATGATCCTACCACCTTGACCTCCCAAAGTTCTGGGATTGCCGACGTGAGCCACAACGCCCAGCCTGAATCTGGCTTTGGACCTAAACTCCAGTTTAGAGTCAATACAGGGGGTAGAAGAACAAGTTAAATAACACCATGAAGAAACAATCAGATATATCCAGGGACAGCCTATAAGATAACACCTGCTGCCAGGCACGGCGGCTCACGCCTGTAATCCTAGCACTTTGGGAGGCCGAGGTGGGCGGATTGCCTGAGCTCAGGAGTTCGAGACCAGCCTGGGCAACACAGTGAAACCCCGTCCCTACTAAAATACAAAAAATTAGCCGGGCATGGCAGTGTGCACCTGTAGTCCCAGCTACTCAGGAGACTGAGGCAGGAGAGTTGCTTGAACCCGAGAGGTGAGGTTGCAGTGAGCCGAGATCGCGCCACTGCACTCCAGCCTCGGTGACAGAGCGAGACTCCGTCTCCAAAAAAAAAAGATAACACCTGCATTCTCCAAAGAATCAATGTCACAAAAAAAGGTGTATGTGTGTAGATACATGGGGATCTGTATTTTAAAGGATTTAAAAAACAATAAACCAAATGCAATTTGTAAATCTTTGTAAGATGTACGATTTGAAAAAAACAAGTATAAAAGATTTTTTTTTTTTTTTTGAGACGGAGTCTGGCTCTGTCGCCCAGGCTGGAGTGCAGTGGCGCAATCTCAGCTCACTGCAAGCTCCGCCTCCCAGGTTCACGCCATTCTCCTGCCTCAGCCTCCCGAGCAGCTGGGACTACAGGCGCCCGCCACTACGCCCGGCTAATTTTTGTATTTTTAGTAGACACAGGGTTTCACCGTGTTAGCCAGGATGGTCTCGATCTCCTGACCTCATGATCCGCCCGCCTCGGCCTCCCAAAGTGCTGGGACTACAGGCTTGAGCCGCCGCGCCCGGCCGTAAAGATTTTTTTAAAAGCAGGGAAATTTGAATATCAGATGGACATTTGGAAATTGTTATTGATCTTCTTAGGTATGATAATGAAGTTTTAGTCTGGTAGGAGAATTTTTTTAGGAGATGAGGCTGAAGTACTTGGAGGTAACATGACATGATGTTTGAACTTATTTTCACATTGTTTAGAGAAGAGAGAGAGAGTGGCCGGGTGTGGTGGCTCATACCTGTAATTTCAACACTTTCGGAAGCTGAGGTGGGAGGATTGCTTGGGAAGGCAGCTTGAGGCCAGGAGTTTAAGACTAGTCTAGGCAATATAGAGAGACCTTGCCTCTTAAATTTTTTTTTTTAATTAGCCAGGCATAGTAGTGCGTGCCTGTAGTCCTAGCTACTCAGGAGGCTGAGGCAGGAGGATCGCTGGAGCCCAGGAGTTCGAGGTTGCAGTGAGCTGTGTTCATGCCATGGCACTCCAGCCTGGGTGACAGAGCAAAACTCTCTCTCAAAAATAGAAATAAAGGCCAGATGCAGTGGCTCACATTTGTAATCCCAGCACATGGGGAGCCCAAGGCAGAAGGATTGCTTGAGCCTAGGAGTTCAAGACCAGCCTGGGCAACATAGTGAGACTCCATCTCCACAAAATTTTTTTTTTATTATCTAGGCCTGGTGGCAAACAACTGTAGTCCCAGCTACTCAAGAGGCTGAGATGGGAGGATGGCTTGAGCCCAGGAGATGGAGGCTGCAGTGAGCCGTGATCACACTACTGCACTCCAGCCTGGGTAACAGAGACCCTGTTTCAAAAAACTAAAAATAAAGACCTAGGCATGGTGGTTCATGCTGTAATTCTAGCACTTTGGGAGATCAAGGCAGGCAGATCACTTGAGCTCAGGAGCTTGAGACCAGCCTGCGCCACATGGTGAAACATCATCTCTACAAAAAATAAGCCAGATGTGGTAGCACGTGCCTGTAGTCCCAGCTCCTTGGGGAACTGAGGCAGAAGAATTGCTTGATCCCAGGAAGTCAAGGCTGCAGTGAGCCAAGATCATGCCACTGCACTCCAGCCTGGGTGACAAAGTGAGACCGTGTCTCAAAAAATAATAATAAATAAAATTAAAAGTAAGAGGTCAGACACAGTGGCTCACATCTGTAGTTACAACCCTTTGGAAGGCTAAGATGGGAGGATCCCTTGAGCCTAGGAGTTCAAGACAAGCCTGGGCAACATGGAAAGACCCCATCTCTACAAAAAATGTTAAAAAAAAAAAAAAAAAAAGAAAGAAAAAAGAAAAAATGAAAATAAAAAATTCACCGGGCATGGTGGCATGTACCTGTGGTCCCAGCTACTTGGGAGGCTGAGGTGGGAGGATCACTTAGCCCAGGAGATTGAGGCTGCAGTGAGCTGTGTTGTGCCACTGCATTTCATTCAGCCTTGGTGACAGGAGAAGACCCTGTCTCCAAAAAAAAAAATAAAACAAAATAATAAAATAAAACACAGAGAGAGAAGTGAAATTGATAGTAGTTGAAGCTAAGTGGTGGGTATCTGATCAATTTTTCTGTATGTTAAATTTTTTCTTAATAAATGGTTAGAAAAAATTTTAAGTCAATTATGTACAAACTCAGTTTCCTTTGTACAGGAATTGTCCTCACTGCCAAGAAGACATTGTTCATTCCCATTGTGGTTATATTGACAACTGGGGGACAATGGGCTCTTTTACAGCATAGGCACATAATGTGTGTGTGGTTTTTTTTTTTTGAGAGAGAGTTTCGCTCTTGTTGCCCAGGCTGGAGTGCAATGGCGCGATCTCGGCTCGCCGCAACCTCTGCCTCCTGGGTTCAAGCGATTCTCCTGCCTCAGCCTCCCAGCCTGTAGCTGGGATTACAGGCATGCGCCGCCCCCGCCCAGCTAATTTTGTATTTTTAGTAGAGATGGGTTTCTCCATGTTGGTCAGGCTGGTCTTGAACTCCTGACCTCAGGTGATCTGCCCATCTCAGCCTCCCAACATGCTGGGATTACATTATGGTCCCCCATGCCTGGCCCATAATGTGTGTTTTAATCCTCATCAAAATGTCTCAGTACTTTATGAGAAGTTTTCTATTTTGTTTTTCAGTTTTGTGTTTTTTTGTTTTGTTTTGTTTTGTTTTTGTTTTGTTTTATGGAGTCTTGCTCTGTCACCCAGGCTGGAGTGCAGTGGCGTGATCTTGGCTCACTGCAACCTCCGCCTCCCGGGTTCAAGTGATTCTATTGCCTCAGCCTCCCAAGTATCTGGGATTATAGGTGCCCACCACCATGCCTGGATAATTTTTTTTTTTCCATAGAGATGGAGTTTCACCATGTTGGCCAGGCTGGTCTTGAACTCTTGACCTCAAGTGATCCGCCCACCTCAGCCTCCCAAAGTGCTGGGATTACAGACATGAGACTCTGCCAGTTTTCTATTTTCATAGGAAAAAAATTCTAAGTCAAACCACTTACCAGATGTATGATTTTTAGCAAGTTACTTAAATCCTTTGTGCCTCAGTTTCCTCACCTGTAAAATGGGCATGCTAATAGAACCCATCTCATTGGGTTGCGAAAGGATTGAGTGAAGTAATACACACATGGCTGGCATAGAGACAGCGTGCAATACATGTCAGAGAGTTCAGCAATATGTTCTTTTCCATAAACCTGTTCATTCTGAATCTGGGACCCTGTGCATGTTCAGAGATTTGGAGCTGCTCAACAGAGCCAGAGGGAGCCTCATCCTCCCTCTCTGGACTTTCCTGGGGGTCTCATCTCGGGAGTCTCATCCCTGGTGTCACCCCTGAGCTAGTCTGAGTGACTCTCTAAGATGCCTGCCCTCTTTTGGTCTGGACACTCCAGGCCCCAGAGGTGTGAGTTCCTACCAGTTCACCCTGGGTGAGCCGGGCAGGTGGAGTCTCCTGAGACCTCCCCTTCCCCATTCTCCTTCTTGGTCCCTGAGTCCCTGATGAGCTGCCTCAAGAAGCAGGCAGGCAGTGTGCACCCAGCCCTGCCCACCAGCCCACATGGCCCAGCCCACCCATCTTGTGTGGGGCCTCTTGGACCCCAGTACACCTTGGCCACGAATAAGGGGCTGGAAAGGGGGCTGTTTGTGTGGAGGGAGCAGGCCTGGGCTCTAGTCCTATACCTTCCATATGTGCCCCAGGCAAGTATACATCATCCCTTCTCTCACTTGTTCAGCAGTTATTTATTGAATACTTTATGCCAGGCACTGTTCTAGGAGCTTGGGATACATGGATGAACAAGGCAGACAAGTATCCCCATCCGTATGGAGTTTACATTCCAGGGGCAGGAGACAGGTCAGTAAATTATACTTTTGTTAGAGAGTGGTAAGTGCTATGGAGGAAAGGAAAGTTGTTTCTGGAGATGCAGGGTTGGGGGCAGGTTGTAGTCTTTGATAGGGTGTTGGGATGGGCCTCATTGACAAGGTGAGATTTGAGCATAGGCCTGAAGGAGGGGAGGAAGTTCACCAAGCCCACAACCGGGCAGAAATCACAGCCAGAGCAGAGGTCCCATGGTGGGAATGTGTCCGGCCTGGTTGACGAACCACAAGGAGGCCAGCATTGCTGGGGTGGAGCGACTGAGAGGAAAAGGGAGAGGGAGGGACAGACGGGAGGTCACGAGGTGTGCAGCCAGATCCTGCAGCCACCCACTGGACTTTGGCTTTATGCCGAGTGAAGCCGGGAGCCGTGGGAAGGCTCTGAGCAGAGGAGTCGCCTCCTGACTCTTGCTGTGAAAGGGTGGCTAGGGCTGCTGCGTGGGGGATCTGTACAAGATGGGCAGATCATCCCCGTGCCTCATGGGCTGCTGTGAAGGTCACGGGGGGACACTGGACAAGGAAATGCTTAGAAACAAAAGGCCCTGACTGTGGTTACAGGGCTTCCAGGAGAGAGAGCTGAGTGGCTCTGCTCACAACCGTCTTATTGAAGGGTCAGTGGAGCTCAGGAGAGGGTTATAATTTGCCCAGGGTCATATGTTCTACAACCAATTCAAGATCGGGGACTTCCCACTCTTCTCCCAGGGCAAATACCATCTGGCAGGTGGCTAAGTAGTGCAGCCTTTGGACCTGTGATGGCTGTAGTGCGGCTGACGGGGACTGAGTCCTCCCTTGAAAATCCATTCACTCCACAAATATTTGTTAAGTGCCGGTTATGGGCCAGGCACTGATCTGGACTAGAAGCTGGGACCTAGAGATATTGGGAGACACCTGGCAAGGGCTAAGTCCTGGTCTCTGGTGGGGCTGGTTTCTGGTGGGGCTGGTCTCTGGTGGGGTTGGTCTGTCTCTGGTGGGTTTGGTCTGTCTCTGGTGGGGTTGGTCTCGTCTGGTGGGGTTTGGTCTCTGGTGGGGCTGGTCTCTGGTGTGGTTGGTCTCTGGTGGGGTTGGTCTGTCTCTGGTGGGGTTGGTCTGTCTCTGGTGGGGTTGGTCTCTGGTGGGGTTTGGTCTCTGGTGGGGTTGGTCTGTCTCGGGGCTGGTCTCTGGTGGGGTTGGGCTCTGGTGGGGTTGGGCTCTGCTGGCGCTGGTCTCTGGTGCGGTTGGTCTGTCTCTAGTGCGGTTGGTCTGTCTTTGGTGGGGTTTGGTCTCTGGTGGGGTTGGTCTCTAGTGGGGTTGGTCTCTGGTGGGGTTGGGCTCTGGTGGGGTTGGTCTCTGGTAGGGCTGGTCTCTGGTGGGGTTGGTCTGTCTCTGGTGGGGTTGGTCTCTGGTGGGGTTTGGTCTCTGGTGGGGCTGGTCTCTGGTGGGGTTGGTCTCTGGTGGGGTTGATCTCTGGAGGAGTTGGTCTCTGGTGGGGCTCAGTCGGTCTGTGCAGGAGTCAAGTGTTAGAGGCCACACTACTGAAGGCTGGTGTTGGACTTAGGGTCAAGAGTCCATCTGGGGCTGGGGTCAGGTCACAGCTGGAGTCAGGCAGCCCAGTCAAGAGGCTGTGGAAAGTCAAGCTGGAGAGGCAAGGCCTGCTGGGGGCTGTGGAGGTCAGGAGAAGGCCACACACCACGGGCCAGACTGTGTATGGTAGGGGTGGGACCAAGGTGCCACTGAGCTTTTACGTTTAGGTGGCAAAGAAGATGATGTCATTCATAAAAGCAGGAAGGCATTAGTTCATTTGAGGAACAGAAAGAGTGCAGTGCATCTGATGAGCGGGGAGAGGCGTTTCAGATGAAGAGACAGGCTGGGACCAGGTCATGTAGCCTGGTAGTCTCTTGGGGAATTATTCCAAGAACAATGGGAAGCCCTCAGAGGGCCAGGCAGGAGGTTCTGGGTCTGGTTTGTCTTTGAAAATTATGCGTAGCACACAGATTTAAGGGGGCCGGAGGCCAGGCATGGTGGCTCACGCCTGTAATCCCAGCACTTTGGGAGGCGGAGGAGGGCAGATCATGAGGTCGGGAGTTCGAGACCAGCCTGGCCAACATGGTGAAACCCCATCTCTACTAAAAATACAAAAATTAGCCCGGCATGGTGGTGCACATCTGTAATCCCAGCTACTTGGGAGGCTGACGCAGGAGAATTGCTTGAACCCATGAGGCGGAGGTTGCGGTGAGCAGAGACCACGCCATTGCACTCCAGGCTGGGTGACAAGAGCAAGACTCCCTCTCAAAAAAAAAAAGCAGGGAGGGTGGCTGGGGGGCAGGAATGGGACCAGGAGACCAGTGACGGGCCAAAGTAGTTTAGAGATGGTGGTGACTTTGAGTGGTGGTGGAGAAGAAGAAGGGGGCAGATTCCATAGCTGTCTTGAAGGCAGAAGTGTCAGGATTTGCCGTGGGAGGAAGGGAGAAGGAGGTGAAGGTAGTGCCCAGGCTTGGGGCTGCGCAAGGCATGGTGCTGGCCTCCACTGAGATGGGGAGATGGAGAACACCTTCTGGAGTAGGTAGAAACCAGTTTTGTTCTGGCTGTCTTCTGCTGTGGCACTCATCTGTAGCCACCAAGTAGGTGGCTGAGGATGCACACTGAAACTTCCTAAAGAGAGAAACGAACATGTACCTTTGTGGGTTATCAACGTGCCCCCATACTTAAGAGTGTGGGGCCGGGCGTGGTGGCTCACGCCTGTAATCCCAGCACTTTGGGAGGCCGTGGCGGGTGGATCACGAGGTCAGGAGATGGAGACCATCCTGGCTAACATGGTGAAACCCCGTCTTTACTAAAAAATACAAAAAATTAGCCAGGCATGGCGGCACGAGCCTGTAGTCCCAGCTAGTCGGGAGGCTGAGGCAGGAGAATGGCGTGAACCCGGGAGGCGGAGCTTACAGTGAGCCGAGATCGCACCACTGCACTCCAGCCTGGGCAACAGAGCCAGACTCCGTCTCAAAAAAAAAAAAAAAAAAAAAAAGAGTGTGGATGGAGGAGCAGCTCTGATCAGTGAGGAGGAGGGGCAGGGAGGTGGAAGGAAACCTGGGAGAGGGGCCACCATAGTCCCAGGAAAGACTTGAAGGACGGTGTGGTCAGCTGTGTCGGATACCGCTGAGAGGACCAGTCAGACAAGCGCAGAGGAAAGCCCGGTGGACTTGGGCACGTGAGGTCGCCGGCGAAGCTGACAAGAGCAGGCTTGTGAACTGCTTGAGGATGGGTGGAGCAGCACTGGGAGCAGCGGCAGGAGGTGAGGCAGTGGCTGGACAAGATGCAGCCCCGGGTGCGAGCATGCTTGTCCGCAGAGGGAGTGACTCCGTGGGGAGGGAGAGCCAATGATGCTGACGAGGGGAGGCAGCAAAGGAGGGGTCCAGGCCGGGTACGGTGGCTCATGCTTGTAATGCCAGCACTATGGGAGGCCGAGGCAGGAGAATCACTGGAGCCCAGGAGTTCGAGACCAGCCTAGGTAACATAGGGAAACCCTGTGTCAATCAGTCAATCAGTGAGTGGTCCTGCACAGCCCAGGCTCTCTGATTAATGCTGCCACCACAGTTCCCATCCGCTGGGTTTGAAGGGAAAGTGAAACTTCCAAATCCCACAAAGGCCCTGGCTCCTGAGCCTCACCTCTTTGATTGAGTGTAAATTATTCCCACTTGGCTTCTCATTTTATTGTCACAACAAGCCCTGTGAGTTTCAGGGGATTAAATGAGCTGCATAAGCACCAGCTGAGTGCTAGTAAGTGGCAAAGCCACGATTTGAAGCCAGGTCTGAGCTGTCTCCAGAGCACTTCCTCTCAATCCCCATGTCATACTGCTTCCCGCAGGCTTCTTACTTCGAGCAGTCTTAGGATCAGGTCACCTGCAATCTCTGTTCCCAAGGGGATGGATTAGGCAGGCAGATGGGATTCCTTCCCAATCATTGTTTCTTATGGGCAATTCCTACCTCTAGTACTTTCGAGACAAACTTAATATCAGTCCTCCAGGCTTCCTTCCTACCCAGGAATGATGCTTTTTGAGCGTTTCCTCACATGCCTGACGGTCTACTTACATGCCGCCAGAGACAGAAAGCTCACTATCTCCATGAGTAACCCATTCTAGGCAGTAGGCTTTGCATGACAGCTTAGAGTCTATGCTCTTAAGTTGCTTTGGCTGAATCTCAGTTCTGCTGCCTACTAGCATCCTGTGCTTCAGTTTCCTCACCTGTAAAATGGTAATAACAGCCTGGCACAGTGGTCCATCCCTCTAATCCCAACAATTTGGGAGGTCAAGGAAGGAGGATTGCCTTGAGCCCAGGAGTTCAAGACTAGCCTGGACAACATAGGGTGACGCCCATCTCTTAAAAACAAAAAAATTAGGCCAGGTGCAGTGGCTCACGCCTGTAATCCCAGCACTTTGGGAGGCCGAGGCGGGCAGATCACAAGGTCAGGAGATCGAGACCACGGTGAAACCCCGTCTCTACTAAAAATACAAAAAAATTAGCCGGGCGTGGTGGCGGGCGCCTGTAATCCCAGGAGCCTGAGGCAGGAGAATGGCGTGAACCTGGGAGGCGGAGCTTGCAGTGAGCCAAGATTGCGCCACTGCACTCCAGACTCCATCTCAAAAAAAATTTTTTTTTGATTAGCCAGGCATGGTGGTGTATGCCTATAGTTCTAGCTACTCTGAAAGCTAAGGCAGGAGGATCACTTGAACCTGGGAGTTCGAGGCTGCAGTGAGCCATGATCGCACCACTGCACTCCAGCCTGGGCAACAGAACAAGACCCTATCTCTGAAAAAACAAAACCAAAAGAGGCAGGCCAGGTGTGGTGGCTCACGCCTGTAATCCCACCACTTTGGGAGGCTGAGGTGAGCGGATCGCTTGAGGTCAGGAGTTCGAGACCAGCCTGGCCAACATGGTGAAACCCTGTCTCTATTAAAAATATAAAAATTAGCTGGGCAAGGTGGCAGACGCCTGTAAATACCAGCTACTTGGGAGGCTGAGGCAGGAGAATTGCTTGAACCTGGGAGGTGGAGGTTGCTGTAAGCTGAGATGGTGCCAATGCACTCCAGCTTGGGCAACAAGAGCAAAACTCCATCTCAAAAAAAAATAGAAAAAGGTAATAATAGCAATACCTAATTCCTCACATCTCTGATAGTCTCAGGAGTTTGAGGCTGCAGTGAGCTGTGATCACACCATTGCACTCCAGCCTGGGCAACAGAGCAAGACCCTGTCTCTAAAAAAACAAAAACAAAAAGGGTAATAATAGCAGTATCTACTTCCTTACACCTCTGATGGTCTACTTGCATGCTACTTCCTACTGTGAGTATGAGAATTAAATAAGCTGCTACTTTTTTTTTTTTTTTTGAGACAGTCTCACTCTGTCACCCAGGCTGGAGTGCAACGGCATCTTGGCTCACTGCAACCTCCGCCTCCTGGGTTCTTGTGATTCTCCTGCCTCAGCCTCCTGAGTAGCTAGCACTACAGGTGTGCACCACCATGCCTGGCTAACTTTTGTATTTTTAGTAGAGACTGGGATTCACCATGTTGGCCAGGCTGGTCTCAAACTCCTGACCTCAGGTGATCCAGCCGCCTCAGCCTCCCAAAGTGCTGGGATAACAGGCGTGAGTCACCGCACCCAGCCAATAAGCTGCTACATTTAAGTTGCTTGATAAGTGCTTAATAAATTTCAGCTGTATAACATCGTCAGTCTAGTTAGTGCTATTTTCCCTAATGTCGCACCACAGCTTGCCTCCCTGTAACTTCCATACTTTAGGTCTAGCTCTGTCCCTTGGAATTCTACCCTCTTTCGCACTCACCTGCAGGTTATTCCTATTGTTCTGCATTTCTCAATTTTTCTTTTTCTTTTTTGAGACAGAGTCTTGCTCCATCACCCAGGCTGGAGTGTAGTGATTCCATCTCAGCTTACTGCAACCTCTGCCTCCTGGACTCAAGCCATCCTCCCACCTCAGCCTCTTGAGTAGTTGGAACAACAGGTTCACACCACAATGCCTGGGTAATTTTGGTATTTTTGTAGAGACAGAGTCTCCCCATGGCTGGCCTCGAACTCCTAGGCTCAAGTGATCCGCCCACCTTGGCCTTCCAAAGTGTTGGGACTACAGGCGTGAGCCACCCTAGTCCATTTCTCAATTTTAATTTTCTCCTGATGCCAGAGTTTTTGGTTTTATTTTGTTTTTTTTTTTTGAGATGGAGTCTCCCTCTGTCGCCCAGGCTAGAGTGCAGTGTCATGATCTCGGCTCACTGTAATCTCCACCTCCTGGCTTTAAGCAATTCTCCTGCCTCAACCTCCTAAGTAGCTGGGATTACAGATGACTGCCACCACACCTGGCTAATTTTTTTTTTTTTTTTTTTTTTTTTAGTAGAGACAGGGCTTCACCATGTTGGCCAGGCTGGTCTTGAACTCATGACCTCAAGTGATCCGCCTGCCTTGGCCACCCAAAGTGCTGGGATTACAGGCTTGAGCCACTGCACCCGGCCACTTGATGCCAGATTTTCTTTTTGCAAGTTCCATTTTTCATCATGCAAACATAATTTCCCCAAGATCATGGTTTCTTCTTGTCAGAGTCATTGGTTGTTTGCCAGGCAAGCTCAACTTTGCCAGACACACAACTGCGGCGGGTGGGAGAATGTAGCTTCAGGGCCTCCCCTCCTGCCCTGACAGGCCTGATTGTTTACTCCCAGGAATTTGCATTACTTGGATTTGGAATCCCTGTCGGTAGGCCTCTCTGACAGCATACCCTAAGCATCTGCCATCAGGGCAGGATGATGTCATGATGAAGGGCCCGGACTCCGGAGCCAGGCAGAGCTAAGTTCAAATCCAGACTCCTCCACTTACTTGCTGTGTGATCTTGGCTGAGGCACTTAGTCTCCCTAAGCAAGCCTCAGTTTTCTCATCTGCAAAACAGGACTAATAATAATAATAATCTTGCCTGCTTCATAGCATGTTGTGAAGATTGATTAAGAGAATGCAGCCAGGCGCAGTGGCTCACACCTGTAATCCCAGCACTTTGGGAGGCCGAGGCAGGTGGATCATGAGGTCAGGAGTTCGAGACCAGCCTGGCCAATATGGTGAAACCCCGTCTCTACTAAAAATGCAAAAAACTAGCCAGCATGATAGCAGGTGCCTGTACTCCTCGCTACTCGGGAGGCTGAAGGGGAGAATCTCGCTTGAACCCGGGAGGCGAAGGTTGCAGTGAACCAAGATAGTGCCATTGCACTCCAGCCTGGGTGACAGAGCGAAACTCTGTCTCGGAAAAAAAAAAAAAAAAAAAGAGAATGCATGTAAAACACTCGGCATAGTACCTACCTCAATAAATGTTTGGCATTAATATCTAAGGCTGTGCTGTCTAACATGGCAGCCACTAGCTACACATGGTGGTTGAGCCCTTGAAATGTGGCTAGTCCAAATGGAAGTGTGCTATAAGTGGAAATATATAAGGGACCAGCCGGGCTCAGTGGCTCAGGCCTGTAATCCCAGCACTTTGAGAGGCTGAGGCGGGTGGATCACCTGAGTTCAGGAGTTCAAGACCAGCCTGACCAACATGGTGAAACCCTGTCTCTACTAAAAATACAAAAATTAGCCAGGTGTGGTGGTGGGTGCCTGTAATCCCAGCTACTTGGGAGGCTGAGACAGGAGAATTGCTTGAACCCGGGAGGTAGAGGTTGCAGTGAGACAAGATTGTGCCACTGCACTCCAGCCTGAGTGACAGAGAGACTCCGTCTCAAAAAAAAAAAGTACAATGGATCTCAAACTTCACACAAAAAAAGTAAAACATCTTAATAATTTTTATATTGATTATATGTTGGAATGAAAATATTTTGAACATATTGGGTTACATGAAATATATTATTAAAATTAATGTCATTTTGTGATACTTTATCAGTGTGGCTACTGGAAAATTTGAAATTACACCTGTGGCTCACTTCTGTGGCTTGCATCATATTTCTTTGGTGCTAATTCTAGTGGGTTTTATTGTTGTTTTCAGTGGGGGGGAGGAGATCTGGTTTGGTTTGGGAGCATTTGAATTCCACTGGCTGCACCTTTCTCTTTTACATGGCATCTGAGGTGCAAGGGCTCTTCAGAGATCACAGAGATGCAATCTCCTTTTTGTAAAGATGAGGAAACGGAGGCACATAAGAAATGGATAGGCTGAGGGCCACTGAACCAGGGGTGGCAGAACCCAGATCAGAACTAAGACAGCAAGGCAGCACGCGGCTTCCTGTCAGAACAATGCTGCCACCTGGTGGCCACCTATATATGACTGATGTAAGCTCCCACGGCAACGGGGCTCCCTTCAGGGGCAGGACTCTGCTACCGTGTACTTCCCAGCCCTCTGAAGAGATGCTGAGACAGGGCGGGTCCTCCTCCTCCTCGACTTCCTTGGTAGCCTGATTGCACTGAGCCCCAGCCTGCTAGAAGTGAAAGAGTGTGGCGATTAAGGGCACGGTCTGTGGTTATAGACAAGCGTATGTAAGTTTGAATCCTTGCTCCTGCCCCTTTCCAGCTGTGTGCCCCTGGACGAGTCACTTAACCTCTCTGACCCTCAGTTTCCTCACATGTTAAATTTTGATAATAACAGTACTTACCTCAAAGCGACTGAATGAGGTAATACTTGTAATATGAGTCATAAATATTTATATGATACCAGGTACGCATTGTCTCAGGTGCTGGGACAGCAGTGACCTGAACGGAAAAGTCCAGTAGTCACCAAGCCCAGTGGTTCTCAAAATGTGGTCTCTGAACCATCAACATCAGCACTACTTGGGAACTTAGAAATACAAATCTTCAGACCGGGTGCGGTGGCTCATGCCTATAATCCCGGCATTTTGGAGGCTGGGTTGGGTAATCAATTGAGCCCTGGAGTTCAAGACCAGTGAGGGCAACATAGCAAGACCCCACCTCTAAATAAAGAAAAAGAAAGAAAGATGGAAGGAAGGAAGGAAGGAAGGAAGGAAGGAAGGAAGGAAGGAAGGAAGAGAAAGAAAGAAAGAAAGAGAAAAAAGAAAGAAAGAAAGAAAGAAAGAAAGAAAGAAAGAAAGAAAGAAAGAAAGAAAAAGAAAGAAAAGAAAGGAAGGAAGGAGGGAGGGAAGGAAAGAGGCAGGCAGGGAGGGAAGGAAGGAAGGAGAAAGAAAGAAGGAAAGAAAAAGAAAAAGGAAAGAAAGAAAGAAAAAGAAAGAAAGAAAAGAGAAAGAAAGGAAAGAAAGAAAAGAAGGAAGAAGGCAGGGAGGAAGGGAAGGCAGGCAGGCAGGCAGGCAGGCAGGCAGGCAGATATTCAGGCCTCCATCCCAGATCTACTGAATCAGAAACTCGGGGTGGGAGCCCAGCAATCTGAATCTGATGCATACTTGTTTGAGAACCACTGACTTGGTGATATAGATGTTAATACCAAGTTGGGCTAAGATCTACACATTTGGCCGCATACATGGATAAATAGCTTGAGAATGATGGGCAGAGGTGAGGGATGCTAATGGATCTGTGATGTCAGGGAAGTTTGTCTGATAAGGCGACAGTTTCCAGCAGAGATCTAAAAGTGAGTATCTAGAGGAAAGAGAAGAAGGTCATGCCATCTCCTCTTCAAGACTCTCCCTGTAGACTGTAGACTGCATTCATGACTCTGCTTACTTCTCACTGGCCACAACTTAGTTGTGTGAGTGACACTTAGCTGCCTGGGAGGGGGCTGGAAACTGTACTGTTTATTCCTTGTTTCTCTTAATTCTATGTTTCTTCTTTTTTTTCTATTTTAATATTGCTCAGACCATCCTCCATAAAATGTCATCTTCATTCTGATCAGCCATACACGCAGCTAAAAATTGAGATTCCTATTTCCAATAGAAGATGAAGAGAAAGCATACTGGGACACAATTATCTCTGCCACATGGTGGTTGAGTCCTTGAAATGTGGCAAGTCCAAATGGAAGTGTGCTATAAGTGTAAATGTACAATGAATCTCAAACTTACCACAAAAAAACAGTAAAACATCTTATTAATAATTTTTATTTTGATTATATGTTGAAGTGAAAATATTTTGGACATATTGGGTTAAATGAAATATATTATTAAAATTAATGTCACTTTTTGGTACTTTATTAATATGGCTACTAGAAAATTTGAAATTACATATGTGGTTCACTTTTGTGGCTTACGTTGTATTTCTTTGGTGCTAATTCTAGTGGGTTTTATTGTTGTTTTCAGTAAGGGAGAAGAGAGATGGTATGTTTGGTTTGGGAGCATTTGAATTTCACTGCTTGCACCTTTCTCTTTTATGTGTTTCTGATATAACTAGCCTTTGGAAGTCTTTTACACGTGTATGCCTCCAGTGATGGAGAGATCACTATCTCATGAAGCAGTTTAAATCTCTGAGCAGCTCTTTTAGAAAACTCCTTTTTAGGCCAGGCGCAGGGCTCACGCCTGTAATCCCAGCACTTTGGAAGGCCGAGGCAGGCAGATCACCTGAGGTCAGGAATTCGAGACCAGCCTGGCCAATATAATGAAACCTCATCTCTACTAAAAATACAAAAATTAGTCGGGTGTGGTGTCAGGTGCCTGTTAATCCCAGCTACTCAGGAGGCTGCGGCAGGAGAATTGCTTGAACCTGGGAGGCGGAGGTTGCAGTGAGCAGAGATGGTGCCATTGCACTCCAACCTGGGCAACAAGAGCAAGACTCTGTCTCAAAAAAATAAAAATAAAAATAAAAAACTCCTCTTTAGGCCAGGGATAGTGGCTCACAACTGTAATCCCAGTACTTTGGGAAGCCAAAGTGGGATGATTGCTTGACCCCAGGAGTTCGAGACCAGCCTGGGCAACATTGTGAGACCCTATCTCTACAAAAAGTGGGGAAAAAATTAGTTGGGAATGGTGATGCACACCTGTAGTCCCAGCTACTCAGCAGGCTGAGGTGGGAGGACTGCTTGACCCTGGGAGGTGGAGGCTGCAGTGAGCTACAATCACACTACTGCACTCCAGTCTGGGCAGAGGTCTTGTCTTCAAAAAAAATAAACATAAATAAAGAAGGGAAGAAAGAAAAAGAAAAGAAGGAAGGAAGAAAGGAAGGAAGGAAGGAAGGAAGGAAGGAAGGAAGGAAGGAGACCCCTGTTTATTTGATGTCAAGTCTACCTCTCTACAACTCCTTCCCTAGCCAACTTCTACCATCGTAGGACCACACATAACGACACTGCTGCCTCTTCCCTGAGACAGAACTTTACCTATTTGAAATCCCTTATACGTTTTCCTTTTTGGCCCATTTAAAGTAAATAACCCTCCTTTGCAGCCACATCTTGGGAAAGGTTTTCCTGATCCTGCACCAAGAGATTGAGGATGGCCTTGCTAGTGCCCTCTCTGGACAACAGGGGTCACTGCAAGGTCCCCCAGGTGAATGGAGGCTCACTGGGCACCAGAGGGGCTGGCAAGGCCGGTGCTCCCTCAGGCAGAATTGTCTTCAGTTCCAAATCCTCTTGGAATCTTCTCTGTTTTGTAATTTCTTCAGATTTATTTTGCAGTTCAGTAACTTTTTTTTTTTTTTTTTGAGACAGAGTCTTGCTCTGTCACCCAGGCTGGAGTGCAATAGCACGATCTTGGCTCACTGCAACCTCCACCTCCCGGGTTTGAGCGATTCTCCTACCTCAGCCTCCTGAGTAGCTGGGACTATAGGCACGCGCCACCAGGCCCAGCTAATTTTTGTATTTTTAGCAGAGATGGGGTTTCACCATGTTGGTTAGGCTGGTCTCAAACTCCTGACCTCGTGATCCGCCCCCCTCGGCCTCCCAAAGTGCTGAGATTACAGGCGTGAGCCACTTCACCTGGCCAGTAACTCTTCTTGCAGCTGGCTCTAATCTGCCATTTAACCTATCCACTGAGCATTTCATTTCATTGATCATACGTGTTTTTCTTTCTGAGGGTTTTCTCTGGTTCCATTTTGAATATACATGATTTTTTTAATAGGTTTTGTCCACTCTTTTTGTTCCATTGCATATTTCTTTCAACATTTCATATGTAGTTATATTCTAATTCTAATATCATCAGAAGTCTTTTGGGTATCTAAATCTGTTTGTTGTTTCTGCTGCCTCTCATTCTGGTGGTTTATTTGCGTGTGTGTTGATTTTTTTCTATGAGCTCTGAGAGGGCAGGGAGTGGGCCCATATTTGGTTTTACCTAATGTGTGGGAAACTGGAGGGATTCCGTTGTCAAGGGCTTTACTCAGAGAGGATGTGCTTTAACTTCTGCGAAGAGCTCAAGGACACTCCTACCTGGGCTCGTGCTAGCCCAGAAATCAGAGTATTTAGGGCTTAATGTGAATGTCAAGTTCAGCTCCCTCACTTTGTTTGGGGTTGGGGATGGGGAGTGATAGAACCTAGGTATAACCTCCCAGCCGCTCTCCAGGATTCTCCACCATTCTTCGCCTGCAGCTTTCCATTCGGTTTTTTCTTTTTTCCTTTCTTCTTCTTTTTTTTTTTTTAGATGGAGTTTTGCTCGTTTGCCCAGGCTGGAGTGCAATGGCATGATCTCGGCTCACTGCAACCTCCGCCTCCCGGGTTCAAGCGATTCTTCTGCCTCAGCAGGCTGGGTGCTGATGTGGCAGACATTGAACAAGACATACTCCCTTCCCTCTCAGGGCTCATAGACTTTGGCGGTGCGGGGGTGAGTAGGCTGTTGTGATAGAGGGTGACCAGTGGTACCATGGGGGAATAGAGGTGTTATGAGAATTCAGTGGAGAGGTACCTTGAAGGCATCCAGGAAGATACCTTTTGATCTCAAACTTCTGACGTCAGGTGATCCACCCGCCTCGGCCTCCCAAAGTGCTGGAATTACAGGTGTCAGCCACTGCGCCTAGCCTCCAGGAAGATACTTTTGAGACAGTGATGAAAAATTGATTCCAGGCCAGGCACGGTGGCTCATGCCTGTAAATCCCAGCACTTTGGGAGGCCAAGGCAGGAGGGTCACTTGAGTCCAGGAGTTCGAGACCAGCCTGGGCGGCACAGGGAGACCCAGTCTCTACAAAAAATTTAAAAATAGGTGGGTGTGGTGATGCACACTTGTAGTCCCAGCTACTCAGGAGGCTGAGGCGGAGGAGGATCACTTGAACCCAGGAGGTCAAGGCTGCAGTGAGCCGTGATTGTGCCACTGCACTCCAGCCTGGGCAACAGAGTGAGACCCAGTCTCAAAAACAACAACAAAAAAAAACAAAACAGATTCTAACAGGTAAGCAGATGATAGTGAGGCCAAGTTGGGGAGAGTAGATGCTCCATGAGCCAAGCTGGGAAGGAAGACACAGAGGAGAGGCTGAAAGCATGAGAAGGCATGGAGGAGGGGAGAACTGAGGGAAACAGGCTTGGCTTGGGCAGAGTGAGAGGAGGGCGGAGGATGGGGTGGGGCCAGCTAAAACACAGGAGATTCACTGAGGAGATTGGATCCTATTCTAAAGACAACAGGGAGGGCAGTGATAAAACAGCAGGGGAGGGCCAGGCGTGGCGGCTCATGCCTGTAACCCCAGCACTTTGGGAAGCCGAGGCAGGCGGATCACCTGAGGTTAGGAGTTTGAGACCTGCCTGGCCAATATGGTGAAACTCTACAAAAATGAGCCAGGCATGGTGGCGGGCACCTGTAATCCCAGCCACTTGGGAGGCTGAGGCAGGAGAATCTCTCCAACCCAGGAGGCAGAGATTGCAGTGAGCCTGAGATCATGCCATTGCACTCCACCCTGGGTGACAGAGCGAAACTCCGTCTCAAAGAAAACAGCAGGGAGTGACAGAATCCAGTTAGTTTTAGATGGCATGTTGCAATGTGGTCTAGAGATAGGCAGAGGCCAGAGGGAAGACTGGGAAACGCTAGGAAGGAAACCTTGGCATGGGAAGGCGGCCAGAAGGGGAGCAGGGGAGAGGGGCAGCGACTGTCTCTAGAGGTCTGGTTGGGGCTGCAGTCGCAGCTTCAGGCGCCTCTGCTGCAGGCTGCAGTCTCAGGTGGGCAGCAGCCCAGCCGCCTCTGCGGTCAATAGGCTGCTACGTTCCCACCTGAGCCACACCACAACTTGGCTCTCCTTTCAGGCAAAACCCCCGAAAGGAACTGCTTTCAAAGACCCGGCTGATTGCATCCCTGGTTACCAGGAAAGAGCAGGACAAGTTACAGTCTCACCACAGGAAATAAAAAGAATGCTCCGGCGACTGGCAGCATTTTTCTACCACGATTCCAGCCAGCTGTCCTTTATGCTGCTTGGCACAAGACCTGCACCAGTGTAAGAATAGCAGCAGCTTCTTCAGTGCCAGGCACTGCGCTAAACACTTTGATCTTGTGTGATTCCATTTGAGGCAGCCATCATCACAGGAGTTTCCACTAAACGGCTGAGAGGTTAAGTACTTTGCCTAAGGTTGAACGGTCTGAAGCTGTGGAATAGGATTTTCCTCCAGGTGTGTCTGCCTCCTGAGGGTCTGTGCACCACATCCTGCCTTAGACTGCCAGACTGACAGTATAAAAGCACCCCTCATTTTTTTTCCCTAATAATTTGACTTTGGAATAATTTTAAGTTTACCAAAAAGTTGCAAAGATACAGTTTCTGTGTGCCACTCACCCGGTTTCACCTGTTACCATCTTACATCGCCATGATACATTTGCCAAAAGTAGGAAACCACTGGTACATTACTACTAGCTTTATTCCAGACTTTAACTCCAGACTTTATTCATATTTTTTAATTTATTATTTACTTATTTAGTTTTTGAGATAGGATCTTGCTCTGTGACCCAGGCTGAATGTAGTGATGCAATCACAGCTCACTGCGGCCTCCACTTCCCAGGCTCAGGCAATTCTCCCACCTCAGCCTCCCAAGTAGCTGGCAGTACAGACGTGTGCCACCATGCCCAGCTAATTTTTTATTTTTTGTAGAGACGGGGTCTCCCTGTGTTGCCCAGGCTGGTCTCAAACTCCTGGGCTCAATCCGTCCTCCTGTCTCGGCTTCCCAAAGTGTTGGGATTATAGGCGTGAACCACTGTGCCCTGCCTTTATCCTATTTCACTAGTTTTTATACTAATACCCTATTCTGGTTCCAGAATCCAATCCAGGATACCACAATGGGCATTTAGTTTTCACGCCTCCTTAATCTCCTGTCCTTGACTTTCATGACTTTTAACAATTTAAGGAGTACTGTTATATTTTTTTTGCAAGCTTTTTTTTTTTATTATACTTTAAGTTTTAGGGTACATGTGCACAACGTGCAGGTTTGTTACATATGTATACATGTGCCATGTTGGTGTGCTGCACCCATTAACTCGTCATTTAGCATTAGGTATATCTCCTAATGCTATCCCTCCCGCCTCCCCAGGAGTACTGTTATTTCATCAGGTTAAGATTCAATGTTGTTATTAAAATCCCTAGCAAGGTTTGGCATGTAACCAACGCCGCCTCATCACAGTAACCCCTTGTCTCAGGACCCATTTATTTGCTTATTCCCTCTGCCTGGAACACGCCATCAAAGGCTAAAAGCAGCATCCCAACAGATTTTCCCCTCTTGCTGGTTTCTTTCCTCTACAACTGACTACCTCAATGGTCTCACCTCTCCAGCCTGTGACACACAGCATCCTCTCCACTGGGTCTCACTAACCCTACCCAGCCACCAGCCTGTCCTAACCATGGCAGGCACCATCACGGGGCCTTGTGGTAATCCCTTGCAAAACGCTGAGTACCATCTGGTGTCACTGGGTACTCAGAGCCGCATGCAAGCTTCCGGAAAGCAAGAACTTTTCTTTTTTATCGCTGATGAAAATAGGACTTGGTGTGTATTTGTGGGGTGACAATCTTTATGTACTTTATGTACTGATGTGGAACAATCTCCAAGATCTGCCAAGTGAAAAAAAGCAAGACGCAGTGGAGTGAGCTCCCAGCTTTGCACAGAAGGTGTGGGGGGAGAATGCACACCCACGTGTGTTTATATATGGCATGGGTCTGGAAGGCTCCTCTTTCGCTTCAGGCTACACTTGGATCAACAGTTCCCACTCTGGCTCTTTAAGAATTGGTCCATATTTAGAACCAGCATCTCCACTCAAAACGAGGTCTCCAACGCCTTGGTCTGCTTTAGATGACCAAGGCAACTTAATGCCGCAAGTAGCATGGAAAAGACCCCAAATGCAGCACCAGGATCTCAGCTCTCCTCAGGCTCCTTTCTCCCAAGAAGCCAAATAGGAGGAAGAAATCAAATGCCTGAGTAGCCCCTGATGAAGGAGAGAAGGCTGGAGTTGAAACAGTTTACATGAAGGCAATTTATTAACAGAAAATATTTTGAGGAATCTTGTTCACAGACGGCGACCACGGCGACCCCCCTTCCTGCGAGTGCTGTCAGAGGGGATGGGGGTGACATCCTCTGTGGGGAGGAAGAGAAAGCGTCATTGCCTGGAGCTGGATGGGAAGGGCCCCCAGGACTCCCTAGACCAATGGCCTAACCAATCAGCAACAGATCCTGCTGCTCCCCAAATGACTCCCCAGTACCTAACAGATGGATGTGAACATGAAGTGGCCCCATCTGCCAGTTCCTCGAATTTCCTGACGTGGTCTTAACTCACTTTCCAGAAAGGGAAACAGGCTGAGCTGTGCGCAAGATGTCAGAGGCACAGGACAAATCCAGGTTCTGACATCTAGCCCACCGTCTTCTCTAGAGGAAAAAACCCTTTTAGACAGGGTAACTGCAACTGTCTCGTTTTCATTAAGTAAAAAGACACTGAAAAAAAGTCTGAAAAAATCTTTTAAGGCTGGGCGCGGTGGCTCATGCCTGTAATCCTAGCACTTTGGGCTTTGGGAGACTGAGGCTGGTGGAACGCCTGAGGCCAGGAGTTTGGGACCAACCTGGGCAACATGGTGAAACTCCCCGCTACAAAAAAAAAAAGCCCGGTGTGGCACACACTGTTGTCCCAGCTACTCAGTAGATGCAGGTGGGAGGATCCTTTGGACAGATCCGCCCACGAGGCGAAATTTACAGTGAGCTGAGATTGTGCCACTGAATTCCAGCCCACGCAACAGAGCCAGACCCTGTCTCAAGAAAACAAAATCATCCTTCAAGTAGGACACAGTAGGAACTTTGGCCTGGGGCGTCAGTGTATGTCGCTACTAACTGCACAGAACAATGTGCAGGGAAAGACTACTGTTCCCTTCCTAAGAGCTGTAAGGAGCCAGGAGATCACAGGCCTGAGGGTATTAATAACAGAAGCTGGTACCCCCCACTTCATTTTTGGCTGTCACACGACTGGCATGCCCAACTGATATTTAGTAGGCGGAAACCAAAAATGCTGAACATCCTACAATGCAGGAGATGGTACACACAAAATGCTAATAGCAATGACCTCAAGAATGGAGGAAAGGACAATTCATCTCTTGTCAGTTTTACCTGCACCAGGCAGTGTAGGACAGAGATTCACAAATGAAACAGGACATTCATATCAAGGTGACAGAGATATTCAGGGAGAGATTTTTAAGTCACAAGGTGCCTCTTGCAGCCTCCCTTAACAAACTTAACTGCCAAAAGTGACCAGACCAGCCGCTGCACATCCACTGGGCACAGCACGTGCTTTTTGGGGCCAATGCTTCAAAATAAACCCAAGCATTAGCTAGAGGGGGGCACTTACCAATCCGCCCGATCTTCATACCCGAGCGGGCAAGGGCTCTGAGGGCCGACTGGGCCCCAGGTCCAGGGGTCTTGGTCCTAGAAAATGAAGGTTTAAGTTAAGAAGAGCCTTTGGCCAAGTCAATGGAAGATCTCCTTTCTAAGATCCCAACACCCCGCTAGTTCAGAGGTCTGCAAACTTTCTGTAAAGAGCCAGACAGGGCTGTACACAGTGGTTCACACCCATAATCTCAGCACCTTGGGAGGCTAAGGCAGGGCGGACTGCTTCAGCTCAGGAGTTCAAGACCAGCCTGAGCAACATGGTGAAACCCCATCTCTACAAAAATACACAATTTAGCCAGGCGTGGTGGCACTACTACTAGCAGTCCCAGCTACTCGGGAGGCTGAGGTGGGAGGACTGCTAGAGCCTGAAAGCCAGAGACTGCAGTAAGCTGAGATAGCGCCACTGCACTCCAGCCTGGGTGAGAGTGAGACCCTGTCTCAAAAAAGAGGAAAAAAAAAAAAGCCAGACAGTAAATATTTTAGGCTGAGGGGGCCACTATGGTTTGTTGTTATGTTCTGACCACTGTCTGGCTTGTTCACGCAACAGTCATCTATTTCAGCTTTCATGCCCCCATCACTCAAATCCAGGTCCTTCCCCTCTCCTACAGGACTCCACCTCTTCCCCTCTGACTGCACCTCATGCCACTCTTTCCTTCACAGGTGCCCAGGTTCACCCCCACCTCAAGACCTTTCCCTGCAGTTGTCTCTAGCTGGAATACCCTCCTCCTGTCCTTATTTCACTGGAAGGACTCCGGACTTATCATTTAGACCCTAGTTTAAATTACACTTTATCACCAACTCCTTACTTGTGCTTCCTGGCATTTGTCACAAATGAAAACCACATACTCCCTGGTGCTCTGTTGTTTAAAGTCTGACTCTCCCACCAGCCTCGGTCCCACACAAGGAGGGTAGAGACCATGTCTGTTTCCCCATCACTCTCTTCTAGTACCTGAAACACAGCTCCTAGTATACAGTGGGTGCTCAACACTGAGCTGCTGGGGGGTGTACACAGGAGCCAATTATTAAGTATGTATATGCCTAAAATATCTTGTTCAAGGTCACAACAAAAAACCCAAACCTCAAATCCAGGTGCTCCAGCACCCAAGCCCAGCAGGTTTTCTACCACCCAGCCATCCCCTCTGCGACTCGTACCTATTTCCTCCTGTGGCCCGGAGTTTGATGTGTAGGGCGGTGATACCCAGCTCCTTGCACCTCTGGGCCACATCCTGGGCAGCCAACATAGCAGCATATGGTGAGGATTCATCTCGGTCTGCCTTTACCTTCATCCCACCAGTCACACGGCAGATGGTTTCCCTGGGGACAAAAGCACAGGGTCATTTCTTCCTCGTCCAACAAGGAGTGCTTACGATATCCTAATGAGTGAAGAGCAACACAGCTCAGTCATGGTGGAGGATGATGGTCATGGGCTCTGCCCTCATGGAGTTCAGTCCAGTGGGGTTGAATGGCCCAATATAGCTATACTCAGTATTAACATTTTATATATCTACTTTTGCATTTAATCCTTACCATTACTCCACAAGGTAGACATTACTGTCCTAATTTTACATATGAGGAAACCAAAACTCAGAATCTGAGTGATTTCACACAAGTCACAACTTGCTAAATGGCCGTCGAACCCGCACCCAGAGCCCACTTGCAGTCCACTGCTGCTCCTGCAAAGGGAACTAGGGAAAGAAGATAATTCCCAAGAAACCAAGGATTCAATGACCATCACGCTGTAAGGACGAAGAATGTGTCTCCTCTCTTGTAACCCCTGGGAAATCACAATATTTGTGGGCTAAATGGACAAGCACATTTTCTTACCTGGACAAAACAGCATTTCTTTAGAGAGAATCCCCTGAACTGCTAGCCCGTCCCAGCCATTGCCTTCCTCAGCCTTTTGCCAGCTGGATGCCTCTCCACCCAGGTACTCACTTGCCAGAAAGATCAGTGACATGGACAAAAGTGTCATTGAAGGATGCAAAGATATGGCAGACACCAAATACATTCTCTCCTTCAGCCACCTGAGGTCCGAGGCTGATGACCTGTTCTTCCTTCTTTTCCTTCCCCTTTCGAGGTGCCATTTCTGAGTGGAAGGAAAAGAAACTCAAGGTTAACAGACAAAACATTTCCAGAATCCCTTTCCCCTGGCTATTAAATGAAACCCTAGTCCTGCTTCATGTCCCTGTCTTCTTCCATCCAATACTCTACTGTATTCTCTCATTTCTGCCTCACTAAAACTTCTTTCTCCTTGCACTTGGGGGGGTATCAACTGTGGCCACATGGCAAAGTACCATGAGAAGTATCCTTTCCCCAGAAACTACCAACAGCTCAGCTCACAGCACCTACAAGATAGAAGCCTAGGGATCTAGCAGCAGATGCCTGAAGGCTGCACCCCAAAAGGCAAGAAGAAACCCAAGACCAACAGCTACCCATGTACTGGTACCATTCCTAACACCCTTCATGGGGCGAGGGAGCTGCTTGATTCCTGCATGAACTCCTCAGCTTAGAATTCAAGGGACCCTTACCAACACAGCCCTCAAGCCTCTCATCTCCTGTTTTCCTGTGCTCCACCTGATCCCTTCAAAATGTTCAAAAATGCAACTGATTTGACTCCCACAACTATTTAGAACTAAATCTTTGTCACCAACATCAAATATCAAAGGCACTAAAATATATCCAAAAGGCAGGCTAATGGAAAAGACCCATCTCAGAAATCTGATGGGTCCTGAGACTAAATAACTCTAACCTATTATGACCTTCATAATAATTGCAATCATACTGTCACAAGATCTAAGGGAGAGAGAAACTGACAGGAGGAAGGCGGGTGAGAATGAATGAGAAAGTGGAAGGCTAGGATAAGACTGCTTCCGGCCTAAAGCCCCAGGCCTTCTGAACCTCCTGGTGTTCAGAACAATTTAACATTTTCAGAAGACACTAACACTAATCGATATCCTGCAGATGGTGAAGATAGAGAGTGTCTCAGCCTATGGTCACAGTAAAGACAGTGGCAAAACCAAACATAGAAACAACGTGTCCTGACTCCCAGCCCAGCACTCTCTGCCTCCTGCCAAGATGCCTCTACACCACAAATAACTACCCTAGTCTGTCTCAGGTGTTCCTAGATCTCTCCTCTGCCTTCCCTATATAAACTTTAGTTAAGTGTGTGACCACAGTAAGTACTTCAAGTGTAAGTCTTGGGTGTACGAAGTTAAATGTTCCTATCTTCAAATCAGACCAATGAGCACGACCCAGTGCGTTAACTATTGTAAGGAACGCGCCACAGGAGAGAAGCCCAAAGTTCTGCCTCGAGAAGCATAGAAAGGCTCCAGCATATCTCAAATACGTAAGCATGAGTATGTTTCGGCATGATGGCCATTCAGTAAATGCCAATTTGCAGTTTCTCCGTTCCTAACATCCCCTAAAGTAACGAGCAGAGTGGTCATCAGGAGTATATAAACGCAGGGCAAGCGCACAGCAAACATTGGTGCTGGGCCCTGAGCGCCCAGAACTTGCAACGTGCCCGACTCAGCAACGGAAAGAATCGCCCAGATTTAGAAGCATCCAACATAGTGCGAGAGTTTTCCCTGCTTTCCTTCTTTGAATGATCACTACAAACCCATGGGATCGGTGCTATTGTTATTCCTATTTTGCAAACGAGGAAACAAACGAGATTAGGCGTGGGCCTGCGATCACCAAGAAAAAAGTTTGGCGAGGTAGAGGCGGGAGCCCACGTCTGTCCCGGGTTCCCTCAACTACGCTGTGCAGCTCAAACGCGGCCGTGGCCGTGGCCGTATTGCGGGGCCGAGGCCTTAAAAGGCTGGACCCGCACTCACCCTTACTTCACAAGCTCCTCCCTGAAAGCAAAACGGGCCTTCTGAGACCAGGAACGAACTCAATCCCGAGTTGGCCAGGATCCAGGTGGGCCAGCCGCGCGTCTCTTGCCCGGCACCTAGCTCGGTTCCCACGGAAAGACCCCCGTCTCTCGTCCCAAGCCCCACAGGGTCCCCTCGCCGCAGGATGCCCCCCGATTGTCGCGCCCGGGCCTCCTACCTGCACGTCGTCTCCAGACTCCACACCGGAAAGAGAGAGTGGGAGGGGGCGGAGCGACGGGGGTCACTTCCGTGTCCCGGAAGTATACCTCTGAGGTCACGGGGCGAGGTCGGGTTCCGGAAGACGCCGGCATTATTCCTCCCAAAGAGTTTAAGACTCGTCATAAGGAAAGACGGTTTATTACTTAAGGGAGAGCGAAAAGAGGTAGAGGGCTGGTTGTCGCTGCGAGCGGGTCGGCCTAAGCGACAGTACGAAGCGGCTACACCCGCGGGGTGAGGTGGGCCTGTATTCCATGATGGCGGTGGTCGTGGCTAGACAGACTTCCGCCATCCTGACTCCCGCCCTGGCAGCCTTGGAGCGGCAGCGCCCCTTGTGTGGAGCAGGGGAATAACAACAACAAAACGGCCTTAATTAAAGCTAGGGTGGCGCCGGCCTGTGGTCCCAGTTACTCAGGAGGCTGAGGATCGCTTCGTCCAAGTAGTTCGAGGCCAGCCTAGGCAACATAGTCGGGGAAAACACACCGTAATCACTTACTTTGGCATATTATATAATGGGCAAAATAAGAATAAATTATTCAATATGTATTTTCAGACCGGTCTGGGCTAAACAGTTTATATGCATTGCTTCATTTACTCCTCAAGACATTATCAAATAATTTTGATTTCCCTCTTACAGATAAAGGATGTTAACTGAGAGCACACCTTTGCAGAAGGGTTTGGAATTCTAGCTTCAAAGCCCTCGTGTTTAATAGCTACTTCCACATAGCCCTCTAATAACAATATACATGTATATATTTCGACCGAATCTTGTTCTGTAGCCAAGGCTGGAGTGCAGTGGCGCAATCTCGGCTGACCGCAACCTCTGCCTCCCAGGTTCAAGCTATTCTGCCTCAGCCTCCCAAGTAGCTGGGACTACAGGCGCGTGCCACCACGCCCGACAAATTTTTTGTGTGTGTGTATTAGTAGAGACGGGGTTTTACCGTGTTGACTAGGGTGGTCTGGATTTTCTGACCTCGTGATCCACCTGCCTCGGCCTCCCAAAGTGCTGGGATTACAGGCGTGAGCCACCGTGCCCAGCCTCTAATAACAATATTGAAGGACCTTGAAGGCTTGGGAGAATATGTCGGAGCTGTGGGGAAGGGCCAAGAAGTGTACCTCACAGAGCTAGGCAAGCGGTAGATACATTTTATCTATGTACTATATGTAATATTTATATGGAATATATATAGTATTTTTGTATTACATACTATATAAATATTATAAATATATTTTAAATATATAAATATATCCCGTGGCTCCAGCCTGGGTGACACAGCGAGACCCTGTCTCAAAAAAAAAAAAAATTTATTCTGCTAAACTGAAAAACTCAACATACCTTCTTTTTTTTTTTGAGACGGAGTCTGGCTCTTGTTGCCCAGGCTGGAGTGCAGTGACGCCATCTTGGCTCACTGCAAGCTCCGCCTCCTGGGTTCAAGTGATTCTCCTGCCTCATCTCCCGAGTAGCTGGGATTACAGGTGTGCGCCACCACACCCGGCTAATTTTTGTATTTTTAGTAGAGACGGGGTTTCACCATGTTGTCCAGGCTGGTCTCGAACTCCTGCCTCAGGTGATCCACCCGCCTCGGTCTCCCAAAGGGCTGGCATTATAGGCGTGAGCCAATGCACCCAGCCTCAACATACCTTCTCGTTGCATTGCATTTCTTCGATGATGAGTGACGTCAGACATCTCTTTACGGATTGTTTTAACCATTTGCATCTCTTCTGTGAAATGTCTGTATTTTTTGAAGGAGAGGGCTTTTTTGTTTTAATGAGCTTCCCAGTATGTTAGCAGAGACTGGAGTATTGTGGAGTGAGTTCCGCTTTGATTAAGAGTTGTATTAAACAGACCTCCAAACCTCATGTGGCTTCATGGAGGGAGCAAGCCTTGATCTTATGGCTGAAGGCAGCCCACACAATCACCTCAGGACAAATTTTTCCACAGGGAAGCCTATCTTTATCCCAGAAACCATCAAAGTCACTGCTTTCAAACTCCACTTTATTTAATCAACATATTTATTGTTTCTGCAGTTATTAGCTATGGTTCTTTGGGCAAAAATTGTAACCTCTCTGGGCTTCAGTTTTCTCATCTGTGAAATGGGATGATAATAGCATATTTTTATTTTTATTCATTTTTTTTTTTTTTTTTGAGACAGAGTCTCACTGTTGCCTTCCCCTGCCTCAGCCTCCCTAGTAGCTGGGACTACAGGCACACACCACCACACCCGGGTAGTTTTTTTTTTTTTTTTTTGTATTTTTAGTAGAGACGGGGTTTCACCATGTTGGCCCAGGCTGATTTCGAACTCCTGACCTCAGGTGATCCAGCCCCCGCGGTCTTCCAAAGTGCTGAGATTACAGATGTGAGCCACCGCGCCTGGCCGATAATAGTACATTTTTAAATGTATGTTGAAAACTTCAGGGCTCAGTGGCTCACGCCTATAATTCCAACACTGTGGGAGACTGAGGCAGGAGGATCACTTGAGCTCAGGAGTTGGAGACCAGTCTGGGCAACATGGTGAAACACCTTCTCTACAACAAATAGAAAAATTAACCAGGTATGGTGACCTGCACCTATAATCCCAGCTACTTGGGAGGATCACCTGATCCTGGGAGGTGAAGGCTGCAGTGAGCTGTGATCACACCACTGCACTCCAGCCTGGGCGATAGTGAGACCCAATATATATATTTTTAAAATGTGTAATGAAAACCTGTATCTTTTGTGTTTTGAGACAGAGTCTCACTCTGTCGCCCAGGCTGGAGTGCAGTCGCACGATCTCAGCTCACCACAACCTCCTCCTCCCGGGTTCGAGCAATTCTCCTGCCTCAGCCTCCCAAGTAGTTGGGATTACAGGCGCCCTTCACCACACCTGGCTAATTTTTTGTATTTTTAGTAGAGACGGGGTTTCACCATGTTGTCCAGGCTGATCTTGAACTCCTGACCTCAGGTGATCCACCAGCCTCGGCCTCCCAAAGTGCTAGGATTACAGGCATGAGCCACCGCACCCAGCCAAAAACCTGTACCTTTATTGGACGCTTACTCTTTGTCAGGCACTGAGATACAATCATGGCATTTGAACTGAGACTTGAAAGTAGAGTAGGAATTAGCTACGTGAAGGTGTGAAGAATGGTCTGGGCAGGGAGAATAGAATATGCAAAGGCCCTGAAGTGGGTAGGTGTTTGGAGAACTCAAGGAATTAAAAAATGGCCAGTAGTACTGGGGTGTTGTGAATAAGGGAAGAGGAATGGGGGCTGAGGCTGGAGGGGCAGCACAGCCACTTTCCGTGGGGCCTCACCTCACTGTTGCCATGTCTGCGTTCCCCACCCCACCGCACCCCTGCGCTGTCAACACTGCCAGCACAGGGGTGTACTTACCCTCCCCTCTCAGAGCTCACACACTCACTCAGGGAGCACTCACTGAGCACCTAGGATGTGTCTGACATTGTAAATACTTGGGATACATCAGTGACAAAAACAATGGTCCCTACCCTCTCAAAGTCTACATTCTGGAAGGAAGAGCAGACATAATGTCTATGTAAGCTTCCTATTTTGTTAGAAAGTGGTCAGTCCTGTGGAAAGAAGAAAAAGTTGGCCAGGTGTGGTGGCTCACACCTGTAATCCCAGCACCTTGCATGGCTCAGGTGGGCAGATCACCTGAGGTCAGGAGTTTGAGACCAACCTGGCCAACATGGTGAAACCCCGTCGCTACTAAACATACAAAAATTAGCTGGGGGTGGTGGCAGGTGCCTGTAATCCCAGCTACTTGGGAGGCTGAAGCACGAGAATAGCTTGAACCTGGGAGGCAGAGGTTGCAGTGAGCTGAGACCGCGCTGTTGCACTCCAGCCTGGGCGACAAGAGTGAAACTCCATCTCAAAGAAAAAAAAAGAAGAAGAAGAAGAAAGAAAAAGTCAGGCTGGGCGAAGGGTACTGAAGGTCTGAGGAAAGGGGTGGGGTGGGTGGCTGAATTAAACAGAGAGGGCCAGGCAGCCTTGCTGAGGAGTGATTTGAGCAGAGCTGTGAGGTGGTGAAGGGGTGGCCTGCCCCTCCACACCTGTGGGTGTTTCTCGTCAGGTGGGATGAGAGACTGAGAAAAGAAAGAGACACAGAGACAAAGTATAGAGAAAGAGTGCCAGGGGACTGGCGCTCAGCATATGGAGGGCCCACGATGACACCGGTCTCTGAGTTCCTTCAGTATTTATTGATCATTATCTCTACCATCTTGGAGAGAGGGATGTGGCAGGACAATAGGGTAATAGTGGGGAGAGGGTCAGCAGGAAAACGTGTGAACAAATGTCTCTGTGTCATAAACAAGGTTAAGAAAAAGGTGCTGTGCTTTGATGTGCACATACATAAACATCTCGGTGCATTAAAGAGCAGTATTGCCGCCAGCATGTCTCACCTCCAGCCCTAAGGCGGTTTTCTCCTATCTCAGTAGATGAAATATACAATTGCGTTTTACAACGAGACATTCCATTGCCCAGGGACGAGCAGGAAACAGATGCCTTCCTCTTACCTCAACTGCAAAGAGGCCTTCCTCTTTTACTAATCCTCCTCAGCACAGACCCTTTACGGGTATCAGGCTGGGGGACGGTCAGGTCTTTCCCTTCCCACAAGGCCATATTTCAGACTATCACATGGGGAGAACTTGGACAATATCTGGCTTTCCTAGGCAGAGGTCCCTGCAGCCTTCCGCAGTGTTTTGTGTCCCTGGGTACTTGAGATTAGGGATTGATGATGACTTTCAAGAAGCATGCTGCCTTCAAGCATTTGTTTAACAAAGCACATCCTGCATAGCCCTAAATCCATTAAACCTTGAGTCGACACAGCACATGTTTCTGCGAGCACAGGGTTGGGGGTAGGGTTACAGATTAATAGCATCTCAAGGCAGAAAAATTTTTCTTAGTACAGAACAAAATGGAGTCTCTTATGTCTACTTCTTTCTACACAGACACAGTAATGGTCTGATCTCTCTTTTCCCCACAAGGTGGGAGAGGGAGCCAGCCTTGCAGGTATCTAAGGGAAGATGGTTATGGGCAGAGGGAGCAGTATGTGCAAAGCCTAGAGGCGGGAGTATGACTGGCATGTTCTAGCAACAGCAAGGAGGCCAGGGTGGCTGGTATGGGGTGAGCCAGGGCAGGCAGGTGAGGAGATGTGACGAGAGGTCACTGGGGGTGGAGAGAGATTGTGTAGACCATGTAGGCCTTAGAGTTCATTGGCTTTTACTGAGTGGAGCCACTGGAAGGTTTTAAGCAGAGGGTGACAGAACTGACTTCTGTTTTAATAGGTGCACTCTGGGTGCTCTGTGGGGTGGGGTGAGGGGCAAAAGTAGAAGCAGGGATGACGGTTAGGAGGCTTTTGCAATAAAGCAAGTGAAAGACATTGGTAGCTAAGACGGAGGAGGCATCAGTAGAGGTAGAAAGAAGTCGCTAATATTTGGTTTTATTTTGAAAATGGGGTCCGATAGCTTCTCGGCCTTTTGGCTAAGATCAAGTGAAAATGGTGGCCGAGTGCAGTGGCTCACGCCTATAATCCCAGCACTTTGGGAGGCCAAGGTGGGTGGATCAATTGAGGTCAGGAGTTCGAGATCAGCCTAGCTAACATGGCAAAACCCCATCTCTACAAAAAATACAAAAATTATCTGGGCATGGTAGCGCGCACCCATACTCCCAGCTACTCGGGAGGCTGAGGCATGAGAATCGCTGGAACCCAGGAGGCAGAGATTGAAATCGTACCACTGCACTCCAGCCTGGGTGACAGAGTGAGACTCTGTCTCAAAAAAAAAAAAAAAAAAAAAGAAAAAGAAAAGAAAATGAGAAAATGGATCCAACAGGATTTACTGATAGATTAAACTAGACATGGGGCATGGGAAAAGAGTGTTGTCAAAGATGATTCTAGCATTTATGGCTGGAGGAACCAGAAGGATGGAGTTGCCCTCAGCTGGGGTAGGGAAGGCAGAGGGTGGAGGAGGTTTTTAGGGGAAGATCAGATGCCCACTCGTAGGCCTGAGTTTGAGCTGTTTATTACATACCCGAGTGGAGCTGTCAGAATGACAGCTGAGATAGATGAATCTGGAATTGAGAAGTGGATCAGGGCTGGAGGTGTAAATTTGGGAGTCTCCAGCATACAGATGGTATTTAAAATCACAAGACTGATTTTAATCACGAGTCCCGCCAAGGGGCTGAGTGTAGATAAAGAAGAGGCTAAGGACTGAGCGTTGAGAGCATGGGGATAAGAGAAGGAGAGAGCCAAGAAAATAAGCCATGAACAGAAATGAAAGGAGACCAGGAGAGGGCACATCCAGAAGGCAACTGGAGAAATGCAATCAAGCAGAAGGGAGTGTGCACCTGTGCCATCGCGCTTAGAGGTCAAGGATAACAAGGGCTAAGGATGACCGTTGGATGTAGCAACATGAAATACTGGGGACTTTGACAACAGCAGCTTGATTGGGGGGCTGGGTGGGGGGAGTGCAAAAGTGTGAATGGAGTAAGAGAGGGAGGTCCACACCTCTTGGACAGCTCTTTCCAATATTTATTTATTTATTTATTTATTTATTTATTTATTTTAAGATAGAGTCCCTCTCTGTTACCAGGCTGGAGTGCAGTGGTGTGATCTCAGCTCACTGCAATCTCCACCTCCTGGGTTCAAGTAATTCCCGTGCCTCAGCCTCCTGAGTAGCTGGGATTACAGGCACACGCCACCACACCCAGCTAATTTTTGTATTTTTAGTAGAGAAGGGGTTTCACCATGTTGGCCAGGATGGTCTCAATTTCTTGACCTCATGATCTGCCCACCTTGGCCTCCCAAAGTGCTGGGATTACAGGTGTGAGCCAGCATGCCTGGCCCAATTATTATTATTTTTTTAATTTTTAAAATTTTGTTATTTTTGAGACAGAGTCTCACTCTGTTGCCCAGGCTTGAGTGCAACCTCTGCCTCCCAGGTTCAAGCGATTTTCATGCCTCAGCCTCCGTATAGCTGGGATTAGAGGTTTGCACCACACACCTGGCTAATTTTTGTATTTTTAGTAGAGATGAGGTTTCACCATGTTGGCCAGGCTGGTCTCGAATTCCTGACCTCAAGTGATTCGCCCGCCTCGGCCTCCCAAAGTGCTAGGATTACAGGCATGAGCCACCGTGCCTGGCCCTCATTTTTCTTTAAATACTGAGTCTCCCTAAGTTGCCCAGGTTGGTCTTGACCTCCTGGGCTCAAGTGGTCCTCCCACCTCGGCCTTCCAAAATGCTGGGATTACAGGTGTGAGCCACCATGCCCAGTTCCTTCATAGACAGCTCTTGAGTTTTTCTGCAGAGGTGTGCCAGGGGGCAGATGGAGAATGGGAATGTGAGATCAAGAGGTTCTTTTTTTTCCTTTTTTAAGGTTGCATCAATAACAGATATTTTAACACTGCTGGGAATAGTCTAGAAGTGAAGGAAAAACATGCTGGAGCCCTGACATTGAGCAGGCAATAGGTAAAGGCCTCTGCTGCGCATGTGGAGGCATCGGCTTTAGGCAGGAATGTGGACAGCTCACCTCAGGTGCTAATGAGGAAGGAAGACGGTGGGGGCAAATGTGGCAGCAGGAGCTGGAGAAAGTTCTCATTCCGGAAGTGGAAAGCAAGCAGCTTCCTCTCAACAACCACAGGAGGTAGAAAATGTTTAATCCCCCCCGTTATAACTGAGGACACAAGGAAAAGGTCAACAGCTCTAAGTGGGGCACCAGGATCTGGGCCCAAGCAGTCTGACTCCAGAGCCCAATTCGTGTAACCTCAGGTACAGGTGTTTTGTAAATATCTGTTGATTGGATGAAGGAAGAGCAAGGAATTAGCCTGCAGCAGCAGAAGCCAAGCCCTTTCCTGGGTCCTCAAGCTCAACCTGGAAGGCCCCGTGCTCCCCATTCTCGGCAGCAGCTCATACTGTCATTTGTCCAGGAGCTCTATCCCCTCCTCCCCTTGAAGGGTAGTTTGCAAATGCAACAGAGGAAGGGTGGGAAGAAGCTGTGGCTCAGAGAGGGTGAGTTTGCTCACCAGGACACACAGCCAGGAATCAGACACCAACTGTGGCCCAGGTGGTCCTGGGACTTGGAGGGAGGACCTTCTCAAAAGTGTTGGCTGCTGTGAAGCTGTCGTGGAGTCATGGGTCTATTGCTGGTCTGAGCCCCAGAACACACATGAGCGCTAGTCTGCGTGTGTAAGTGTGGCACACAAGGGAGAGCGGCGGTGTGTGTGTTGGGGATTAGGCCAGGTGCACACCCTCCAGGGTCCAGGGGAGGAGGGGCTACAAAAGGCCTGGAGATGGCTCCCTCTGTAGCAATGCCCCTCTAGAGACCGGCAGGCTTCGTCCTCCAGGGCTGTAATTCACCTGCTCCCCGTGCTCACAGGACTCACACGCGGTCTGCGAGCAACTGATGGGAGCCCCTGTGTGCCCCAGGACCTGTCATCTCAGCACTCGCCACACAGTGACCGTGTCACGGCCTGCTGCCAAGGGGCTTTGTCTAGCAGGGAATATGGGCAAGAAACAAGGACAAAGTAAGGAACGGGGGATACGGAGGGCTCTGGCTTGCTCAGGGGCCTTGCTGGAGGGCCCAAAATGGGAGTAGGAGACAGCCAGGACAGGAAGAAGAGGGTGGGAGAAAACTCCCAGCTCAGGCCGGGCGCGGTGGCTCACGCCTGTAATCCCAGCACTTTGGGAGGCCAAGGCGGGTGGATCACGAGGTCAGGAGATCGAGACCATCCTGGCTAACATGGTGAAACCCCGTCTCTACTAAAAAAATAAAAAAATTAGCCAGGCGTGGTGGCGGACGCCTGTAGTCCCAGCTACTCAGGAGGCTGAGGCAGGAGAACGGCGTCAACCCGGGAGGCGGAGCTTGCAGTGAGCCGAGATCGTGCCACTGCACTCCAGCCTGGGCGACAGAGCAAGACTCTGTCTCAAAAAAAAAAAAAAAAAAAAAAAAAAGAAAAGAAAAAGAAAACTCCCAGCTCACGAAACAGCACGTGGAAAGGTCTTGAATCAAAGGGGACCTGGGATCATTCAGGGATTCGGGAGAAGTCTCTGTGCTGAGGGGAGGGGGTGGGTGGGAGGTAAGATCAAAGGTTGGGGCCTGGGCCTTGGGGGCGGTGGGTGAGAGGTCTCCCTCGCTCTGACCCAACGGAGGCAGATCCTCGGTTTGATCCTGGGCCCAACTCTGCTCAGTGAGGAATGTCGGGGCGGGGTCCCGGGGTGCGGCCCCACCCACGGTGCGTGGAATACAGGGGCGGGGAACGCCCGCTCTTCCCGAAGTGCCCGCTAGATGGCGCCAGATCTCCGTGCTGCAGGGGAAGGACCCGCCTCGGCGGGGCAGGTACACGTGGAGGGTGGAGGGTGGAGGGTGGAGGGTGGAGGGTGGAGGGTGGAGGGTGGAGGGTGGGCGGAAGGCGCAGGGTGAGGTGTCTAAGCCCAGAAGATGGTTGGGACGTCCTAGGATGTGGTTGTGATGTGACGACGGCCTTGATGTACATTCTCCCTTTGTGTCCCATCACACCCCAGGAGCTCAGATTATTATTCTCATTTTACTCAGCGGGAAGCTTTAAGTAGGATGAGGTCAGGGCTGCGCCCAGGTCACTCAGCTGGTTCAGGGTGGTGAAGTGGACAAAGATGGCACCCGGCCTCTGTGTGCCCTGCCTGCCGCAGGCCAGCTCGCAGAGGGCCTGCGCTCAGTCCATCCAAAGGGAAGGGCAGTGCCAGGGCAGCCCAATGGCTGGCAGTGCCAGGGCATGGATCCCGAGTCGTTTATTCATTCAGCGGGTTTATTGAGCACCTACTGTGTGCCAGGCACTGGTGAGCGATAAAGCAACGGATAACACAGACATGGGTCTCCTTCCCCACGGAAGGGACAACCTAATGGGGAGACAGCCAGGCGTTATACAGATAAGCCTGCCAACAACTTTATTATTAGAGATTGTGGTAAGGGCTATGAAGGAAATACGCACACCTGAGAAGATTCCAAGGTAGGCTCACTCTCGAGGTGGGCAGGGCTCAGGCACAGGGAGGGCTCAGGAGGAGATATGGAAGCTGAGACCTGAAGCGTGCGAGGTGCAGCCATGAGGAGGGCTGGAGGAGCAGCCTTAGGGGCAGAGAGGACAGCAGTGCACAGGCTGCCAAAATTGGGAGGAGCCCGAGGAACTGCAAGGAGGCGGGGCTGGGGCCAGGAGAGAGAAGAGTGTTAGGGCTGTCCCTGAGGGCAGGGGCCAGATCCTCTGGGCCTGCTAGGCCCTGCCTTGTCAAGGAGTGTAGATTTATTATTATCGTTGTTGTTGTTGTTGTTGTTGTTGTTGTTATTATTATTATTATTATTATTATTATTATTATTATTTTGAAACAGTTCTGCTCAGTCGCCCAGGCTGGAGTGCAGTGGCGCGATCTCGGCTCTCTGCAACCTCTGCCTCCCAGGTAGCTGGGATTACAGGCACGTGCCACCACGCCCGGCTAATTTTTGTATTTTTAGTAGAGACAGGGTTTCACCATGTTGGCCAGGCTGGTCTCAAACTCCTGACCTCAAATGATCCACCCGCTCCGGGCTCCCAAACTGTTAGGATTACAGGCGTGAGCCACTGCGCCCGGCCAACTGTAGATTATATTCTGATTGCATGGGAAGGCAGTGAAGAGCTTTAAGCAGGGAGCCACATGTTCTGATTTGTCTTTAGAAGTCCACTCTGGGCCAGGAGTGATGGCTTGCACCTGTAATCCCAGCACTTTGGAAGGCTGAGGCGGGAGGATCGCTTGAGCCCAAGAGTTTGAGTCCAGACTGGGCAACTTAGCAAGCAAGACCTTGTCTTTACAAAAAATAAAAATAAAATAAATAAAATAAAAATAAAATAAATTTAAAAAATAAACGAAAGTCTACTCTGGCTTTGGAGAATTGGCTGAAGGTGAGCAAGAGAGGGAGCAGGAGGAGGTGGAGACGGTCACGCTGGTGAGAGGTGACGGGGGCTCAGACCGCGATGGCAGCTGTGAAGATGGAGAACAATGGTCAGATCTGAGAGATACTTTGGAAGCAGAATCTGTAGAATTTTCAGATGAATTGGATGGAGGGGTGAGGATGATTGTAGGTTCTAGGCTTGAGCAACGGGTGGATGATGGGGCTATTAACCAAGGTGGGGAGAGCCAGGGGGAGGTCACAACTTGGGTGGAGGCTGGAATCAGGCTCAGGCCCTGCTATTTTTGGAGCCTTCTGTGTGATATCCTAGTAGAAGGATGGGGCAAGCAGTTGGAGCTTATTGGAAAGTTCAGGACTGCTGATGTAACCTCAGGAGCCTCTAGGTTGTATTTTATGTCAAGGGATTGGATGAGATCCCTTCACACAGCCCACAGTCTGGCAGGTAGTGAAGGCCTCATCACCGGAGGTGTGCAGGACAGGCTGGCTGATGCCACTAGAGAGAGGAGGCCTCTTTGAGGGGAGGTGGAACAAAATAGACCCTGAGGATGCCAGATAGCAGGACTCGGTGCCCCTGGGGCCACACGGAGGAGCTGGATATGCTGGCTCTGTCTCTTTGTCTGGTTGGAGCCTCCTCTCCCTTTGGCACCATTCCCCCACTACCATCTGGCAGGGTCCAGAGACACACAGACCCTGGGGTGGGATGAGGGGCAGCCTCAGGGATGGGGCTGTAATTTCAGCTGGGGGCAGGGCTCCTGAGTCTCAGCCACCTGGTGTGAGGTTCCTCTTTCCGGCACCTCCTCATGACTGTCTTGCCTGACAGCCCCATCCCCCACAACTGCAGCTACTCAACACCTCTCAGGAGGAGGCCCAGCCCAGGGAGCAGCTCCCTGCTGTGTCCCACCTGGAAAGGCATTGAGTCTGCTGGTGCAGCATCCCCGGGGGTGGGGGAGGGAACTAGAGGGGCTGCCAAGCTTAATTAGTAGTTGTGAATCCCCGAAACCTGCATCTAGAGAGGCCCCCCAGACTTTCATCTTCAAAACCTCCCCACCCACCTGGATGAAAGGGCCAGGGAGGGGCCAGGTATTAATAGTAATTATTAGTTTCACTAATAAGGAGAAGAAATGGGATTATCACCACGCTCAACAAGTTCTCCCCTCTTTGTCTACCTCTTCTCTCCTTCCTGTGGGCTCCTTTTTCCTTCCTCTCTCCCTCCTCCTTTTTTATTTTTCTCTTTTTTAATTTGTAGAGATGTGGTTTCACCATGTTGCCCAGGCTGATCTTGAACTCCTGGGCTCAAGCAATCCTCCTGCCTCAGCTTCCCAAAGTGCTGGGATTACAGGCGTGAGCCACTGGGCCCGACCCTTCTTTCTTTTCTCCTCTTCTCTAGGCCTTGCCACTTCCATCTGTCCTTGTTTCAAGGCCTTGGGATCTGCCTGCCTCTCTCGGTTCCCTTGCTGTCTATTGGGGTGTCTTAGGTACCAGGACATTCGGGGAACACCTGTGTTCATCTGGGTTGCTGAGGGAGAGACATAAGGGTGAGAGAATGTTGTTAGGATGTTGGTGTCCATTCATTCATTCATTCAGTCATTCATTGTTTTATAAATAATAATTATTATTATTTTATTTATTTTTTTGAGACAGAGTCTCTCTCTACCCCCTAGGCTGGAGTCCAGTGGTGCAATCTTGGCTCACTGCAACCTCCAACTCCCAGGTTCAAGCGATTCTCCTGCTTCAGCCTCCCGAGTAGCTGGGACTGCAGGCGCCTGCCACTACTGGCTAATTTTTGTATTTTTATTAGAGGCGGGGTTTCACCATGTTGGCCAGGCTGGTCTCGAACTCCTGACCTCAAATGATCCACCCACCTCGGCCTCCCAAAGTGCTAGGATTACAGGTGTGAGCCACCACACCTGGCCACAAATAATTATTGAACACATACTGTGAGCCAAGCACTGGGTTGGGCGCTGAGGATTCGGCGCTGAATAGGACAGATGTGGGCCATGCCTGCCCAAGTCAACATCCTAGCAGGGAAGATGGACAGTAAACAGTAAACTAACAGATAGACATAAGGTCACAGAGTGTGGTGCAGACTATAAAGGGAATAAATTGCAGACAGGATGGAGAGCTATGTGGGTGGCTACTTTAGGCTGGGGCACCAGGGAGGTGACATTTCAGCAGAGACCTGAATCATAAGGACTAAGTTATGAGGGAAGATTGGGAAAGGGTTCCTGACAGGAAGAACAGTCTTTGCAAAAGCCCTGAGCTTAGCATGAGGATGTGAAAGGAGGATAAAGTGGCCAGGAGTAAGGAGGAGAACCAGAGGGAGAAGGGAGATGAGGTGGGGACAGGGCTGGCACCACGAGCCTGTGACCTCTACAGTTGCACAGGGCCCATGCTTGGTTAATGCACTGTGGTTGCTGTCCTGAAATTCTTTTTTTTTTTTTTTTTTTTTTTTTTGAGACGGAGTCTCGCTGTGTCTCCCAGGCTGGTGAGTGCAGTGGCGTTTTCTCTGCTCACTGCAACCTCCGCCTCCCAGGTTTGAGCGATTCTCCTGCTTCAGGCTTCTGAGTAGCTGGGACTGCAGGCCCATACCACCATGCCCAGCTAAGTTTTGTATTTTTAGTAGAGATGGAGTTTCAGTATGTTGGCCAGGCTGGTCTTGAACTCCAGACCTCAGGTGATCTGCCTGCCTTGGCCTCCCAAAGTGCTGGGATTACAGGTGTGAGCCACTGCACCAGGCCCTGAAATTCTTAATAGTGGTTGAACAAAGGCTTCTGCATTTTTATTTTGCACTTGGGCCCTGCAAATTATGTAGCTCGCCGTGGTTGGGAGGTTGGCAAAATAACTGGGTGTCTGTGAGTAGAGATGTGAAGGCTTCTTGGCTGGTGTTGAGTGAATGAATGAATCTGCTTTTGCAGAGTTCATCTGTGAGGCTGTCAGAGGGCCACCTTTGCCTAGACCAGGGGCTGCTGCTGTGCAGAGAGGGGTCACATTCAGACATGGCCCCAGAGTGCCCCCAAATTCTGCAGTATCTGTTAGATTCTTCCGGGCCCACTGCCTGCAGGGTTCCCAGGGCTGTGTGCACCAGGTCTGAAGCAGCATCATGAAAAGGTGGGTAAAGTCAGGCTTACCCCACCCCCTGCATTGGCAAACAATAACTCCTCCACCCGAGGTAGAATCTTGCCTGTGAAGCCTCAGACTTTAGAGCCAGACAAACTTGAGTTCAAATCTGGCTTTCACATTCTGATTAGTGGATGTGACTAAGTGTACTTTATGCAGGTGATTTGCTTCTCTGAGCCTCAGTTAGTTCCCTCATCTGTAAAATAGGGATCACTACTTCTTAGAGTTGTTGAGAGGATTAAACGAGGTAATAAGAGGAAAGCTTTTGGCACAGTCAGAACTTAGAAAATATTTGCAATAATAATAGTATTATGGCTGGGCACAGTGGCTCACACTTGTAATCCCAGCACTTTGGGAGGCCGAGGCGGGTGAATCACCTGAGGTCAGGAGTTCGAGACCAGCCTGGCCAACATGATGAAACCCCGTCTCTACTAAAAATACAAAAATTAGCCAGGCGTGGCGGCAGGATTAGTCGAGATCGCGCCACTGCACTCCAGCCTGGGCAATAGTGCAAGACTCCACAAAAAAAAAAAGTATTATTATACAATCTTTGCAGAATTGGGTAAACATTTGCTTTTGCCCCTAAATGTCTACATAGTCATGAACAGGTCACTAAATCCCCCTGAGCCTGTTTCCTCTTCTGTTCAATTGGGATGATAACAAGCTAACCCATCTCTAACCGGGGTGGTTGGGGATGAACCAACAGGATCACTGGATCACCGTGGAGCTTCTTTGTAAATTGATGTGCAGGTGTGGGCCGCTTGCACATTCCAGACCCACCCCTATCTCTCCCATCTCAGGGCAGGCTTTCTCCAAATCTGCCCGCCCGGAAGGAAAAGCACCCTTCAGTTCTTGGCAGTCTCTGGATTCCCAGCCCTGAGTTGCTGCTCTCACACTGGGAAGTCGGCCTGGGAGTGAACATTAAGTTCAAGGTCCCTGGTTAGGCAAAAAAGAGGCTGATCCAGAAGTTGGAGTAGGGGAGGGGGAGGATGAGCTGAGTGAGGACAAAGGAGCTGGAGCCAAAATCCCTGTTGGCCTTGCTTCCTGCCTCACTCTGAGGCAGGAAGCAACCAGAAAGCTGCAGAGAATTAGTCTCTGAAAAAGGACCTGAGCAACAGTCTCGGGCTGGGCAGAGCCCCCACTTCATCTCCCACATACGCTCCCCAAGGCTGATTTGCAGGAGCCTCTAAGACCGCTGGGAAGCCCTAAGCAGCACCAACCTGAGAAAGGGAGTCTCACCCCATAGGAGTCCTTGGCCGAGAAAGCGGGAAGCCGGGAAGGGGAGGCTAAAAACCCCCAGAGCTGGGTGCGGTGGCTCACGCCTGTAATCCCGGCACTTTGGGAGGCCAAGGCTGGTGAATCTCTTGAGGTCAAGAGTTCAAGACCAGCCTGGCCAACATGGTGAAACCCTGTCTTTACTAAAAATTACAAAAATTAGCCAGCCGTGGTGATGGGTGCCTGTAATCCAAGCTACTCGGGGGGCTGAGGCAGGAGAATCGCTTGAACCCAGGAGGCGGAGGTTGCAGTGAGCCGAGATCATGCCACTGCACTCCAGCCTTGGCAACAGGGCAAGACTCCATCTTAAATAGAATAAAAATAAAAATAAAATAAAAGCCCCAGGAGCCATCCCAGAGCAAGGAACAGGGGCTCTGGGGTCAGGCTGCTTGAGTCCAAGTCTAGGCTCTGCCACCAACTAGCAGTGTGACCTCAGGGTTCTGTGGCCTCTCCATGCCTCAGTGTTCCTAATCTGGAGCCCGGGGATAATAGTCATAGCTCCTGATAGTGCTGCTGGGAAAACCGAGTGCTCTGCAGTTCCCAGCAAAGCCTGATAGGTAGTGAGTGCTTTAGAAAGGTTAGTTATTATTATATATTCTTGTAAAAATGAGGCCACCCAGCAAGTTCTGTCAGAGTCTGCTGTGTCTCCTGATAGATGGGTTCAAAGCCTTCCCTTATATTTTGGGCAGGCAGCATTCATTTATTCATTTGTTTATTCAATAAATATTTATGGAGCATATTTATGGCAGCAAAGAGTGGCAGATGGGGGGCCCTAGGGCCTGATTGCTTCCCAGAGGGGCATTTGAGTGAGAACTAGCATTTATTCAGCAACAATAGGCTTAGCTTATACACACTCAGATTCTTACCAGAAATGGGCATTGCCCAGGTAGAGGAGGGAGCCCAGGTGGAGCCACGGACACGGGGCCACATAGCCACTCAGTAGCAGCCCTAGAGACTTGAATCCAGGCCATCTCACTCCAAAGCTTGTGCTTTTTCAAATCTAGATTCCAGGCCTGCCTTCCTGCTGTGCCTCCCATCTCCCTCCCCAAACCAGACTTTGGCGGAGCCAGATCCCTAGAGGCCAAAGGCCAGGTTGTTTTCTGTTGCCCACTGTGGCAGGATCTCTGTCATTTCCTTCCCAGTTCTCCTAACCATGCGGAACAACCTTGGGGCCTTCCTCCGAGGGGAAACCCAGCCTGGAAGCATCCCGTGGAAAATGTGGCTGTCAGTGACCTCTGATGTTTGTCTCTTCGGCTGCCGAGGGTCTGGGTGCCTGGGAGTGCAGCAAGGTGGGGGGCTTCCTCAATAGGTGATGCCTATGACTCTCAGGAGTTTAGACTTGGCCTCCCTCTGGCTCTGTAGCCTGGGACAAGTCATAGCCCCTCTCTGGGCCTCAGTTTCCCCATCTGTAAAAATGGGAATAGGCCAGGCATGGTGGTTCATGTCTATAATCCCAACACTTTGGAAGGCTGAGATAGGAGCATTGCTGAAGCCCAGGAGTTCAAGACCAGCCTGGGCAACATAGTGAGACCCTGTCTCTACAAAAATTTTCAAAAATTGCTGGGTATGGTGGCTTATGTCTATAGTCTCAATTACTTGGGAGGCTGAGGTGGGAGGATTGCTTGAGCGCAGGAGGTCGAGGCTGCAGTGAGCTATGATGGCACCACTGTACTCCAGTCTAGGTGGCAGAGTAAGACCGTGTCTAAAAAAAAAGAAAAAAAGGAAGAGGCATGGCATGGAGTTGAGGAACAGTAGCGAAGTTCTCACACTGGCCCTCTGGCTGGGAGTTTACGTGCTGATGTCAAGTCCTCCTGCCTTCTTTTCCTCCTGGGTGCTTGTGAGGTTCAAATGGGACTGTGGCTACAAAAGGGCTTTGGAGTGGAATCCAGAGCTGGAGAGCAGAGCAGATGTAGAAGGAAGCTGATTATTTTTGATTGAGACCCTCAGCACTTAGCTCCGCCTTCATCACATCTCACCCAGGCTGCTGCCTGTGGCCAAGTACCCATTCCCCAGACCCTCTGCAGGACCCATGGTTCCGGGTCAAGGGTGAGCCTGGGGCAAGGTTCTAACCAGGAGGTTTCTGAGCCTGACATGAGCATCCTGCTATGGTGTGAATGTTTGTGTGCCTCCTAAATCCATGTTAAAATCCTAACTCCCAAGGTGATGATACTAAAAGGTGAGGTCTTTGGGAGGTGATTAGGTCACAAGGGCAGAGCCCTCATAAGTGGGATTAGTGCTCGTATAGAATAGGCCCAAGGGAACTCATTCACCCCTTCCACCATGTGAGGATGCAGTGAGAGGGTGCCATCTACAAATGGGGAAGCCAGCCCTCACCAGACACTGAATCTGCCATAGCCTTGATCTCAGACTTCCCAGCCTTTAGAATGGTGAGAAACAGGCTGGGTGCAGTGGCTTACACTTGTAATCCCAGCACTTTGGGAGGCTGAGGCGGGCAGATCACTTGAGGTCAGGAGTTCGAGACCAGCCTGACCAACATGGTGAAACCCCATCTCTACTAAAAATACAAAAATTAGCCAGGCATGGTGGCGGGTGCCTGTAATCCCAGCTACTCAGGAGGCTGAGACAGGAGAATCGCGTGAACCCGGGAGGCAGAAGTTGCAGCGAGCCAAGATCATGCCATTGCATTCCAGCCTGGGCCACAGATCAAGACTCCGTCTCAAAAAAAAAAAAAAAAAAAAAAAATTTAGCTAGGTGTGGTAATGCACACCTTTAATCCCAGCTACTCGGGAGGCTGAGGCACAAGAATCGCTTGAACCCAGGAGGTGGAGGTTGTAGTGAGCCGAGATTGCACCACTGCACTCCAGCCTGGGCGACAGAGCAAGACTCTGTCTCAAAAGCAGAAGAAAAGAAAAAAAATAGAATGGTGAGAAATAATTTATGTTGTTTAAAAACCACCCAGTCTATTTTGTTATAGCAGCCCAAACCATAAGACACGAAGACATATCCCAAAGCTGAAAAGTCACCCACCTGGACACAATAGCTATGGGGGGGCCCTCCTGCAGCCTCCCTGACGTCCACCATGCTGGGTTTGTGCCTCGACTTCCTCACAAGTGGTGATGGGAGAGGGAGTTTGGGAGTAGGAAGAGAAGCCTGTGGCTACCCAGGGGACATTCCTTCTGGCAGAGCATGACATTCACCTTGTGCCTAATTTGGGAAACCCCTTCTGTTCTTGGGTCTCAGTTTCCCCATCTGCACTGTGAAAGGCGCCATCACACGCCCTCAGAGAGCCCTTCTGGCTCTCCAAGCCCCAGACCGCGGGCCTCTGACTTCTGCCCTCCCCAGGCTCCTGAGGGATCCAGCCTTCAGCAAATGGAGATCAGTTCCATCCTCAGGAGATTCCATCTGGGATTTTGACTCCCCTGCTCCATCTGCCACTGCTGCCCCCAGATGCCCCAGAGTGGACAGAAACCAAGGGAAGGAGGCAGGGGCACACCCCCTTCCCAGGAGGACTGGAAGGCAGGACCCTCACTTCCAGGCACACATGGATGGAGAGGTGCCATGCTGGAGGGATGGTAGGAGAGGTAGTTCTGCAAGGAGCATGCCCATCCCCTATGCCACAGGCCGGCCAGATGGTGGGGGCAGCCAAGGAGGGCTCCTTGCTCCCGCCCCACCCCTCAGGCTGTACAGGGATCTGGATTTCTTTCCATACAAAACATGTGTGGGTAGAAGCCTTCAAATGCAGATTTGGGGCTCATGAAACATTTTATTATTTTTAAATTTTTTTGTTTATTTTTACTTTAAGTTCTGGGATACATGTGTAGAACATGTATACCTATGTAACCTGCTTTGTTACATAGGTATACGTGTGCCATGGTGGTTTGCTGCACCTATCAACCTGTCACCTAGGTTTTAAGCCCCACATGCATTAGCAATTTGTCCTGATGCTCTCCCTCCCCCGACCTCCCAAACCCCACCTACAGGTCCCAGTGTGTGTTTTTCCCCTCTCTGGGTCCATGTATTCTCATTGTTCAACTCGCACTTATGAGTGAGAACATGTGGTGTTTGGTTTTCTGTTCCTGTATTAGTTTGCTGAGGATGATGGCTTCCAGCTTCATCCATGTTCCTGCAAAGGACATGATCTCATAACGCTTTTACACTGTTGGTGGGAATGTAAATTAGTTCAACCATTGTGGAAGACAGGAATCATCCTCAAGGATCTAGAACCAGAAATACCGTTTGACCCAGCAATCCCATTACTGGGCATATACCCAAAGGAATATAAATGATTCTATTATAGGCCAGGCGCGATGGCTCACACCTGTAATCCCAGCACTTTGGGAGGCCGAGGCAGGCGGATCACCTGAGGTCAGGAGTTTAAGACTGGCCTGATCAACATGGTGAAACCCTGTCTCTAATGAAAATACAAAAATTAGCCAGGCCTGGTGGTGTGCACCTGTAATCTCAGCTACTCGGGAGGCTGAGGAAGAAGAATCACTTGAACCCAGGAAGCGGATGTTGCAGTGAGCCGAGATAGCACCATTGCACTCCAGCCTGGGTGACAGAAACTCCATCTCAAAAAAAAAAAAAATTCTTTTAATCGTTCTATTTTAAAGATACATGCACATGTATGTTTATTGCAGCACTATTCACAATAACAAAGACATGGAACCAACCCAAATGCCCAACGCCGATAGACTGAATAAAGACAATGTGGTTCATGAAACATTTTAATCTGGTGGAAGCACAGTTATAGCATTTCAGAACCTTGGTATGCTGTGGAATTCGAGAATCTCAGAGGCATAGCATCCTAGAATTTTACAAAAGTGAGTCATAGGATTTAAGGTTTCTAAACTATGCTGTCCAGCACTGCAGCCGCTAGCCACATGTGGTCATAGAGCACTGAGAATGTGACTAGTCCAAGTTGAGATGTGCTTTAAGTAGAATACACAGTGGATTTGGAAGACTCAGCACAAAAGAAAGAATTTAAACATCTCATTAATCATTTCGTTATATTAATTACATGTCAAAATGATATTTTGGGTATGTTGGTTTAATACAATATATTTCTTATTTTTAAAATTTTATGTATGTATGTATGTATGTATTTATTTATTGAGATGGGATCTCGCTCTGTCGCCCAGGAATGCAGTGGCACAATCTTGGCTTATTGTAGCCTTGACCTCTGGTTCTCAAGCAATCCTCCCACCTCAGTCTCCTGAGTAGCTGAGACCGCAAGCACACACCACCACACCCCACTAATTTTATTTATTTTTTGTGGAGACAATGTCTCACTATGTTGCCCAGCCTGGTCTCAAACTCCTGGGCTCAAGTGGTCCTCCTGCCTTGGCCTCCCAAAGTGCTGGGATTATAGGCATTAGCCACCCACTGTGCCCAACCAAATAAAATATATTTCTTATCTATTTATTTTTGAGATGGAGTCTTGCTCTGTCACCCAGGCTGAGTGCAGTGGGGGTGATCTCAGCTCACTGCAACCTCTGCTTCCTGGGTTCAAGCCATTCTCCTGCCTCAGCCCCCTGACTATAGGCGCATGCCACCACGCCCGGCTAATTTTTTGTATTTTTAGTAGAGACGGGGTTTCACCATGTTGGCCAGGCTGGTCTTGAACTCCTGACCTCGTGATCTGCTTGCCTCGGCCTCCCAAAGTGCTGGGGTTACAGGCGTGAGCCACCATGGCTGGCTTTTATTTTATTTTATTTATTTTTGAGACAGAGTTTCGCTCTTGTCACCCAGGCTGGAGTGCAATGGCGTGATCTCGGCTCACTGCAATCCCCGCCTCCTGGTTTCAAGCAATTCTCCTGCCTCAGCCTCCCGAGTAGCTTGGATTACAGGCGAGGGCTACCAAGCCCGGCTAATTTTTGTATTTTTAGTAGAGATGGGGTTTCATCATGTTGACCAGGCTGGTCTCAGACTCAGCCACCTCAGATCACCTCAGGTGATCCACCTGCCTCGGCCTCCCAAAGTGCTGGAATTACAGGCATGAGCCACCACACCTGGTCTTTACTTTTTGAAATAATGAGAGGAGTCATTATTTAAAATAATGAGGCTATATATCAACATATAACCTCACTATGTTGCCCAGACTGGTTTCAAACTCCTGGGCTCAAGTGATCCTTCTGCCTTGGCCTCCCAAAGTGCTGAAATTACAGGCATGGGCCAAGGTACCCAGCCCTTGTTTTTTGTGTATTTATTTTTTTTAGAGACAGGGTTTTGATCTGTCACCCAGGTTGAAATGCAATGACACAATCACAGCTCACTGCAGCCTCAAACCCCTGGGCTCATGCGATCCTTCTGCCTCAGGCTCTGAATAACTGGAACTACAAATGCTCACACCATGCTGGGCTAATTTTTTTTAATTAATTTTTTGTAGAGACAGTGTCTTGCTATGTTGCCCAGGTTGGTCTCAAACACCTGGACTCAAGCAACCTTCTCACCTCGGCTTCCCAAAGTGCTGGGATTACAGATGTAGGCCACCTTGCCCAGCCAAAATATATGTCTAAATTTAATTTCACTTGTTTCTTTTTACTTTTTAAAATGTGGTTACTAGAAAATGTGACTGTTCATATGTGGCTTGCATTATATTTCTTTTTTTTTTTCTTGAGACGGAGTCTTGCTCTGTCGCCCAGGCTGGAGTGCAGTGGTACGATCTTGGCTCACTGCAACCTCTACCTCAAGGGTTCAAGTGATTCTCCTGCCTCAGCCTCCCAAGTAGCTGGGATTACAGGCGCCCACCACCACACTCGGCTAATTTTTATATTTTTAGTAGAGACAGGGTTTTGCCATGTTGGCCATGTTGGCCAGGCTGGTCTTGAACTCCTGACCTCGTGATCCACCCGCCTCGGCCTCCCAAAGTGCTGGGATTACAGGCGTGAGCCACTGTGCCCAGCCAACATTTCTAACGAATTAAGCAGTTTTAGAAAATTAGGCCAGGTGTGGTGGCTCAAGCCTGTAATCCCAGCACTTTGGGAGGCCGAGGCAGGCGGATCACAAGGTCAGGAGATCGAGACCATCCTGGCAAACATGGTGAAACCCCGTCTCTGCTAAAAATACAAAAAATTAGCCGGGCGTGGTGGCGGGCGCCTGTAGTCCGAGCTACTCGGGAGGCTGAGGCAGGAGAATGGTGTGAACCCGGGAGGCAGAGCTCGGAGTGAGCCGAGATCACGCCACTGCTCTCCAGCCTGGGCGACAGAGCAAGACTCTGTCTCAAAAAAAAAAAAAAAGAAAAAAGAAAATTAGAATCATATTTAAAATCTCAGAATCAGGAAAAAATTGTGGCATTTCAGAATTTTAATGTGACAGAATTTTAGAACCAGATTTCTAGATCATGACATCGCTGACTGAATTTTAGCACTAACTCTCACAGCCTGGAAGAACTTGAGAAGAATCCTGGTCCCTTGCCCACCCAAGGCAGGGATCCTCCTAGCCCACCGTAAGCAGCGGTGGTCCAGCCTCTGCCTACCCCTCTCCTTTGCTGGGTAGAGAACTCCCCCCTGACAAGGCCACTGGGTGTTTTGAATGGTTAGGGAGAGTTTCCCGATGCTGGGTGGTGCCTGCTTCCCTCAGCTTCTCCCATGCTCTCAGTGGGTTCCCACACCACCTGTGGGGGCTCACAGGACAAGCCTGAGTCTTCCTTCCCAGCAAAGGCAAGAGTGCTGGGTCCTGCCTCTCCCCTTACCCGAGCCACTGTCCTACAGGCTACAGGCCCTCCCTTGACACCAGTCTCTGCAGGTGGGCTTCAGGGACCCACACCAGGACTCTCAGCTCCTGGCAGGCCTCTCTGCTTCCCCATCCCTCAGCAAAGCTGTTCCTGGGACCCCAGTAGTGCAGGGGTCCTGCCAGCCTCTCCCGATTGGTAGATTACCTTTTCTTTCCATCTGGGTGACTGGCCCCTACATCCTGGTCTCTCAGTCCTGCCTGTTCCCAGCCCTGGGGAGAGGTGGGATGAGTGACTACAGGTGCTGGGGTGAGGGGGGGCACAGGAATCTCAGGTCGATTTCAGGAGCCCCAGGTCTGCCTGAAAAATGCTTTTTTTTTTCAACTTTAAGAGACTGAGGAGGAAGAAGGAAGAGGCTTTCTCATTGACAGAGTCACGAATTCCAAGGCAGTGCTGAGGGGCAGTGAGTCACCCAGAGGTCTCCACACAGAGCAGAAAGGCTGGAATCAGTCAGGCGGGGTCCTGGCGGAGTAAAACTAGAGCTGGGACTTGAAGGAAAGGGGTGCTGGGACTGTGATGAGGTTGGGGGGAGGCATTCTTGGCAGAAGGAATGCTGGACACATGACCCAGTCCCAGCCTGCCTGGATAGAGGGGTCAGAGGGTGACAGGATGGCCACGTAGGTCAGTGACTGAGGGCAGCCTGGAGGTTAGCCTTGGGTGTGTGTGTGTGTGTGTGTGTGTGTGTGTGTGTGTGTGTGTGTGAGAGAGAGAGAGAGAGAGAGAGAGAGAAAGAGAGAGAGACAGAGACAGACAGAGAGAGAGAATGAGAATATCCCAGTGAGCTATAGGGGAGCATTAGGTAAAAGTAACAGTAACAACTATAGTTTGGCTGGATGTGATGGCTCACGCCTGTAATCCCAACACTTTGGGAGGCCAAGGTGGGTGGATCACCTGAGGTCAGGAGTTCCAGACCAGCCTGGCCAACATGCCAAAACCCCGTCTCTACTAAAAATACAAAAAAGAATTAGCCGGGCATGGTGGTATGCGCCTGTAATCCCAGCTACTCAGGAGGCTGAGGCAGGAGAATCGCTTGAACCCGGGAGGCGGAGGTTGCAATGAGCCGAGATTGTGCCATTGCACTCCAGCCTGGGCAACAAGAACGAAACTCATCTCAAAAACAAACAAACAAACAAACAAACAAAAAACTATGCCAGGCATAGTGCTAAGCAATTTCCTAGTATTTCATTTAATCCTCTCAACAACCTTATAAGGTAAATACTATTATCCTCCTGCAAATAAACAATTGAAACCAAGTTAAATGACAGTAATTGAGGGCTGACCCTTGATTCTAACACAAGACAGTCTGATGTCAGAGCCCAAGCACTGGATGGAGGGCGAGTTGCAGAAGAAGGGAGGTGGGATTTGTATGGGGCATGCAGAGTCTGAGCATAAGTGAGTGTGACCGCATGCTTTGTGGGCTATGGGGCTTATCCCTGCCATTCCCCTCGCTCTTCCCACCCGCAGCCCCAGCTCCATCTCACCCCAGACACAGCCCAGACAGGTTGGAGTGAAGAAAGGGCCTTGGAATGATAAGAATGTCCATGCCTGTTGGAGCAGAGAGCCCCAGACAAGGGCTGGCCACCACACCGGTCCCAGAGCTGACTTCCCACAGGTCAGCACTGCTCCCTCACCCCCTGCTGGTATGTCTATAAGCACCTAGGAATGGCATCTGGGCTCAACTCTGGGAGTCCTTACCGGCTTCCAAGATACACAGGATAGGCAGAGGGGAATGCTAATAGACATTCTTCCAGGTCTAGTCCCAGCTCACCTGCTGGCCACCGCTGGTCTAGGCAGGCCCCTCTGACTCCCTGGGCCTCAGTTTCTCCATTTCTTTCTTTCTTTCTTTCTTTCTTTTTTTCAGACAGAGTCTCGCTCTGTCACCCAGGCTGGAGTGCAGTGGCGCAATCTTGGCTCACTGCAAGCTCCGCCTCCCGGGTTCATGCCATTCTCCTGCCTCAGCCTCCTGAGTAGCTGGGACTACAGGTGCCCGCCACCACGCCAGGCTAATTTTTTGTATTTTTAATAGAGACGGGGTTTCACCATGTTAGCCAGGATGGTCTCGATCTCCTGACCCTGTGATCCGCCCGCCTCGGCCTCCCAAAGTCCTGGGATTACAGGCTTGAGCCACCGTGCCCGGCAGTTTCTTCATTTCTATAAGGAGAATTGGATGTGTTCAGGGACAGGAGAATAACACAGAGAAACAAAGTGGTCTTGTGTGTGTGTATGGAGTGATGGGCATGGAGAACTGCAGACAACCTCCAGGCCAGGCAACTTCAACCACCCCTTCCTGCTTCACTCATTGGGAGCATTTTTGGATTCTGCTGTGCAGACACTGGGATCCTGAGTCAGCCACTTAACCTTTCAGTGTCCGTTTGAACCTCTCCCCTCTTCTGGGGGTTAATCTAATGTTTTGGTTTGAATGATGTCAAAAGTGTTAGTTCTAAAATGAAGAGAATCAGAATCGCAGAATGAGGAGGTCAGATGGTGGAGGAGTGGATGAGAAATGGCCTGTGGTGAGGGCAAGTCCAGGGCAGAGCCCCTCTGACCAGCAGCTGAGAGGATGGGAAGGAACAATCCCTGGACGGCCCTTCACACCTACCGCCCTGACGGCACCTGAGCCTAGCACTCTGCTCGCCAGGCCTGGACTCAGCCCTGGGCCCTGGACCAGGCCTTATCCTCAAGGGACTTTGAGCCTCTAGATGATAAGGGTCATCTAAAGACCACTTGTGCTTGGCAGTGTTTTACTTTTGTCAGGTTGTAATTGGTGCATTACAATGAACACAGTAAAAGGGGAAATGAACTGATTGACATTTATTTGTAGAAGCTGTCATCTTCTCTGTGTGAGCATTTTGTAGATCTTTTGGCCTCCATTCCTGTTCTCTTAGTCAAGCTAAATGGTCCAGGGACTGAAGATCCCACAGCTTGGCTCTTTTGCAAGGTGAGGGGATCTCCTGCAGGTTGGGCAAAGCTTCATTTTCTCTTCTGTACAATGCGGGTGAAAAAAATCTCCGCTGTGTCTACCTCTCAGGGCTGCTGTGGGGCACCAAGGAATTGGTGTACAGAATGAGAAAGTTCATTTGTTCTTTCTTTCTTTCTGTTTTTTTTTTTTTGGCGGGGGGGCGGTGGGGGGACGGAGTCTCGCTCTGTTGCCCAGGCTGGAGTGCAGTGACGTGATCTCAGCTCACTGCAAGCTCTGCCTCCTGGGCTCACGCCATTCTCCTGTCTCAGCCTCCCCAGCAGCTGGGACTACAGGCACCCGCCACCACGCCCAGCTAATTTTTTGTATTTTTAGTAGAGACAGGGTTTCATGAGGTTAGCCAGGATGGTCTCCTTCCCTCCCTCCCTCCCTCCCTCCCTCCCTTCCTTCCTTCCTTCCTCCTTCCTTCCTTCCTCTCTCTCTCTTTCTTTCTTTCTTTTTTTTTTTTTTTTGAGATGGGGTCTCACTCTGTCGCCCAGGCTGGAGTGCAGTGGCGCAATCTTGGCTCACTGCAACCTCCGCCTTCCGGGTTCAAGCAATTCTCCTGCCTCAGCCTCCCAAGTAGCTGGGACTACAGGCGCATGCCACCATGCCCAGTTAATTTTTGTATTTTTAGTAGAGACGGGGTTTCCCCATATTGGTCAGGCTGATCTTGAACTCCTGACCTCATGATCCACCTGCCTCGGCCTCCCAAAGTGCTGGGATTACAGGCGTGAGCCACCTTGCCTGGCTTCTTCCTGGTTTTTAGAAAGTACTTTCTGGCCAGGTGCTGTGGCTCACGCCTGTAATCCCAGCACTTTGGGAGGTCAAGGGTGGCAGATCACCTGAGGTCAGGAGTTTGAGACCAGCCTGGCCAACATGGTGAAACCCCCATCTCTACCAAACAAACAACAAAAAACAAACAAACAAACAAAATTAGTTGGGCGTGGTGGTGGGTGCCTATAATCCCAGCTACTCAGGAGGCTGAGGCAGGATAATTGCTTGAACCTGGGAGACAGAGGTTGCAGTGAGCTGAGATCGCGCCACTACACTCCAGCCTGGGCAACACGAGCGAAACTCCGTCACAAAAAACAAAACAAAACAAAACCAAAACCAGGAGGAAAGTACTACATGTGAAATGGATTGTGCTAGCAGCACACAGGAGTGAGGGATGAAGGTCTGGGAAGGCACAACATGCATCTTTAGGCTCTGCCTGAAACAGGAAACCTGGACCCCAAGACAGGACTTCTTTGGGAACCCACTGGAAGTGCTCTTCAAACAGCAGTGGCACTGATGAAAGTGGTGTGTAGAAGGAAAGGGCACGAGGGAATCCCGTGGAAGTGAGGGAAGGAGGCACAGAGCCCAGGTGGTCTTGGTGAATTTGGGGGCTTATGGCCCCTAGGTACTGGGAGGTAGTGTGAGTGGTGACAATAATTGCATCTTTTAGTTGGATGGACCCGGATTCCAAACGTCTTCTGCCACCCCTGTCTGTGTGACCTGGGGGAAGTTGCTGTACCTCTCTGGGCTGCTGAAGTAACAGATACAAGAAAGCAGGTGGCATGCATCAGAGTCAGTAATTAATTGCTGTGAATTACCCACATCCCCTATATCAGTCTTCGGTTTCTACATTTTATATCCATTGTATGGCTGAAGCAGGGATAGCCTTCCCATTTTACAGATTTTCTCTGCTGTTTGTTTAACAGATATCAAGGTCTGCCAGGAGGAAAACAGTCCTAGCACTTGAAAAGTTCAGTGTGTGTGTGTGTGTGTGTGTGTGTGTGTGTGTGTGTGTGTGTTGGGGGAGGGAGGGCGCAGTGGGGGGCGGAGGGAAAGAGAGAGGAAACTGTTACAGCATGTGGTCAATGCTGTAATTATGGTGACCATGTTCTCCAAACCACAAATCAGGTCACGTGGTCTGACAGAGGCTATTTTCTGCCTCCACTGAAGTCCAAACATGAAATCACATGTAGTTACACATTCATTGAATCACCTTTTCTTTTTTTTAAAGAAGCAAATGACATGAAATTTGGATTGTCCTTGACAAATCCTGCTATATTCCCAGAAAATCACTAGAGCTGTGACTGGGGCCCATACAGACCTCTAGCAGGAGCAAGAAGGTTTCCTGGACCAAGCGCTACTTAAGTGGGACCTTGAAGGCTAAATAGGTTTCCAGGCAGAGAAAAAGGTGGTGGCCTGGATGCCCTTGGGACAGGACTTACTCTTCCTGCTCTAAAGACAGCACTGGCCGGGTGTGGTGGCTCACGCCTATAATCTCAGCACTTTGGGAGGCCAAGGTGGGAGGATCACTTGAGCTGGGGAGCTCAAGACCAGCCTGGGCAACATAGGGAGACCCTGTATCTACAATTTTTTTTTTTTTTTTTGAGACAGAGTTTCGCTCTTGTTGCCCAGGCTGGAGTGCAGTGGCGTGAATTCAGCTCACTGCAACCTCCGCCTCCCAGGTTCAAGCGATTCTCCTGCGTCAGCCTCCCAAGTAGCTGGGATTACAGGCACCCGCCACCATGCCCGGCTAATTTTTTTTTTTGTATTTTTAATAGAGATGGGGTTTCACCATGTTGGCCAGGCTGGTCTCGAACTCCTGACCTCGTGATTCACCCGCCTCGGCCTCCCAAAGAGCTGGGATTACAGGCGTGAGCCACCGCGCCTGGACTTTTTTTTTTTTTTTTGAAACGGATGGAGTCTTGCTCTGTCACCCAGGCTGGAGTGCAGTGGCGCAATCTCGGCTCACCGCAACCTCTGCCTCCCAGGTTCAAGCGATTCTCTTGCCTCAGCCTCCCGAGTAGCTGGGATTACATACGTGCGTCACCATGCCTGGCTAATTTTTGTATTTTTAGTAGAGACCAGGTTTCACCATGTTGGCCAGGCTGGTCTTGAACTCCTGACCTCAGGTGATCCGCCCGCCTTGGCCTCCCAAAGTTCTGGGATTATAGGCATTAGACACTGCACCCGGCAATTCTTTTTTTTTTAAGAGACAAGGTCTCACCCTGTTACCCAGGCTAGAGTGCAGTGATGTCATCATGGCTCACTGCAGCCTCGATCTTCCAGGCTCAAGTGATCCTCCTACCTCAGCCTCTCAAGTACCTGGGACCACAGGCGCACAACACTATGCCTAGAGTATGTATGTATGTAGAGACGGGATCTCCCTATGTTACCCAGGCTGGTCTTGAACTCCTGGGCTCAAGTGATCCTCCTGCCTCAGCTCAGCCACTGTGCCCAGCCTCTGCAAAATTTTTCTTTTTAAATTAGGTGGCACGTGCCTGTAATTCCAGCTACTCAGGTGGCTGATGTGGGAGGATTGCTTGAGCCTGGGAGGTCCAGGCTGCAGTGGGCCATGATCACACCACTGCACTCCAACCTTGGCCACAGAACAAGACCCTGTTAAAAAAAGAAAGAAAGGAAGAAGGGAGGGAGGGAGGGAGAGAGACAGAAAAGTAGCTTGCTGGGAACTGGTGGTGCTGGCTGAAGTAGGCAACAGTGTTTGTTTTCAGTTACTTTTCACTTTCATTGTTCCAAAGACCAGCCCCAGCCTCCTAGGAAACAAAATTGTTACAGACTAAAACAACGTGGTTACACTGCGTTGTATCTTCCTATGCATTACGGCACTTTCTCACAGTGGACCGTATAGTCTTTGAGGACAGGAACCACATCTATCTTATTCATCTCTGTGTCTCCCTATTTCCCTTCTGCCACCAGGATGGTGTGAGGAAGACTATAGAAGAGGCACTAATAATTGTTGAATGAAGAGTGAAGTACCATTGATGGGCATTTTGTTAGGTAGACAGTGTCCTCTGTTTCATAATGAACCTGTGAACTTTCATTTCATCTGTTTATTCAGCAAGTATGTGCTGGTTGCCTACAATGTGCCTGGTGCTGTTTGGGGCACTGGGGCTCAGGGCGTCTGAGACACACACAGTCCTGCCCACATGGAGCTCACAATCTAGAGGGAGAGAGTGGCAGCTGACAGGTAACTACGAGGGTGATAAAGAGGGAGATGTGAAGTGTATACAGGAAGCCTGGTTTGGATTAGGGTCTGAGGAAAAGCCCAGGAGGAAATTAAGTTTAATTGGAGACTTATAGCTGGGGATGGTGGCATGTACCTGTGGTCCCAGATACTAGAGATGCTGAGATGGGAGGATTGCTTGAGTGCAAGAGTTTGAGGCTGCAGCAAGCTGTGATCTTGCTCACCGTACTTCAGCCCAGATGACACAGCGAGAGCCTGACACATTTAAAAAAAAAAAAAAAAAAAAAAAAGGCTGGTAATCCCAGCACTTTAGGAGGCCGAGGCAGGCAGAGACAGGCAGATTGCTTGAGCTCAGGAGTTCAAGACCAGCCTGGGCAACATGGTGAAACTCTGTCTCTATAAAAAATTAAAAATTAGCTGGGCTTGGTGGCATATGCCTGAAGTCCGAGCTACTTGGGAGGCTGAGGTGGGAGGATTGCTTGAGCCTGGAAGGTCAAGGCTGCAGGGAGCCGTGATCACACCACTGCACTCCAGCCTGCAGGAAAAAAAGAAAAAAGAAAAAAAGAAAAAAAAAAATCTCAGACCTAAAGGATCACAATGAATCATTCATCTAACATTTAAACAGTCAACCCTCTATACCCACAGATTCTGAATCTGTGGATTCGACCGACCATGGATCGAAAACATATTTTAAAAAATTGTCTGTATTGAACATGTGCAGACTTTTTTTGGGTCATTATTCTCTAAAAAATATAGCAATTCTTTGCATACAATTTACATTGTATTAGGTATTACAAGTAATCTAGAGATGATTTAAAGTATATGGGAGGATGTACATAGGTTATATGCAAATATTAAGCCATTTTATATCAGGGATATCCACACATTTTGATATCCATGAAATGTCCTGGAATCATTCCCCCATGGATACTGAGGGACAACTGTAACTGTACAGTGCTTGTCCTATAACAGATAACACACTAAGGGCTTTACATATTTAACTTATGTAATTCTCACAACAGCCCTGGGAGGTATGTTGTACTATTATTATCTACACTTTAGAGAGGAGGGCTGACCACAGAAAGTTTGAAAAACTGGCCCAAAGTCACATAGTTTATATGTGGCAGAGTCAGGATTCAAACCCAGGAAGCCTGGCTTGAGTCCATACTTTATTTTATTTATTTTTTTATTTTAAACTCTAATTTCATGGCATATTATGGCATCCCTACTCTAAATGGGAAATTAGGTAAAGGGGAAGGTGGAGTATACTGCGGAGGGCGGTGGAGCCAATAAGGCAGACAAGGCAAATAATTTATCCTGGGAACTATGGGCCATTCTGGTGGTTTTAATTAGGAAATGGTCATGATGAGGTTGCAATAGAGTCAGAGAGAGGGAGAGACACAGTGAGGAGGCTGTAAACATGGTCACGGCAGAGACCTGTGCAGCTTGGACTAGGGTGGTCGTGATAAAGAAGAGGGCCAGGTGCAGTGACTCACACCTGTAATCCCAGCACTTTGGGAGGCCGAGGCGGATGGATCACAAGATAAGGAGTTCAAGACCAGCCTGGCTAAGATGGTGAAACCCCATCTCTACTAAAGATACAAAAAAATTAGCCGGGCATGGTGGCAGGTGCCTGTAGTCCCAGCTACTCGGGAGGCTGAAGCAGAGAATTGCTTGAACTCGGGAGGTGGAGGTTGCAGTGAACCAAGATCGCGGCTCTGCACTCCAGCCTGGGCAACAGAGCAAGACTTCATCTCAAAAAGAAAAAAAAAAAAAAGAAAGAAAAGTGGGGTTGGGTTAGAGAAAAAAACTGGACATAGGACCTATGGGACTGGCTCATGGATGGGATGTAGGGACGAGTGGAGCATCAGGTTTTAGGACTGAACATGTGAATTGGACACACAGGAGGAAGAGAAGAAGCAGGTTGGTGAGTTCAGCCTTTGACTTGTTGGGTTGGAGCTGACTTTGGGACAGCCATCGAGGGTGTGAAGTGGGTAGTGGGAGCCACCTGGGGTTGAGGATGGAGTCTAGGCAGGGGGGCCCCTCAGCACAAAGATGGTCCTGTGGAGAGGGAGGAGCCAGGCTCTTAAGAGCAGTCTTCCTCAGAACCTCCCAGGGCGTGGTTAGAAATGTAGGTCCCATGCTTCACCTGGACCCACGGCAGCCACCTCCCTGGGTGGGCCCGGGCCTCGCCTCCTTATAGGTTCTCCGGGTGACAATGAGTTGGAAGGATTTGGGCCCAGCTCAGTGAAGAGCAACTCGGAAGACCTGAGAAGATGAGCAAGGGCTGCCAGAGACATGGAGTCGCCCCAACTCACAGGCTGCCTCCAAATGCTATGGATCTGCCACTCCCCTAGTGAGCCAGCGAGCTCAGCTCCCTGACCTGACTGGCCTGTTGGCTTCTGGCCCTTCCCTTCCCCTCCACATTCCCACAGGTTACTCTTATCACCTCTTTCACCTGTCTGCTCATTCGGCCAGGCCCTCAGGATAAGGTCTAGTCCGTGGACCTTATCACATACAAGGTCACTCATCATCTGCTCCTGACCAGCTCTCCAGTTTTCTTGCTCATTTTTTCCTCCCTGCTTCCTCCATCCCCTTCCCCCATGCAACACTCTGCTTTTCCTGAGCCTTCCACGTGGTCTTTGCACGAGTTGTTCCTTGTGCTGGGAATGTCCATCTCCCCACCCTGATCCCATCCATTCTTTCTGACCCTGCTCAGAAGCTGCCTCCCGTAAAATCTCCCTCATATGCTCCCCTCTGGCCGGGCACAGTGGCTCATGCCTGTAATCCCAGCACTTTGGGAGGCTGAGGTGGGTGGATCACTTGAGGTCAGGAGTTCAAGACCAGCCTGACCAACATGGTGAAACCCCATCTCTAATAAAAATACAAAAATTAGCCGGGCGTGGTGACAGGCACCTGTAATCCCAGTTACTCTGGAGGCTGAGGCAGGAGAATCGCTTGAACCCAGGAGGTGGAGGTTACAGCGAGCTGAGATCTCACCATTGCACTCCAACCTGGGTGACAGAGTGAGACTCCGTCTCAAAAAAAAAAAAACAAGGCTCCCCTCTCTTCCTTAAGCCACAGCCCACAGCATTATACTATATCTCACCAGCAGGCACTCAGCTCCACCAGCCTCTGGACATAAGGAGGGACATGCAGGTCATCTCCAAACAAATATGGACACTTCTTGGGAGTGCAAGCTCCCGTCTCTTTCAACTCTGCATCTGCCTTACCAGGAGCACAGTGCCTGGCACAGAAAAGATGCTCACAGGGCCTCATGCAGCTGGAAGGGACCCTCTAAGGCAGAAATTAGCATGACAAAGACCCAGACCATCTTCAAGGATTTTAGACTGCTGAGCACAGGAACACAGATCACCAAGGAGAATTTGCTGGTCTATGCTGGTTACCCTCACCAAACTGGTACAGTGACAGGACCATGTTCTAGGAAGTCACAAGCCTATCTCTGTATGTGGCCTGCAGTTTGGGCTTGTGGCCATCACCATCAGGTCCAGTCCTATCTGACTATACCCAGTCCAAAGATGTCACATGGTCACATATGGAAGTCAGAAGCTTGGTCCCGTCTCCCAGCATCTCACTTTGTTAAGGCCTCCGCTTCTTTCCCCCTCTGTGATATGAGTAGGCTGACAGAAAGCCCCTTTCCTCAACACAAGGAGGTTGGCTTTTGGAGGAAACAGGAGTCTGTCCCACTCTTACGCATCTGACTTGGCTTCTCTGTCCTCCTTTGCTTTGCTCTGGTGGCTTGTATATTTTTTGAGCTTTGTTCCTACAGTTAGATAATCTTGAGCCTCTGAAGGTCCTTAGGATTCCACCAATCCACTGTTTTCCAAATTTGCCCCAGCCTTACCCCCAGACCGGCAGATTCAGGGACTCCAGGGGCCTGGCGATCTGCATCCTTAGCAAGCCTCTTAAGGGATTCACTCATCTAACCCCACCCACTCTGTTTTTTTTTTTTTTTTTTTTGAGTCGGAGTCTTGCTCTGTCACCCAGGCTCTCTGCAAGCTCTGCCTCCCGGGTTCATGCCATTCTCCTGCCTCAGCCTCCGAAGTAGCTGGGACTATAGGCACCCGCCACCACGCCTGGCTAATTTTTTGTATTTTTAGTAGAGACAGGGTTTCACTGTGTTAGACAGGATGGTCTTGATCTCCTGACTTCGTGATCCAGCCGTCTCGGCCTCCCAGAGTGCTGGGATTACAGGCGTGAGCCAGCATGTCTGGCCTTTTTTTTTTTTTGAGACACAGTCTCAATCTATTGCCCAGGCTGGAGTGCAATGGCGTGATCTCGGCCCACTGCAAACTCTGCCTCTCAGGTTCAAGTGATTCTCCTGCCTCAGGCTCCCGAGTGGCTGGGATTACAGGTACGAACCACCACACCCGGCTAATGTTTGTATTTTTAGTAGAGACAGGGTTTCACCATGTTGGCCAGGCTAGTCTTGAACTCCTGACCTTGTGATCCACCACCTTGGCCTCCCAAAGTGCTGGGATTATAGGCATGAGCCACCACTCCCAGCCTTTTTTTTTTTTTCTTTGAGACAGAGTCTTGCTCTGTCACCCAGGATGGAGTGCAGTGGCATGGCTCACTGCAACCTCCACCTCCTTGGTTCAAGTGATTCTCTTGCTTCAGCCTCCTGAGTAGCTGGGATTACAGGCACCTGCCACCATGCCCCGCTAATTTTTTTTTTTTTTTTTTTGTATTTTTAGTAGAGATGGGTTTCACCATGTTAGCCAGGCTGGTCTCCAACTCCTGACCTCAAGTGATCCGCCCGCCTGAACCTCCCAAAGTGTTGGGGTCATAGGCATGAGCCACCACACCCGGCCTTGTATACTTTTTGAGCTTTGTTCCTACAATTGGATACTCTAAATTTTTTTTTTTTTTTTTTTTTTGATACGGAGTCTTGCTCTGTCACCCAGGCTGGGGTGCAGTGGCACGATCTCGGCTCACTGCAACCTCCACCTCCCGGGTTCAAGCGATTTTCTCCTGCCTCAGTCTCCTGAGTAGCTGGGATTACAGACATGCGCCACCACCCCCAGCTAATTTTTGTATTTTCAGTAGAGAGGAGGTTTCACCATGTTGGCCAGGCTGGTCTTGAACTCCTGACCTCGTGATCCGCCCGCCTCAGCCTCCCAAAGTGTTGGGATTACAGGCGTGAGCCACCGCGCCCGGCCCAGTTGGATAATCTTGAGCCTCTAAAGGTCCTTAGGAATCCACCAATCCACTGTTTCCCAGACTCAGGATCTCCAGGGCCGGGTGATCTGCATCCTTACAAGCTCCTTAAGGGATTCACTCATCCAACCCCACCCTGCTCATTTTACAGGCTGGCTCATGGGTGGCAGAAAGCCCTCCACTGGGAGCAGGCCGATCCGAGTGCCAGCCTAGGCTCTCATTAACCTGCCAAATCATCTCATCTCTCTGAGCCTCATTGTTCCCATCTGTTTAACGGGAACAACCACTGTCATCCTGCCTAATTTGCAGAGTCCTTGGGATAGCTAGAATAACAGGGGTTGGGGGGCAGGCTCAGCGGGAGAAGAGATTTGCACAAGGTCATTTACCTCTTCATCTGCTTGTTTTGTGCCAGGAGAGAGGATTCTGCTGGGAACAACTTGTTGGGAAAGATGACATTCTAGTAAACAATGAAACCAGTAAATGAACCACATAATCACGATAAAGGGGTTTTCGAGAGTCAGGGCAAAGGTGTGTGTTGGGGGAGGGAGGGTCTGCCCAGGAGGGGTCATTCTGGCAGAGCACTGGTGGTCGGGGAGCTGTCCCAGGAGGTCCTGGAGAGCTGTCACAAGCCCAGGGGTGGAAGAGCCTGGAGGCCCTCTCGAGCCCAGCCAGAGCGTTCCCAGGGCCCTCGGAGCCGCCGCGGGCGCGGGTCTTTGTCTCCCACATTCTCTCTGCCGCCTCTCCCGACCCCCAGCGCTGTTTCGTCTCTGACCCCGAATAACTTGTTGGTTTCCCCCCGGGCTTTGTTTCCCGGGGGTCACCGCCTCGGGGACGCCGGGCAGCCGCCCCGGCCCTCGTGGGTCCTGCATCTGACACCCCCTCCGGCCCCCGCCCCCTACCCGCTCGGAGATAGGGGTCAAAGGCAGCCCGCGTCACGTGGTCGCCGAGCAGCACCGAATCGGCCGGGAGGGCCGAGGGAGAATCCGGGTGGAAGTCGAGAAATCCAGCCCCGATAGCAGCGCTCGGTCCCGCCCCGGCCCCCGCCCCGGGGCGCTCACCGCACGCCCGCCGGCCGCCCCGGCCTCCGGAGCTCTTCTCTGGCCGGCACCCACGCGGCATCACGGGATCGAACCCCGCTCCCAGCGGCCGCGATTCGGGGAGGTAGGCGCTGGGCCGAGGAGGTAAGGGGAGACGGGCTTGGGGGCTCTCGGCGCACGGGTACGCCCCTCTGGGCTAGGGGGCGAGGCAGCGCGCCCCAACCTTCAGTCTCCAGGGAGACCCCTCCCCGCTGCGGGACGAGGGGGAGGCTGCGAGCTGCCCCGGCGCAGCGCCGGGCCGGGACTGGGGGCTGGGCACCGGGAGGGAGCGGGAGGGGGAGGAGAGCGGGCGGGAGGAGGCGGCGGCGGCGGCGTGGAGCGGGGGTGGGAGCGGCGGGAGGCGGCCGCGAAGGGGTTAACCCTGGCCCGGGCCGGAGCCCGGAGGCGCACGCACGGCCCGGGGGACCCAGGCGTCCCGCTCCTCGCCGGGAGCGCCCCTTCCCCCGAGTGGCGCCCCAGCCGTGGCAGGTAAGAGGCCGAGAGGGCCCGGGCCTGCCAGTCCCCTGTCGCCCAGCCGGTGGGGCCCGAGCCCGGCGTGCAGGCCGCGCGGGGCCCCCAGCGGCCGCCGGCGCAAGTTTGGTGCGGGCGGGCGCCGGGCGGGCGGGTGGAGTCGGCCGGGCCCCGCGCGCGGGGGTGGGAGGACAAAGGGTAGGGGGCCGCGCGGGGCCGGGGGCAGGCTGGGGTGCGGGCGAGGGCAGCGCGGCAGCTGTAGGTCACGGATAATGTCACTCACGAGGAATGCCCCCTCCCCCTCCCCTGCTCCCGAACAGGGGAAACTTTTGTCTAGCGAGGGAGGGGGTTAGAGGCCGGGTCCTGGCTTCGCGAAGGCTGAGGCAGCCGGACCGGTTTTCTGCGGGCTCTGAGCGGCCTGCTGTCTAACTCCCCTCCTCCCTCAGGGTCTCGGGAGCAAGAAGTTCTCCCTTTGCACGCAGCTCTTTAACGCCCTGGGACAGGGGTGAGGAGGGGGCGCCGGTGGGACGGGTGGGCTCTAGGACCGGCCGGGAATCTGGGGACTGGCCACTTGGCTTTTTGCAGATTCGAGCAGCCCGGTGTGCCCTGCGAGGCTAAGGGAATACAGAGCCCCACCCCCTGAACGCCCATTGTTGCCCTCCCCACCCAGGAGAGCTTTCAGAATGGCCTGCGGGCAGTTTTGCCCCCAGGTCTCTTCAGAGCGACCTGGCTGTTTGTCAGTTTCCAGCGGTGTGACCTTGAGTGGGTTCCTTACCTTCCCCTAGCCTCAGTTTCTTCACCTGTAAAATGGGGAGAATGGTATTTGCTAGAATGAGGATGAGAGGAGTGTGTGGTATTTCAGTAAATGGTGTCATGCTTATATTCAACAAGTACATTTCACGTTTACTGTGTGTTAGGGCGCTGGACTAATTCATTGCTTTACATACATTCTCTCATTTAATTCTCCCGCATTACTATTAACCACATTTTACGGAGGGGCAAACTGAGGCGCAGGGTTGTAAAGGTCACACAGATAGAAAGTGGTGGAGCTTGGATTTTACCTCCCTCTCTCAGCCTGTGTCTCAGCCACAGATCTCTAGAGTGTCTTGCTGTGACAGCTCACAGTTTATTTCTCCTTTTTTTTTTTTTTTTTTTTTTACAACTTTGGCCCTGTACAGTTTCATTTTCAATTGAAATTATGGGGACATCTGTCCTCTTCCCCATTTTCCCCACCGGCAGGTAATGCTCTCTTCTGCCTGGTACTTGTTCCAAGTGAGGTCTTGTGCCCTGGCTCTTGTTAGCATGGGCAGCTGGAGCAGGAGGGAGGTCAGTTGGAGACTGGGCCTGGAACTCCGTAATGGTCCAAGTGCTGTTGCTGGCTGCTGTGTCTATGGCAGTGCGGATGGTGCAGGGAGAAGCCTGTCTCCCTGGCTCTGACTGGAGACAGCTGGTGGCTTTGTCAACAGGCCTCTCTCCCTAGCACCCAGGGACAGCCACATCTTTACTTCTCTTTCAGACCAGGTTACTTTCAGATCAGCAGGGGGCAGAGGTAGGGCAAGGGTGTTCTTGTGTAACTTGGCCATGGCAGGGGTTCTCATTGCTAACTAATAGACGGGTCTGGATGCGCAGAGTCCTTGAGGATAGTAATAGTGTCAGGATTGCAGAACCCTAATGGAGAATGCATGTGTGTACAGGTCCCTGAGCCTAGCTAGCTCAGTATTGGGCACCCTGTAGGCCCTCAGTAAATATCCCACAAGTGAATACGTGAAGTGGCTTAGATTTCTGCTGGCTTTCACACCCTGGGTTGGCCCAATCATTTGGTGGGGGTGACATCTTATGAGTACTGATCGGGCTCTGATTGAGGTCCTTGAGTAATTACTTTAAAAATGGAAAACAAATTGCAATTTAATTAACAACATCTTAAATCTAGGGCTGAGAGAGAGTGTGGTGGGTGGGGGTAGATAATGAGAGAAGTTCTTGGGGAAGGAAAGTTTGTGCATTTCAGCCTGCTCCGAGGGGTGTTCCAGCACTGTGTCTGGGTTTTGCAGGGTTTGTAGGCTTTTTGAGGGCCCTGGAAATAGGGGGCCCTCCTGGGCTGATAGTTCAGCTTGTAGGAATAAATGTGGAAATTCCGTTGCTTTGCTGGACATTGAGGGGACTCAGAAAAGCAGGGCATTGAATGGAGGAGTTGGAAGGCTGACTCGTCATATGGTCAGACTGTCCTTGTCATTGTGGTCAGAGCAAGAGGAAAGGCCTCTGGGGGAATCAACAAGTAAAGGGAGGGCCCCAGCAAGCAAGAGAACATGGATAGTGAGCCTCCTGTCGCAAGGAGGTATGCGACGAACAGTTTTGTAATCACAAGTTGAGGATGTGGTCAAGAATTTAAGATCATAGGCTGGGGGTTGGCGTCTGACAAACTCACAAATGGGCTCTGGTCTAGGCAGCCCAGAGCTCTCTCTGCCCTAGGCTTTGGACCTGCTTGGCTGTGCTTTGGCCGCCCTTCCATGCTTTGGGACCAAAGCCAGGCCTGCAAGTCTCTGGAGGCTGGGCCGACTTCTACTGGCCTGGAATTTGGATTTGAGTATGGCTTGAAATATCTGGACTGTTTGGAGGACTTGGACATTCTTTACTTGAAATGGAACATTAGGGTAATTTGTGAAATGTGTATGGAAAATGTCTGTGGCTGAGGGTGACAGGGGACATGAAATGGGGTGCAGTCCTGCTGGATTCAGGAGAGGCTGTTCTGATGGAGGACAGAAGACAAGGATTCAAATGATGGCTATGGGGCAGGATCTGATCAGTTATAGATGGGTTTTGGAAGGTCAGTGGAAGGAAACGCTTTCTGCTTATTAATGTCAGCAAGGCCTCCTGGAGGAGGAAGTGTTTTCGAGGGTGCAGACTGCGGGAAATGGGACAATAGGAGACAAGATTAGGTCATGGGGAGCCTGCAGTGCCCTGCTCAGGAGTTTGGATTTTATTCTGTAGCCTATAGAGAGGACAGAGGGTTGTAAGTAGCTCATTGACTCGATGCCTGTTCCTGTGCCTTGTGTCAGGCACCATGCCAGGCTCTTTACAGACACCCCATTGAAATATCACAATACTCTGCAAAGTAGCTGCTGCTGCTGGTCCCCTATCCCTGCCCCATTTTCAGATGAGGAAATAGAGGCTCAGAGGGGTGGAGTCACTTATAGAGCTGGAATTTGAACCCAGGCCTGAACTATTTCTGCCTTACTGTGTTGCTTCTCAGGGGTCTTTTGACCAAAGATGGGAGCAAGACTGGCAGAGTTAAGACCAGGCCAGAGATTGCGCTCATCATGGTCCTGCAGAAAGCTGACCACAGGCTGACTCAGGCAGCGGACTGACAGGGAAGGAGGGGGAAGCTGCAGGACTTTGTAGCTGTCTTGGCATTTGGGGTCGTCACAGGTGGTTTTAAGGTTTGGGGAATAACCCTTAAGGGGCAATATTACTGCTTTCAAATCCCTGAAAGGCCCTCTACAGGTAGGGGGCATAGTCTTGTCCTTCAGGGTTCCTGAGGATGGAGAAAGCAACAAGGGTGACAGCTCCAAGGAAGCTAGTCCGGAAGTAAGCTGCCCAGAAAGAAGGCGAGAACAGCATGGCTGAAGGTATGCAAAGAGCCTGGAGAGCTGCAGAGGCGGCAGGAGGATGCATCAGCAGGGGCAGGCCTGGGTGGCCACTCTCAGTTCCCTTTTCACCCAAGAATCTCAGCATTTGGATGGTGCCTGGCCCACCTCCACCCTCTGTTTTCTCATAGCTTTGGAGCTGCCCTTCCTGCACGTCCTGGGGAGTTCCATATGGCCTGGCCTGCAGAGCTCCACTGGGAGAGTCCTTGCCGTTTGGAATACACTCAGCCCAGCTGACTGTCAAGGGGCCCCTTGGGGATGTCTGGAGCAGTGGCCAGAGCTGGGCTAAGGACTGTACTTTCACAGAGGATTTGAACCCTCTGCTTCCATTTCTCATCTGTGAAATGGGGTCAGTCTCTTTTTCCTCACCTGTGAAGAAATAAGGCTAAATCATGAATCAGGCTGAATCAGTAGGGCTTAGGGCAAAAGGGCTGGTGAGTTTGTGGATTTGAAAGTGAAGACGCAGGCGGGGGTTGTTCCCCTCCTTCCCTGCAGTGGAGGTTAAAGGAGGCTCTCTTGGTTTCTGGGGGTCACCAGCAAAGTTGCTTTCTCTGTCTGTGGGGCTCTTACAAAGCTCTGCCTCACAGCTTCTGTCTTGGAGGTGTGGAGCTCAGTGGAAGAGGTGGATGTTTGGGGGCAGCGGTCCTGGACCCTGCGGCCTCAGGGCTAAAGCCAATTTGCCATCAAAATCCTTATCTAGATGGAGGAGAGTTTGTGCTAAGTTGCCTCCTGGCCCTTTTATTTCTACTCACCTTGTTTCTTGAATACAGATTGGATTAATCTAATTTTAAAATGTGCATGACGAATGAGCATTTGTTTATTTGAGGGCAATGTATGGGAAGTGCCTGCTGTGTGACTGCAGGGCCCCCTCTCCCACTCCCCCTCAACTCTCAAGCAGAACTGGCCTCTTTCCCTCTCTCTGGCTGTGCTCCTGGCCCCTCCTACCTCTACAAATCTGCTCATGGTGAAAATGCTGCACTCCAGTCACTTCCCCTTGCTCACCCTAAAATCCTCCCTACCAGTACACAGCTCCAGGGTCACCTCTTCCATGTAGCCATCCCTAATTCTCCAGAGCTGGCATTGCCTGCTCCCTCCTTTACATGTGTAGAACCTGTTACCTGGACCTCTCATGGGCCCTTCAGCTCTTAGCTTTGAACTCTAGCTTCCTAAAGACAAGTCTTATCTCCTCTAGGCTCTGTACTCTGGAGGCAGGGGCTGCACATGACCGCTTTCCAATGGGGGTGGGCAGTGTTGTAGAGTGGAATCAAAAGTCCTGGGTTCAAATCACCATTCTGCTACTACTAGCTGCATGATCTAGGGTAAATTACCTAAATTTCCCTGGACATCAGTTTCCTCAACTTCACAATGGGGATAATAATAGTTCTGTTTTGTTAGGGAGGTTAAGGAAATCAGTGCTTTGACATAGTAAGTGTGCAGTAAGTAGAAGCTGTTCAAAGATAACAGTTGTTATAATTATTGTTTGTAGCTAGAGGGGATCTGTCCTTTTAGAGATGAGAGAAAGAATCCCTGGAATTTGAGTTTCTGAACTTTCTGCCTAATGGCCTGAGATGGCATGTGCAGATGAGGAAACTGAGGCCTGGAGAGATAGAGCAATTTGCATGGTATGTGGGAACATCTGGTTTCATCTAGGAAGCTGGACAGGATTTCTTTTCTTTGTTATGCCTCTGTTTTTCTTCTTCCTTCCTGTCATCAAGCCTAAGGTGCTCAAGTTCCATGGGCTCAATCTCCTCCCTGGTGACCATGTTGAAGGATGTCTAAAGATTACACCAGATAAATTGGGCTGGCTGAGAAGGTCCCGCTGGGCTGGCGGCCCTGTGGCTGTCCTCGTAACCAGGGACCCGTACCCCAGACTGCATGGGCTGGAGCTTTTGGAGGCCTCCCACCCAGTCTCACTTTGCCTGGGAAGGGGGAGAGGATGGCGGCAGAGACAGGTGACATGGGCTTGGTCTTGGGGCAGGTGACTAGAAGATCCAGACAGAGCAAAGGTTGAGAGCCAGGCTCTGGAGCCAGGTGGCCTGTGTTCAGGTCCCTGCTGGGCTGCTTCCTATGTGTGAGACCTTGGGCAAGCTGTTTAGCTCTTCCTCTGTACAAAGGGGATGATAATTATCCCCATCTGACAGGATTTAGAAAGATAACACACTGTGAGCCCAATCTATGTGAATTATCGTTATTATTGTAGTTGATATTATTAACTAAGGAGTTCATTTAATCCTCACAACAGCAATGAGAGATAGGCACTATTATTATTCCCTTTTAGCAGATGTAGCAAGCAAGGCTTAGAGAGGTAGGTGGCCAGCCTGGAGAAGTTTAGTCCCAGGGGATTACAGTCAGGGCCCGCTGCTTTCTGAGGGGTTGCTCTGGCCAGAGGAGGTAGACTTGTGTGAGGTGCTGGAGGGCAAATCCAATGGGTAGATGGGCCAGGAGAGGCTGACTTCAACTCAGTGTAATGAGGAGACTTAAAAAAAAAATTAGAGCAAGCCAAGATGGAAGGGATTGTGTCTGCAGGGAGCGAGCTCCCTGTTTCTGGAGGTGGAAGCAGAATCCTGGAGCTCATGTGATGAAGAAGTGGTGGGGATGGCCTCGTTCAGACCTGAGGTCTGGCTCCACGAGGGAGGGCTTGGATTTTTATCATCCTAGGCTGTCCAAGGGATCGGCCTGTCTGGGCAGGTCCCAGGGTGGCATTAGGTGGAGGTTTGCTATAGTCATCGCTGCACGGCAGCCACCTCTGGTTTACACCACCAGCCTTGCAAGTATGACCTGCCCAGGCAGAGGCCAGATGAGGAGAAATGAGTGTTGTCATAGCAGGGCCTTTACTCATGCTGCATCCTCTGCCTGCATTCATTCCCTCCCCCTCTCCTTATGCCCGGGCAACTCCTGCTAATGCTTCTGTGAGTGTAAGCACCATCTATTCATGGAAGCTCTTCCTGATCCACCTGCAGGCTAAGTCAGTGGTTCTGAAAGTTGGGTTCTGGATCAGTAGCGTCAGCGTTACCTGGGAACTTGTTAGAAGTGCAGATTATCTAGCTCTATACTGGACCTGCTGAATTAGATATCCTGGAGGGTGGGATTCAGCAATCTGTTTTAAGAACCTTCCCGCTGATTCTAATGCATGCTGAATTTTTTTTTTTTTTTTTTTTTTTTTTTTTGAGGCAAAGTTTTGTTCTTGCTGCCCAGGCTGGAGTGCAATGGTGTGATCTCGGCTCACTGCAACCTCTGCCTCCCAGGTTCAAGTGATTCTCCCATCTCAGCCTCCCAAGTAGCTGGGATTACAGATGCCTGCCACCATGCCCAGCTAATTTTTGTATTTTTAATAGAGACAGGGTTCCACCATGTTGGCCAGGCTGGTCTCGAACTCCTGACCTCAGGTGATCTGCCCACCTCGACCTCCCAAAGTGCTGGGATTGCAGGCATGAGCCACCGCACCTGGCCGCGTGCTGAATTTTAAGAAATACTAGGATAGATCATTAAAAAAAAAAACTGATGCCTGTTTCCTTGGGCTCTCTTGTTTTCAGCCTATTCAGTCACCCAGCAGATGTGGGGGACCCAGAGTAAAGCCCAGGTTCTCACCACCCTGTTTTCAAGGAGCCCCCATCTTGTAACAGCTCCCTATCCCCCAGGAAACAATCTCGTGACACAATGATGGGATACAACAGAACCCCAACATGATTATAGGAGCCAGTGCTGGGGCAACATGAGGAAGGCAGGATTGGGGAGCTGGAAGAGCAGGGGAGATTTTGTGGGTTGCAAGCCTGGGTGCCAGAGACATGGCAGCTCTCTTCTGGGGCTGGGGCCAGGGCAGGGGTTGGGCAGAGAGCATGGGCTCTGCCTTAAAGAATAGTGTGCTTAGGGCCGGGCGTGGTGGCTCATGCCTGTAATCTCAGCACTTTGGGAGGCCAAAACGGGTGGATCACCTGAGGTCAGGAGTTTGAGACCAGCCTGGCCAACATGGTGAAACCCCATCTCTACTGAAATACAAAAATTAGCTGGGCATGGTGATGGGTGCCTGTAATCCCAGCTACTTGGGAAGCTGAGACAGGAGAATCGCTTGAAACTGGGAGGTGGAGGTTGCAGTGAGCCGTGATTCTGCCACTGCACTCCAGCCTGGGCAACAGAGCAAGACTCCATCTCAAAAAAAAAAAAAGTATAGTGTGCTTAGGTGTGTATATGCACACGTGTGTGTGGTGTGGGTGCACACATATGCGATTACAATGGCCATATGTAGTCTGAGGGGGCTGAGTGGCCTTAACTGCTATCAATCCAGTGGTTTTAAGCATCTCAATAATTTTTTTCCTTTTTTTTTTGAGACGGGGTCTCACTCTGTCACTGAGACTGGAATGCAGTGGTGCGATCTTGGCTCACGGCAACCTCTGCCTCCCAGGTTCAAAGGATCCTCCCACTTCAGCCTCCTGAGTAGCTGGGACTATAGGTGTGCACCACCACGCTCAGCTATTTATTTGTGTGTATTTTTTGTAGAGATGGGGTTTTACCATGTTGTGCAGGCTGGAATCCAACTGAACTCAAGCGACCCTCCCACCTTGGCCTCCCAAAGTGTTGGGATTACAGGCATGAGCCACCGCACCCAGTCAGCATCTCAATAATTTCTTTTTCTTTCTTTCTTTCTCTCTTTTCTTTTCTTTTCTTTTCTTTTCCTTTCTCTTTCTTTCTTTCTTTCTTTCTTTTCTTTTCTTTTCTTTTCTTTCTTTTCTTTCTTTTCTTTCTTTCTTCTTTCCTTTTTTTTTCAGAGTCTCACTCTGTTGCCCAGGCTGGAATGCAGTGATCTTGGCTCACTACAACCTCTGCCTCTCAGGTTCAAGCGATTCTCCTGCCTCAGCCTCCCAAGTAGCTGAGATTACAGATGTGTGCCACCACACCTGGCTAATTTTTGTATTTTTAGTAGAGACGGGGTTTCACCATGTTGGCCAGGCTGGTCTCGAACTCCCGACCTCAAGTGATCCACCTACCTTGGCCTCCCAAAGTGCTGGGATTACAGGCCTGAGCTACCGCGCCCGGCCTCAATAATTTTTTTTTTTTTTTTGAGACGGAGTCTTGCTCTGTCACTCAGTCTAGAGTGCAGTGGCACGATCTCAGCTCACTGCAACCTCTGCCTACTGGGTTCAAGTGATTCTTCTGTCTCAGCCTCCCGAGTAGCCGGGACTACAGGCACACGCCACCACGCCCAGCTAATTTTTGTATTTTTACTAGAGACAGCATTTTGCCATATTGGCCAGGCTGGTCTTGAACTCCTGACCTCATGATCCACCTGCCTCGGCCTCCCAAAGTGTTGGGATTACAGGCGTGAGCCACTGCACCCGGCCTAATAATTTTATTTTTTTATTTTTTATTTTTTTTTGTGATGGAGTTTCACTTTTGTTGCCCAGGCTAGAGTGCAATGGCGCGATCTGGGCTCATTGCAACCTCTGCCTCCCGGGTTCAAGCAATTCTTCTGTCTCAGCCTCTTGAGTAGCTGGGATTACAGGCGCCTGCTACCACGCCCGGCTAATTTTTGTATTTTTAGTAGAGACGGGGTTTCATCACTTTGGTCAGGCTGTTCTCGAACTCCTGACCTCGAGTGATCTGCCCGCCTCGGCCTCCCAAAGTGCTGGGATTACAGGCATGAGCCACCGTGCCCGGCCTTAATAATTTTAATGATGATGATCATAATTGCTGCTCACATTTATTGACAGCTTATAAATGCTTGCTGGGCACTTCCATGTCACCTCATCAGAAGCAATCCCCAGGACAATCCTATAGGTAGGCAGTATCATCACTATTACTGTCCCCACTTAATAGATGAAAATACTGAGGCCACACAGCTATAAAAGGATAGATCTAAGAATTCTGTGGAGATATATAGAGTGCTTAAAGGCATGATCTCATTGGAAGGAGAGCAGTAGGGGATTGTCATGGAGTGTTTGTATCATAGGCACAACTTACGGTGATTTTCTAAAGATGTCCCCAAATATATATTTTGTCAAATGAGTGAATTATGCTTTGGAGGAAGGTGGATGGGATTGTGTTGGGGTGGTTAGGGCTCCAGCCTCCAAGCTGGGGCTTCCACTGCAGACATTGTTGTTCTCCTGTTTTGTGGATGGGCTGTCTGAGGCTCAGAGATTCAGTAGTGAGTTCAAGGTTCCACTGCTAGGGCAAAAGAACAAATCAGAGAGATGAAAGTGGATCTCTAACTGGGCATGGTGGCATGTGCCAGAAATCCCAGCTACTCGGGAGGCTGAGGTAGGAGGGTTGCTTAAGCCCAGGAGTTCAAGACCAGCCTGGACAACATAGTGAGACCCTGTCTCAAACAGCAAAAAGAGTAGATCTCCTTTGGTTCTAACAAGAGGGGATGTGAGATTCAAGATCAGAGCCCACTGTCCACTCTGCTGTCTTTTCGTGCCTCGGTGTCCCCAAGCTGCTGCCCAGGAGCCCAAGGGTGGGCAGTCTTTGTCTGACACAGGAACCCCTTCACTTCACATTTAGGGGATTGAGGCCTAGTGGAGCAGGGACTCACCCACGGCCACACAGGGGGTCAGAATTACTGTTGAGGCCAGAATCCAGAATTGTTTCAGTTCCAACCAGGAAGGGGTTTGTTTCCCAAAACCTGTCCCTACCCCACCCCTTCTTTGGCAGGCGGAGTAGCTGTCGCCCTCAGGGTGGCCCAGAGCAGTGCTGGGGGTAGAGATGAAGGTGCCTTGTGAAGACACTGCCAAGAAGGGGTGGGGCAACTTCCAAGAGGAAGAGCACCAAGAAGCCCAAACCCCAGACGGAAACCAAATGTATTTTCTGGGCCCTGAGAGGATATTTGGAACAATGGAGGTGGGATGAGGGAAGTTAAAAAGGGCTTCTTGATATCCTTAGAAAAAAAAAATACAGGCTTTAAGTTTGACTTTTGTTTCTCTGAAGGATGTTTGTGTAACTTTCTGAAGGCAGGATCCCAGCACTCTGTGAAGCTTGTCAGATGCTGTTTTTTTGTTTTTTTAAATTTTTATATTTTTTTGAGACAGAGTCTGCTCTGTTGCCCAGGCTGGAGTGCAGTGGCGCGATCTTGGCTCACTGCAGCCTCCATCTCCCGGGTTCAAGCGATTCTCCTGCCTCGGCCTCCCGAATAGCTGGGATTACTGGTGTGTGCCACCATACCCAGCTAAATTTTTTTTGTATTTTTAGTAGAGACGGGGTTTCACCATATTGACCAGGCTGGTCTCGAACTCCTGACCTCAGGTGATCTGCCTGCTTTGGCCTCCCAAAGTGCTGGGATTGCAGGCATGAGCTACCACGCCTGGCCATTAGGTGCTGTTTTTATAGATTCAGGGCTTTGGAGCTGGGAAGGACTCGATCAAGTAGTCTCCTCACTTTATAGTTGGTGAAATGGAGGCTGAGAGGTGGGGGGCCTGCTTGAGGTCACACAGTGAGGCAGCCGAGGTCTTGGATCTTCCTATGTGTTGCAAGAGGCTGTCCATCTTGACTTACCACCTCCTGGGACCTGGCTGGCATGGGGGCTGGGCGGTCACTGATGAGGGGTTCCCTTCAAAATGCTCATTGCTGCTGGGGATAGGATAAGGCCAGGTCTGGTCTTGGGCAAGATGAGCCCACTGGTGGGGAGAAGGCTGAGATGGTACACCTGGTAATGCCACCCTCATCCAGATGCCAGGCCCAGCTGTGCACCGTCTGCCCAGCAGCTGGGAGCTGTGAGTCACACCCAGTGGATACAGAGGCGCAGGCCATTGTGTGCCGTGATTCATTCTGTTCTCCCGGCCCCGAAGGGATGACGAGGCCCTGAGCACCGATCCATGCCCACGCCTGTGGATGAAAGCTGATATGAGGAGGCCCAGGGGACCTGAGGGAGTCGGCTCCCTCTGCTACCTCCTGTCTCTTGAGTATCCTGTGATCGTGACCTGTCCATTCCCACCAGTGCAGGGGTCCATGAGCCCCCAAAGGTGCAGTGAGTTGTAGGCATTTCTGTGTTTTCTTTTTCTGAAGAAAGAGTTTGTTGGTTTCATCAGATCATCAGAAGGCTGGGTGTCCCTGTGGAGTGCTGACGGGGCCGTGTGCACTGCGGGCTTGAGAAATGGTGGCAGCGTGGTGCAAATAGAAAGTAGCCTGGTGGCAGTGTAGCATCCTGGGTCAGGGTGTGGTCTTGGAGACGGGCTGTTGGCTTCTGAGCTGGCACCTCCACTTAGGAGCTGTGTGACATTGGGTAAGTTACTTTGTCTGTGCTTCCTCAGTAAAATGGCAATAACAGTATTTATCTCATGGTGTTATAGTTAGACTTTTAGGTAAGTTAATGTTTGTAAAGGACTTACCTCGTGCTTGGTACAAAGTAATCATTTGGTAAAAGTTTGCTGTTGGTAGTTCTAGCTCTGCTATGAATTTGCTGAGTGATCTTGTAAGTGTCTGATCCTGGGGTCTTAGTCTCCACCCCTGGCTCCGCACTCTGTGCTGGGCTTTCTAGGAGCTGCAGGACCAGCTTAGAGAGCAGGGGTGGGCAGGGGAGGTAGGGGAAACCCTTTCTGCATTCTGGGACTCCCTAGCCCAGGCCCTCCCTGGCTTTGTCCTGAGGCAGGGTTATGTAACCAGCCGGGTCTGGCCAGGCAGGGCACGATTCTCAACCTCCTTTTGTCCCTCCATTGTCTCTTTCTCTCCCTTCCCCCCACGGAGCTGTCGTTAGCTGACCTGTTCCTCAAGCTCCAGGGATGAAATTGGACCCTTGCTATTCTGCCACCAATTGATTTAGTTTAGTCCAGAGGTTTGCTGGGCTGGCGGCCCCTCCTCCCGCTACCTGGGGACAGCACTAAACTGATACCTCTATGCCTGCTTCATGCCTCCTTTTTGGGGAGGAAACACAGGAGTCTAGATGACTTGGGCTCTTGGTCCAGCCTGCCAGGTTGTAGGGACAGGATGTTCCTGCCTATGGCCTCTGAAGTTCTAGAGGTACACCCCACTCCCTATCCAGGATTCCTTCCCCAGAAGAGCCTTCTCCATCCTTGCAGCCCAGCACCAATGCCTTCTCTTCCAGGAAGCCTTCCAAGGTACCTCAGCTGCAGGGAAGTTGGCCTCTACTGAGCTCCACAGTGTGTTCTCTGTCCCTTTTAAGAAAACAGAGGTCACAAACTGGCAGGCCACATTTGCCCTATGGGCAGATTTTGTTTGGTCCATGCCAAATATTGAGCTGGTTGCCAACCAGAGGTTTTACATAAAAACTCAGACTTCTGGCTTTATTTCAAAAATTGGAAGACAGGAAAACCTTGAGCCTACATTCTCCAGGGGTCATTGCTGGAGGTGAGGCATGTACACTTCACCCCATCCCCAGCCAGCCATTTCATATGCTTACATGATCTTTCTGGTCACTGGAGGCATCTGAGTTTGCAACCCTGTCCTTAAGCTATGAACCACTTTCTCTCCTACCTTGTTCCTTTGTGGGCTCTTCTAAGGCAGCGGGTGTAAGGGCTGTGGGCTGAATCACCTTTGTGTCCCTCGAAGCATGGAAGCATTGGAGCATCATGCTTAGGCTCAGGACGGTTTCCCCAGTAGGAGCATAACAAGTGCTTCCTGTGTGAAAGCAGGTGTGGCCATGGTCTATCCCTCCAGCTGTGAAGGTTCCATTTGCTAGAGGCCTCTGGGTCAGCCTGCTCTGTGACCCTCGAATCCTCCCCCAAGATAAGCTCTGCCTGCGTAGCCACTGACCCAGGCGGCTTCTTAAGCTGCAGATAACAGTCCCTGAAAGGGCGGGCCCCACCCTGCAGTGTAACCAAGGAGAGGAGCATCCACCTGCAGCTGTCACCAGGTCTTACTCTCATGGTGGGCTTGGAGGAGTTTAGGGAGGGGAGGACTGTGCTCAGCAGCCTTCAGAGGATATCAGGTCCAGACCTCTGTGTGCTGAGGCCAGCAGGGTGAAGAGGGGTGTGGACCAGTTCAGATGTTTACTGGCCTGGGCTTCTTCTCCATTGGGCCTCTCTGTGCTTTCTCCTCCTAGAGTATGTTGCTTTATCCGACAGCTCCCTTGTCCAACTGTCTGTCCCGTCAAGGTTTATTTAACTCATTCAATTGAAATCTTAAGTATTCCCTGGGGCCTGCTAAGATGTCTTCTCCTGGAAGAGGTCTTAGCTGAGAGGTTGCAATTGTTCTGGCTACAGGAAAAACCTGGGAAGCTTGCAAAAATGCATGCAGATTGCTGCCCCCACCCGCTGCCTCCTGCTCTGATTCTTTCATTCTAGGGTGTAGCCTCCCCATCCTGAGAACATTCAGACCAGGGGGTCTATAGACCACTCTTTAAGGACTGTCTTAGTGCATGGAGCCCAGGGCTGGTAGGGAGGAGCCTTGGGTGGCTGTTGTGCTGGGCGACATTAACCATGCCCCTTTCTCTCTCTGGGCTACTCTTTTGCCCCCTGTGCCAATGTTCTGGGCTTCCCCAGTTGTCGTGGCTGAGTGCAATGTGAGCTATCCTTGGAGAGGATAACACAGAGTGGATTGGGGCAGGTGCCAGTGTCTGGGTGGGGTGAGGGCTGCCAGTCCTGGCCCCACCCTAGCCAGGCCCAGAGGAGTTTCACATTCACATTAGGGAACAGGTCAGGAGAGGAGGCAGACTGAAAGCCTGGCTCAAAGTGGGCAAGTGCTGTGCCCCTGGTATCAGGCCCCACAGGGAAAGCCTGGCCTGGGTGGCCCAGTGACCTGGCCACAGGCTGAGGGGCTCTCCTGCTGTGTGGTCCTGTGGCAGGCAGGCTGAAACATCAAGTGCAGGCATGAACAAGCCATTTACAGCCGGGTAAACTGAGGTACATAGAGGGAAGACACTCTCCTAATGTCACTTGAGTGGGTGGAAAGCTGGGCTGGGACCCCAGGTCTTCCAATGCCAGGCAAGGCCACACTCTTCCATCTCCACCTCCCTCTGCAGGGGCAGTGGCAGATCATCTAGCTGGGACAATCATCTGATTGTCTATGACGACCTAGTTAGAGCCTGGAAAAATGAACCATCGTCACAGCCACCCCGGAGGCATGAAACCGGTTGGGTGTGCAAATTACCCCTCAAACATTCTCCATCCCATTTTTTGTTGTTGTTGTTTTGTCTTTCCTTAAACTATCTGATGGGACAGCTGCCTCTGTGCCCGCTTCCGCCTGACACTGGGCTTCGTGCTCTTCATTCTGAGAACAAAGCTTCCTTCTGATAGTCCTCCTGCTGACCACAGGAAAAGGGCAAGCGTAGCACCAGCCTCCCTCCTCTGCCTCCTCTTGCTGGGAGCATGGGGTAGGCAGCCTTGGATGGATGCTGGAAAGGCCATGAAGGTGGGTGGCGGCGGTCCAGTCCACATTCCCTCTGGCAGCCCAACTGTCAGGACTCAGAAGTTCTCCCTCATGGCCAAAAGGAGAGGAAAAGGCACCGGACAGGGACAAACGTAAAGTCTTGTCATCCATTGGTCCAAGCAGTCAATTGGACTAGAACAGGACTGGGAATTTGGCTGGGAACTGGCCAGGCGAAAACCCTCAGGGTTTTAGCTGGCCCAGGTTGAGTCTTGTATCAGCCTCTAGCCCCTGGTCTGTAGGGGCTGTGTAAGCCTAAAGTTGTGTGTTCAGATGAGGGAGACAATAGTCCCTCATTCAGTATATTTGTATTAAACATCTACTTTGGTCCAGGCTCTTTTCTAGAACTGGGATGCAGCAGTGAACAAAACACATGGAGACCCTGTTTTGGACGTGGGGCTGACATTTGAGTGGTGGGATGAAATGAACAGCCCAACAAGCTCACTGTCAGGTGGTGAGATGTGCCTGGAAGAAAAATAAAACTGGCTTGTGGGTCAAGAGTGTGATTTGGGGGAGTGACCCAGCCATGTCAGGTGGTCAGGATGGTCCCTGGTGAGGGGCAGTAGACTCCGGGAGGGTGGCCCACGGGAAATTGAGGGAAGAATTTTCCAGGCAGAGGGAGCTGCAGGGCAAAGGCGCTGGAACTGGAGGGCATGGGTGGCCAGAGGCAGGGCTGAAAGAATGAGAGGATGGTGGAGGAGAGGGGCCAGAGGGCATGTGGAGACAGGTAGGGCCTCTTGGCCATGGGGAGGACTTTGTTGTTTGAGTCTGAGTGGAGGGGAAGCTGCTGGCGGGCCCGATGTGAGGACTGACTGGTTTGGGTACACATTTTAGAGAGACTGCTGGGGGTGAGGGTGGACGCAGGATGACTAGCTGGGAGGCTGCTGCAGTCTTGCCACGAGAGAGGTTGGGCGAGTCAGTGGTGGGTGGGGACGGCGGGGGAGCAACCAGGGGTTGGTTCTGGATTTATTTTGCAGGATGAGCTGATGGGATTTGCTGATGGATTAGATGTGGGGTGTGAGAATAGAGTGTTGACCGCAAGGTTTCTGGCTTGAGGAACTGGAAGGACAGTTGGACAGTATTGCTATTTACCAAGACAGAGAAGGCTGTGGGACAAGCAGGTTTGGGAAGAGCAATTAAGATTTGGGGTCAGCTGTGCTGGGGTGGGGCCTATGCTGGTGGGGGAGGGGCATGGTGCACATGGGTGCTGGGTCCTGCATGTTCCTGTTGCTGTCAGGAACAGCAACAGGGGTTGTGTGAGGGGCCCCAATGCTAGGAGTCTGTTCTGTGAGAACAAATGTTTCCTGGTCCCTTCATGTCCTTTTCTCTCTCTGCAAACCTCCCTCTGCTTTTCTCTTCCTTTTGGACGAGGAAAAAGGCAGATTCTGAAGCCTCATTGTCACTGTGATGGTCCTAGCCTTTCTGCCTGGCATGCCTCCTGACAGGGAGTTCCTTCTGGGGTAGGCAAGGTTGGGGGCGGAAGGGTGGGGTGGAGGTTCAGGCCTTATCCTGGCTCTGCTACCAACAGAGCTCTTTGCCTTGGTTTCCCCTCCTGTATGGAGAAGGGTTGAGGTGGCCCCAGGGTTCTGAGGGTGGCAGGGAGCATTTGAGGAGGCCACATGGCACAGTGGTTAAGAATCTGGGCTTGGGGTCAGGCAGGCATGGGCATGAATCCTTGCCTGCTGCTTGGCTGTGAGACTGTGGACGAGTAACATAACCTCTCTGAGCCTCAATTTTCTCATCTGTAGAAATGGGCCAGTGATAGTACCTGCCTCACAGGGTTACTGTGAGGTTGAATGAGGAAATGTCCATAAAGCACTTAGTGCCAGGTGCAGTGACTCGTGCCTGTAATCCCAGCACTTTGGGAGGCTGAGGCTGGTGGATCACCTGAGGTCAGGAGTTCGAGACCAGCCTGACCAATATGGAGAAACCCCGTCTCTACTAAAAATACAAAATTAGCCAGACACGGTGGCACACACCTATAATCCCAGCTACTCAGGAGGCTGGGGCAGGAGAATCATTTGTACCTGGGAGGTGGAGGTTGCTTGTGGTGAGCCGAGATTGTGCCATTGCACTCCAGCCTGGGCAACAAGAGTGAAATTCTGTCTCAAAAAAATAAACAAACAAAAAAATAAAGCACTTAGCAAGGCCCTGGCATATAGCACACCTAGTAAACCAAGGCCTCTGCTCACAGTGACCCATGCAGGCAGGCAGGTAAGGGGCTTGGCCTAGTGAGTGGGAGGAACCGTGGGAGGTTATTGAATAGGAGCATGCCAGGCATGTGGTTTGATGGGGCAGCTGTGAGTGTGGAGACTTGGGCTGAGTTTTCTTAGCAAGTCCAAGAGCCCCTTCCACCTTCCAGAGTGAGAGCTGCGGGCCGGCCCTAATGGACCATCTTCCTTTCCCTAGCCAAGGGTCTTCATTGGCTTGGCATGGGCAGCCTCTGTTTTGCACAGGTCCCTTGGGGTGGGGTGGTCATTTTCCTTAAGGCCTCCTATAGGACCCCTTGTCTCTATATCCCAGTGGCTAGCCTTAGGGAAATGTGAGGGAAGGGCTTTGGGGGTGTGTGACATCAAAGGGACTTAATTTACGTGTAGGTAGGGCTCTGGACAGGGCTGATGGGTCAGGCGGATCCTGGAGTGGCAGTCCACTGGACACTGGGAGTGACCTCGGTTTCTGGTCTGCATCCAGGCTGGGTGGTGCTTGCTCCAGCAGAGCCGTGGAGAGGTTGACAATGGGTGGAATGTGGCCCCTTCAGAACCCACACTTCACTGGTGCCCAGGCATGCCAGCCAAGCCCTCTGCTTCTGCAAGCCTGTTTCCCAGCAGTTGAGCTGTGCCAGGACAGCCAAGGACATTTCAGAGTCCCCAGGGCTCATAGCCAGGCTGTCACCGGGCATTGCTTATTTTCCCAGGGCCCAGGAGTCTTCAGGGATGGTGGGGGTTCTGGAGATGTTCCAAGGACTTTTCTTAACAGCTTGGTAAATTGAGGTCTGGAGAGAGCAAGGCACTTGACCAAGGTCTCACAAGGCCGCCTCCCTCATATCTGCCACTCCCCTCTGTTTCCGTGTCCTCTGCACAGACTCCTGGCCTTCTGCCTGGACGTTTGTAACAACCTCCCTCTTGTGGGCTCCCTAAGAGCTTTGTTTGTCCTCCATTATCGTAATCTTGCCATAATCTGCCAGATGCACACACTATTTGATGTGTCTACCTCCTGTCCCCTCCACTGACTGCCCGTGACAGAGTCTCCCCGACAGAGCTGTGCAGCATGAGGTTTAGGCCCCAGGCTCTGGAGCCAGTCTGAACTCTGTTTGGATGCCAGCTCTGCCCCTTCCTGGCCTGGTGACCTTGGGCATGATACCCTACTTTTCTGAGCTGCTGTCTTTGTGAAATGAAAACAGTAGCAATACTTAGTTGATAGGAATGTCAGGACAGTTAAATGGGATAACGTGTGAAATGCAGAGTACAACACCTGGTACCAAGTAAACTCTCAGAAATGGTCATCATTGTCCCAAAGGCCCATCAGTTGGTTGAACTGGAAAGTCGTGAGCATGGAGGAGTAGACCCAAGCTTGGACTGGGAGGCAGAGGATGTGGGCTCCAAGTTCATCTCAAACATTGTGTTCCTGTGTGCGTGTTGGGAAGCCACTTATCCTCTGGAAACCCCACTTTCCTTTTCTGAGAAAGGGGGAAGAAATCCCTGCTATACTTTAATAAAGTTGGCATGTGATACCGCAGCAATGCCTGTGAAAATGCTTTGCATCTGTGTAATGATTTAAAAATGGCACAGCGGTGGCTGTGGTGTGCTGATGGCGATGAGGGCATTGTAACCACAGTGGTGGGCAGCTGGCCGGGCTGGAGGCTGGTTCATCTGTGGAATGCTTAGTGCCCACACGGACTTCCCCATCCCTGCCTACCTGCTCCCGGCTGTCCACCAGCCTGCCTTCACATTAGCCCCGGCATTATATGCTAGAAAATGTGGGAGGTGCAAAGAGCTGATGGCATTTCCCCAGCCCTGGTGGGTTTTCTGTTATCTGTGGCTGATGCCATGGAATGTGGGGATTAAGAACCAGACAGATGCTGGTTCGAATCTCAGCTAAGCACTTCCCAACAGGGACCTTAAGCAAGTTGCTTAATCTCTGTGGACCTCAGGCTCCATATTTGTAAAATGAGGCCATGATCAAGTAGAGGCCAAGCATTTAACAAAGAGCCCAGAACATAATGGCATCAGGTGGTTGTATAATGTGTATTCTGCCTGGAACGTGGTCACTGACAACGTGGTGACTGACAGGTTATCGATGGCAGGAAGCTGGGGCCACTGTGCCCATTTCGGGGATTTGCTGCAGAGGTCGGTTATGCTCCCTACAGAATAACCCAGCTTAGATTTAGGAGGGTCTATGGAATCATATGGCATGATTCAATTTTTTAAATTAACTCGTTTTTTAAAATTTTATTTTTTTTAGAGATGGGGTCTTGCTGTATCTCCCAGGCTGCAGTGCCATAGTGCAGTTGTAGCTCACTGCGGCCTTGAATGCCCGGGCTTCCAGCAATCCTCCTACCTCAGCCTCCTGAATAGCTGGGACTACAGGCTCGTGTCACCATGCCTGGCTTCATGATTCTGTTTTATGTGACCAAACTGAGGCCGAGAAAGGAGTGGTACTTGCCTGAGGTCACAGGCAGGTTGTGTAAGAAGGCCGGGCCTAGGATGAGGCAAGTGAGGCATCTAAGTGCAGCGTCTCAGGAGGTGCCCGCTGTGTGCTTGCACATTGTGGAGAATAAGAACCTTTGTTTTTGAGAGAGGGTCTAGCTGTGTCGCACAGGTTGGAGTGCAGTGGTGCAATCTGGGCTTACTGTAGCCTCAACCTCCTGGGCTCAGGTGATCCTCGCACCTCAGCCCTCCCATATAACTGACTATAGGCACACGCCACTACGCTGTCTAATTTTTGTAATTTTTTTTTGTAGAGAAGGGGTTTTGCCATGTTGCCCAGGCTGGTGTTGAACTCCTGGTCTCAAACTCCTGGGTCAACCTGCCTTGAGCTCCCAAAGTGTTGGGATGACAGGCGTGAGCCACTGCACCTGGCAGTGAGCACCTTCTAAAAGGCTCCTCGCGGGCCTCACCTGAGCCTAGTCCTGGGTGAGTTCCTGATCTAGGACTGGAACCCTGGTCTCCTGGCCCCATGAACTGTTCTGGACCCCTGCGAGGTACTTTTTAGAGTCTCGCTGAGGCCTCCTATTCCTCTTTAAAAGGAGCCTCTGTGAAGTAGGTCACCCAGTGCTTTTTGCTCCACGTTTCTGTTCTCTAGCTGTTGTCTGTGTCCTAGAGAAAGCCGGGCCCACTTGCCCCCACCTCTCCCCACCTTCTGCCCCCTCCCCCTGCCAGCTGCGCCTCCATGTAAGTACTTTGAGTCCCTTAACACCCCAAGGCGTGTTGGTGGCCAGCTTTTGTCGTGATGACAAGCCCCAGCAAGTCTACAGGGACTGGCTGCTTTCATGTGGGCCCTCGGTGAAGCCTCCTTGGTCTCAGCAGGCCCTGTGTTGTACCCACCAGGCCTCTAGGAGATTAGGGGGCTTCTGTGGCTCCAGATGGCTCAAAGCTTTTCCCTTCCTCTGTGTTATCCCTAGCCCACCTGGCTTCCGTCCTCACTGGCCACGGGGCTTGGGGGATTTTCAGTCTCTCCAAGGCTCTGGCATCTTCCAGAGTGGGCTAGTCTTGGAGTGTCCATCTGAGCCATTCTTTCTGTCACCACTGCTGGGCCTGCCTGCTGGGCCTTAGGTGACTTCTTGAGAGGTGGCCAAAGCTGCTAATCCCTGGAAGGGGCTCCTAGGATTTCCCTGTGGCTGGCAGGACCCTTGGCCACCCACGTGGTGTGACATGAGGAGCCTGGAAAGCCAGCCCAACCTCCATCCTTAAGCCCCACGTATAAACATACCTTTTTTTTTTTTTTAACTGCAGCTCTCAGAGCCTGCAGTTCTACTGTTGTCAGGTTGCCTTGTGCTCTCCTTGGCATCCTCTAAGAAGGCAAATACCTTTTCAGCTGGGTGCTTTTAAGCATTTGCTGTCAAGAAGCAAGCCCTGGCCAGCCTGGCCCTTTTCCAGTGTTCTGTGTGACCGTGGCCAAGTTGCTTCTCTTCTCTGGGTCTCGTCTTTGTAAGACCCTTTTCAGCTCTAGCACTTTGAGGCTCCAGCATGGATTCTTACACCCTCCACACCTTTGCCGGTCACCTTTCTTCCTTCTCTGCAGGGTGGGGCACAGGGAAGGGCCTGGCAGCTGAGCTGGGTGGGGCCAGGGGCCAAAAGCCAGCATCATAGACACTTTTCCCTCCAGCTGGGCATACCAGTCCTTCCTCTTCTTCTCAGGACAGGTGGGGAAACTGAGGTCTGGAGGGGGAAGGGCCAGGGCTGGAACCAGGACCCAGTTATCCTTATTGCCAGTGAGTGCTCCTCCTGCTGTTGGCTGCTACCTCTCTTGAGAGGGTCAGAAGACCCACTAGCATGAGGGTCAGGGACATGCTTTTTCCTTTCCCGTGGAAGGCTCCTCCAGGCAGGGCTTGGGTGAGGCAGGCGAGGTGCCAGTGGTTCCCTGGGCACGGGGCAGAATCGGAGGAGGACATCCTCTTTCTGAGGTTAAGGAGGTAGGGGCTGGAGGCCTTGACAAGGGAGGTGGCATGAAGGGGCGTGGAGGTTTCTAGGAACGTGGTTGGTGGCGCAGGGTGCTCTAGGGCCACCTCCCTCCCTTGCTTCTGCCTTCCCTTTCTCCTGGGGAGGGGACTGGGCCAACAGTAATGCCATTTTTCCTGGCCCTGGGATTAGGTGCAGCCGTGTTAAGGAGAGGACATTCGAGAGGGCGTGGCGAAGTGAAGAGGAACCTCACGCCACTGCCTGGAGCTCCGGTGGGTCTGGGTCTGGTCATTGTCTCGCTGGCTCCTGTCCACTCTGACCACTGTCCCTGGCCCCCTGCCCTGTCCAGTCCTTCCAGGTCCATCTGAGTGTGTGTGTGTGTGTGTGTGTGTGTGTGTCCCCAGGAGGGATCTGGGGGTACAGGCTGGCACTTGAGCCTGGCACTGGGTCCTGCCTTCATTCCAGATCAGAAGCAGCTCCCGGAACTGCCCCAGGGAGAGGTCTAGGCTGACCTGGCAGATTCCTGATGGAGGAGAAGGAGGAGGAGGCTGAGGGATGGGAAGGAAGGGCTCAGTTTCTCCTGTGGCTTCTCCAGACAGCTAGGCATGTCCACAAATCCACCTGAAGCCAGCAGGTCCAAGAGTTTAAAGATTTATTTCAGGGCCACGGGGGAAGCTGAAATGGTGAGATCCCAGGGCTCTCAGATGTTGTGTTTGTGGCTTTGGTCCTGTCTAGACTGTGAGAGCCATGGCTTGTCAAAGCCAGAGGGGCCCCTAGAGAATTTCCATGTTCTTAACTTGGCTTTTGATGGGGGCCAGTCACAACCACTCTGAATTTGTGTGTCTGGGGAGAGAATCTGCTAATAGCCATCATTAGATTCTCAAAGGGTTCTATAACCCCCAGAAGGTCACAGACTTCTCCTCTAGTCCATACCCCTCACTGCAGTTGCAGAAACTGAGGCTCAGAGAAGGGAAGGGACTTGCCCAGAGACTCACAGGCGGCAATGGAGGCTGTGGCACCCCCTGCCTCTGTCTTCCTGCCAGCATTCTGCCTGACCTTACAAGCTGGGGAAGCTTGGCTCATTCAGGGGACAATGACCTCTCATCCCCTGATGAGAGGAAGGGGATGACTGGGAGGGAAGGACTGGGAGGCTGTTGTGGTTTCCAGGCCCGCATGGATTTTGGCTTCTGCATCCTTGAGATGGAGGCCCCTGAGTCTGCCTGTGCCTTGGAATCTCTCAGGGTGTATCTGAGGCCTGGAGTCGGGCATGCGGGAGGGTGGGGGCTAGTGGTGACCCACATTTCCCAGCTCCTCTGCAGGGGAGGCAGATAGGGGAGAAGCTCAGGGTGTGATAAAATTGTTTTTACTTCACTGGGCATAAATGACAAATAAATGAAGTGAGGGTTGGGAAGTGCTTGGTAGAGCGCCTGGCACATGCCAGGCCGTGAGGCGAGGTGCTCACCATTGTCCTTTGCGGTGCCCTGCTAGCTGAGATCTCCTGCTTCTGACCCTCGCTCCTGCCTCTTCCTTAGCATGAGGCCTCTGCCTGGGGCAGGAGGTGGCCCCCCTTTCTTTATTTTTTTTGAGATGGAGTTTCGCTCAGGCTAGAGTGCAATGGCGCCATCTCGGCTCACTGTAATCTCCGCCTCCCAGGTTCAAGCGATTCTCCTGCCTCAGCCTCTGGAGTTGCTGGGATTACAGGCATGTGCCACACACCTGGCTAATTTTGTATTGTTAGTAGAGATGGGGTTTCACCGTGTTAGCCAGGATGGTCTCGATCTCAGGACCTTGTGATCTACCCGCCTCAGCCTCCCAAAGTGCTGGGATTACAGGCAGGGGCCACTGCCCCGAGCCGCCATCCCCCTTTCTTATATTGGGGTGTCTGATGGGGGCGTGAGGACCCTCTGGCTGAAGTCCTGCCTTGCTGGGTTCCATGGTGCACCTCTCTGCAGTGCAGGCTTTCCCAGGAGGCTGAAGCTCAGCTAGAGAAGCTGGGTCAGCAGCCCTGGGCCTGGTCACCTCCAGGAAGCCTCTCTCCTGGGCTGCAGACCTGGCTTGGGAGTGGTGTGGAAAGTAGGACTGCAGAAGGGTAACGAACAGGGGCTGTGGGGTGGGCTGGGAGGGGCATCCTAGCTCCACCTCTGCCCAGCTGTGTGACTTCGAGCGGTTGCTTACCCTCTCTGAGCCTCCATTTCCTTGTCTGTAAAGTGCTCATAGCAGTGACACCTCTTTCAGGGTGTTAGGATTGAGCGTGATGGAGCAGGTAAGGCTCCTGGCACAGCCCCACATGTTCGCAGGAGCTTAACGTTGGCCGCCAGTAAGGGAGGTTATGATATGTGTTGGGATATGCTGCTTTGTTCCTTTTGAGTGTCTGTGATCTGAGCCTAAGGAAAAAATAGTTCTGGATGGATTTGACTCTGTCATAGGCAGATTTGGGGATAGGGTGGGCAGAGAGCCCCATTTTGGGAAGATTTGTGGCCACTGCATAACATTCTGTGTGATGGACCTGACAGCCTTGGTGTGCGTGAAGAGCCTCAGTGGGACTGTCAGGACTGTCCCGTCCTTGGGACGGGAGGGTGGCAGGTGACCTGCCGTGTTCCCCACACAGCCCCACCCCCAGGCTGTCTGGTATGTTTGCTCGGTAAGCCCTTTTTTTCAGAGCTGGTACAAAGGTAAACTCGCAACTCAGGCCCTGTTGGAAGAAGGACACATTCTCAACAAGTGAGGTCTAAGTTCCTGAGGTTTTCTGTTGGGCCTTCCCTGCCAGGGAACCCAGAACAGATTCACAAGTTGAGAACCAGGGAGTGAACCAGTAGTGCTTAATGCTTTGTTTCCTTGTTGATTGACGGATGATCTGTGAGCTACTTCCAAGAAAGATCACTAGAGGCTGCTTGTGATACTAAAACACATATAAAATGGATGAAAACAAACACAGACAGAAAACTATTGAAAAGGAATGGAGAAAGGGATGTGCAGGGCATCTGGCAAATGTTAGCTGTCTTAGGTGATCACAGAGGGGCTGCGGAGATGGGGGATGAGGGGCCCAGGCTCTGGAGCCCAGCAGCTGTGTGCTGAAGTTCCCATTCACCCCCTTATTAGCTCTGTGGGCTGCAGCAAGTGACTGGCCTCTTTGGACCTCAGTTTCTCATCCGTATAATGGGGGGAATCTAGGTCATGGTGCTGTGGTAAGGTTGAAATAATGGCATGTAACGCAGACATGGCATGTCTCATAAATGGAAGTTAATGTTATTAATGCATTTAGCTTGGAGATGCCGCGTAGCAGATTCACAGAGGGGAAGGTAATTGGCAAGGGCACAAGGCTCTTGAGTACCTGCTGTGGGTAGGAGATGGCTTGTGCCTTGGAAAGCTTTCAGTGAAGTTGGGAGCCCCATGTTCTAGTTGCAAGAACAACTGATACCTGGTGTTGCGTGGTGGGATGTGGAGCAGGGGAGCTCAATCAGGACTTTAGAAATCCAGAGCAGGCTTGTTCACCTCCCTGCTGAGGCTGGCATTGGAGGAGGAGGGACAGGGTTTTAATGGACAAGAAAATGGACCAAGGTAAATGAGAGTGGGGCACACCAGACGGCACAAGCCAGGAGGTCCTTTCCTCTCTCTGGGTCTCAGTGTCCCCAGGGGCTTACTGCAGGGTAGACTGTGCTCTCTGTGGCCCTGCGACTCTGAGCCAGACCTCCAACAGTCTCTTTCCCGGTGGTGGTGGTCCTGGACTCTGGGGTGACTGACAGGCGGCAGCTTGGCTCCTGGCCAGGCAGCACTGTGGGGGTGATGGGGGATGGGGCATGTAGCAGATTCCAGCAGAGGAAGGGATTTGCTTCTGGTCTCGGCCTCCCAGGGATGTAATCACGCTGGAGAAACTCCCGCACAGCTGGGAAGCAAATGTGGAGGATTTTCCTTGCTGAGCTGGATGTGGTGGGTGGGGCAGGCTGTGGTAGGGTGGCTGGTGGAGCTGGGAAGCTGTGGGGTGTGGCTGGGTGGGGGTGATGATGTGACTGTGCTGGGGGTGTGACTGGCTGGGAGGGGCTGGATCAGCTATGGGGAGTGGCCCTGGGTGCATGTGGGGCTACCTGTTCCCCAGGCCTGCAGCCACTGCTACGCCCTCCCCTGCTCAGGTCCCTGCCCAAGTCCAGGTACCCACCCATTCACATCCTTCTGAGGTTGCTGGCAGAGCTCTTTCTGCACTGACCTCCTCTCAGCCCCCACCCCATGTGCATGTGGCCCAGATGCCTATGATGATGCCATTTGAGCCTGTCATGTGCATGTGAATGTGGTGTGTGTGTTGGGGGGGCAGGGAGCAGTGTGTGGTCCACAGAGGGCATTGTCAAGAGTGACCTAGGCTGGAAATAAAATGTGGGCTGGGTGAGCATTCAAGGCCCTGGGCACCTTCCCCCATTCACTGCAGCCATGTCGTACCAGAGACATAAAACCTTGGGTTCCAGAGACCTCTAGAAACCCTTGTGGAAAGGTCATGGTCGCCACTGCATTTTCAGTGCCTAGTGGCATGCTTGGCACCTAGTGGTGCTCAGTAAATACAGGATGAGGAAACAGGTCGTTTGCTTGTTCCGCACTCCCAGAAAGATCTCGAACCTCCTTCCTGGATCCCATTCTCTTGCTCCTTCCCTCTGGCGTCAGCCTGGCCTCCCTTCCTCTCTCTTTCTCAATTCACTACTAATTTGATATGTGGCCTTGGGCCAGTTCCTTCCTGAGCCTCACTTTCCAAATCTGTTACTGAGTAATCATTTTATTAGCTTATATTACCATGTGCCAGGCACTGAGCTCAGTGTTTTACATGCCTCATCTCTCTTTGTCTTGGTAGCTGCCCTGCAAGATAGATAAGTAGTATAAACCCCATTTTAGATTTAGTGAAACTGAGGTTCAGAGAGGTTGAGAGATTTGCTCAAAGGTCATGAGGCTGGTAAATAATGGAGCCAACATTCAAGCCCCAGCTGGGAGCCACTGCACCCGGGAATTACCTGTAATCCCAGCACTTTGGGAAGCCAAGGCAGGAGGATTGCTTGAGACCAGGAGTTCAAGACCAGCCTAGGCAACATAGGGATACCTTGTCTGTATTAAAAAATTAGCTGGGCATGGTGGCACACACCTGTGGTCCTAGCTGCTTGGGAGACTGAGGTAGGAGGATCACTTGAGCGTGGGAAGTTGAGGCTGCAGTAAGTGTGATTGTGCCCCTGCACTCCAGCCTGGGCAACAGAGAAAGACACTGTCTCAAAAAATGAAAATATGCTGGGCACAGTGGCTCACGTCTATAATCCCAGCACTTTGGGAGGCCGAGGCAGGTGGATCACTTGAGGTCAGGAGTTCGAGACCAGCCTGGGCAACATGGCGAAACCCCGTCTCTACTAAAAATACAAAAATTAGCTGGGCATGGTGGCAGGTGCCTGTAATCCCCACTACTCAGGAGGCTGAGGCTCGAAAATCGCTCGAAGCTTGAACCCAGGAGGGGAAGGCTGGAGTGATCCTGGGCAACAGAGCAAGACTCTTAAAAAAAGAAAGAAAAGATTCAAAGATTCAAGCTCAGGCAGGCTAGCTCCAGTCTCGGCCTTTAACTGTTATGCTAGCTGTCACCACTAGAGTGAAATAGAAGGGTGTGCACAGCCCTTCTAAGGAGGCCTGCTGGCGCACAGTAGGCATGGTGTACATGTGAGTTGGGTTACTGGGCACAATTCACCATGAAAGGCATGGCTTGCTCAGTCTCCATACCTGCTTTTATGGAGCTCTTGGTCTCATTCCTGGAGCCCACCCATTCATCACAGGCCCAAGCCGGACCCCCTTCCCTGGTCCCAGTCTCTGGACAGCTTGCTCCTGTAAGAAGGCCCTTGTACCTCTGCCCCTTTTCTCTTATGGGTCCGGGGCAGCATTTTCAGGTGGGGATGTTAGATAGAGTGACTTCAACTCCAGAGCAGTGGCCACGGTTACCGTGGTATTTCCCGAAAGTGCAGCGTTGCCATGGCGTCTCCATGACGACCAGAGCATCTCATTCATTATCCTCAGCACCTTGGCAGGGAAAGCTGGGACTAGGGCTAGGGGAGTGCAGTGGGAGCCTGGCTGAGGGCTGTGGGCCACTGGCCTTTGTGGCTGAGGTTCCCCTCATGCCCCTGCCTACCCCAAGCCAAGGTTCCTCTGCAGGCTCTGGAGTTATCTCCCACCCATGGGTTCTGGGTTCACATTTCAGCTCTGCCACTGAACAGTTGTGTGATGTTGGGCAAGTGACAACCTCTCTGAGCCTTATTTTACTCAACTGTAAATGTGGATAACAATATTAGTTGTAAGGATTACATGAAATGAGGTATAAAAAGTGCTGGCTGGGCGTGGTGGCTCACGCCTGTAATCCTAGCACTTTGGGAAGCCGAAGTGGGTGGATCATCGGAGGTCAGGAGTTCAAGACCAGCCTGGCCAACATGGCAAAACCGCATATCTACAAAAATTAGCCGGGAATGATGGTGGGTGCTTGTAATCCCAGCTACTCGGGAGGCTGAGGTGGGAAAATTGCTTGAACCTGGGAGGCGGAGGTTGCAGTGAGCCAAGATAGTGCCATTGCACTCCAGCCTGGGTGACAGAGTGAGACTCCGTCTCAAAAAAAAAAAAAAAAAAAAAAGTGCTTAGCACAGTGCCAGGCTCATAGTATGGCAGTATTCATAATGATGATAATTATAATGTTGTTGGTGTTATTTTTATTGTAGGAACCCTTGGGTTTCAGGGAGGAATGAAAGACCAAACTCAAAGTCAGGAAGGAAACCCATTTGAGTCAAGATTTGGTGGTTTCCATGTGACTGTGGCAAGTCACTTCACCTTGAAGTCTTTGTCTCCTTATCTGTAAATTGGAAATAATAACAGCTGCTCATTCATTCATATCCTGAGTATTCAATAAGGACCTGACCCTGGGAAAAGTGGGAGCTTCCACGATGAATCAGACTTGGTTCCTGCCCTTGAGTGGCACCCGGGCACTGGGGGAGGAGGAAGAAAGGACACTGTTTTGTGCTGAGGGCTGTGTGTGCCGGGTGCTGGTGAGGGCCTGTGCAGAGGTCAGTAAGCCCTGGTCCTGCCCCACAGATCTGCAGGCTACAGGAGGTAGAGCCATGTGCAGGAATGCCCCCAGTTTACTCTGCACAGACCACATGCTCAGGTGCACCCAGGGGCTGGGCAGGAAGCCAGATGAAGGAAAGAGGTTGGCTGTGAGACTGTACATAGAGATGCTGATGGTGTTAACTGCAGGATACACAGCCCATTTGAGGCTGGCACTCTAAGTGCCTCAGCTGATGGTGGCAGGTGAGGATGTGTGCCCAGTGTCACCAGAACTTGCCCTCTTTAGAGACAAGTTAGAAGTTCTGACTTTTATATAAAATCTCCTGATTTAAAAATGTTGCTAACGAATCCCAAATTAAAGAAAAATACTGTGCAAGCCAAAGAGCACAGTCTGCATTTTGTTTGGGCTCCAGGGTCCTGGTTTTCAGCCTCTGCACCGTGGAGTGGGGATGAGGCGGGAGCCTGAGGAATGAGACTTAGGAGTGGGAGAGGGGGCAGTGGTTGGTGATGACTTCAGAGGGGTCATGACTTTGGAACCTGGATCTTGAAAGATGAGTAAGTGTCCCAAGGGGTCCGGGGAGGCATTCCAGGCAATGGGAATTTCATCAGCAAAAGCCTCAATGCTTCCCCGAGATTGGTGACTGGCTGGGTGAGGCTGGAATTTAGGGGAAACTGCTGGTGATGTCTGCAAGGCCCAGCAGGCCCAGGGTGGTGGGGGTCATTGAGGCCTCAGCCCCAGCTGTCCTTGAGGCCTTGGTGGCTGCAGGGGGACTAGAAGCCCCTCAGTTACTTACCTCTTGAGCCACGGGAGTTCTGGAGTGCAGGCGGGTGAGGAGGGCCTTGGGTGGAGGGTGGCAGCCTCTGAGTGGGTTGCAGAGGGGCTGTGCTGGAAGCCCCCTTTGCCAGCCGGCTGAGTGGCTGGCACTTTGCTACAAAGCAACTGGCTTCCCCCCACCCACCCCCACCCCAGGGTATTTGGCCTTCTCTGAGGACAGGGGCTACCTTGCTCTCCCTCTGCCCTGGGTTTTGCCATGGCCTTATCTTCAGCTTCTTGGCTTCTATCCAGGCAGCCAGCCAGCTCCCAGTAAGGGCCACAGCCTCCAAAGATAGGGCTACTTTTCAGACATGCTGTGAGAGGAGGACGGCAGCCCTGGCTGCCTGGCCCTCTGTGTAATAAGTGTGTGTGGTGCCTGCCTGCCTCAGCCCTTGCTCTCCCTCTGTGAAATGAGCTGCCCTCCCCTGCCTGAGTCCTGGGGCTGTCAGACTCTCAAGAGAGGGATGAGCTTGAAAGTGCTTCGTGAGCTAAGCTGTGATCCACATCGTGAGGGATTGTCATAAGTATGTTAAATAAGCAACAGGGGTGCGTGATAACAGCAGCTGTGTGCCAGGCGTGGTTCTGAGCATCTTATGTATCAACTCATTTAATGTTCACAACCTTGGGAAGTAGGTAGAATTTCCATTTTACATGCTAGGAAACTGAGGCACTGAGAAGTTAAATAACTTGCCCAAGATTACATAGCTACTAAATGGTGGAGCTTAGTTTTGAATCGAAGCCACTTGGCTCCAGTCTGCACGTGTAACCAGTAGGGTCCATCAATCTAGGACTTTAGGTCTGTGGATGGGTGGCAGGGAGGCTCTGAACTCCTTGAAATTATTATGATATATATTTTTTTGAGACAGAGTCTCGCTCTATTGCCCAGGCTGGAGTACGGTGATGTGATCTCACCTTACTGCAGCCTCTGCCTCCTGGGTTCAAGTGATTCTCTTGCCTCAGCCTCCCGAGTAGCTGGAATTACAGGTGCCTGCTACCATGCCTAGCTAATTTTTGTATTTTTAGTGGAGATGGGGTTTCACCATGTTGGTCAGGCCGGTCTTGAACTCCTGACCTTAAGTGATCTGCCCACCTCGGCCTCCCAAAGTGCTGGGATGACAGGCGTGAGCCACCACACCATTATGACATTTTCTAGTGTGTGTGTGTGTGTGTGTGTGTGTGTGTGTGTGTGTGTGTATGGCTTTATTGTTTAGATTTTTAGTTTTACATTCACAGCAAAATTGAAAGGAAGATACAGATATTTCCCATATGCCTTCTTCCCCTGCACACACACACAGCTTCCCCCATTATCAACATCCCCCACCACAGTGGTACTTTTCTTTTTTTTGAGATGGGGTCTCGCTCTGTCGCTCAGGCTGGAATGCAGTGGCACAATTATGGCCACTGTAGCCTTGACCTCAGGGGCCCAAGTGATCCTCCTGAGTAGCTGGGTCTACAGGCACATGCCCTGACACCTGGCTCATTTTTTTTTTTTTTTGTAGAGATGGGGGTCTTGCTATATTGCCCAGGCTGGTCTTGAACTCCTGGCCTTAAGTGATCCTCCTGCCTCGACCTCCCAGGGTCAGGGGACTGCAGGTGTGAGCCACTGTGCCCAACCCAGAGTGGTAAATTTGTTGCAACAGATGACCCTGCATTGACACATCCTTATCACCCAGAGTCCATAGTTTACTTTCGGGTTCACCTCTGGTAGTATGCATTCTGTGGGTTTGGACAAATGTATAATGACATGTATCTACCATCGTCGTCTCATACACAGTAGTTTCACTGCCAAAAAAATTTTCTTTGCTCCGCTGATTCATACTCTCAACCCCCAACCTCTGGCAACCGTGTGCATTTTTTTAATGCGCATATTTTTTATGTCTGAAAAATGTCAGATTCCCACAGGGTTTCGTGGCTCCCACATTCCTGAGACTCTGAGCTGCATCATTCACACTCTGAAAGATTGTTAATCTGATAGAGGGTCACTGACCACAGCACTCAAGCCTGCGAGGAGTGGCTGGTGGCTGCTCTCCTCCGCTTCCATGGGATTGGGTGGCCAACGTGGGCAGGGCGCCATCAGGGCATCCCCACCTCCTATCCACTGTGCTTCTGTCCTGGCCCTAGGCCAAGGGGTGGGGCTGGGCTGCGGCCACAGGCTGCCCTTATCAATGGTAAATGGGACACCTGGGTACCCTGAGTGTAAACAGGACCAGTCACCCCAGCCTTCCTGGCTCTGCCCAGGACACCTGCTCCTTCTTGCCCTGCTCTCAGCTAGAATTGCAGGGAGTCCCTGGAAAGTGCCACACATGCTCTTATCTCCAAGCTGTGGTATGTGCCATTTCCTCTGTCTACCCCTGCCCAACCCTTACTTTTTCTTCTGGTCAGCTTAGGTACCCTTCCTCCAGGAAGCCTTCCCTGTCCCCTCCTTCCCCCTGCCAGAAGAGTTAAGGACCCCTGAGCTCTCCCAAACCCCCATCCCATCCCCGTCTGTCACACTTATCCCCCTGCATTGCAGATGCCTATTTTCTTGGCTGCCTCTGGTTCCTCAGGGTACTGGCACTGAAATGTAGAATATCAGAGGTGAAGGAGCCCCCGGAGATCACCTGCCCCAACCCCCTTGTAACATGCAGGAAGCCCAGAGGGAGCCACACAGTGCATCATGGCAGAGCTGAGACCAGACCTGTTGTCCCAGTCACCTCCTCATTTCACAAACAAAAAGCGGAAATAAAAATCACCCAGAGATAATCACTGTTAATGTTTCTTTTTTTGCATTTAGCACCAGTTTCTAGCCTATGCACAAAAATATTTAACTAAATTATGACCGCACGTACAAACTGTTTTATAAATGTTTTTGACTTTGACAATACATACGGTAATTATATTTCTATGTCAGTACATGTCCTTCTCCAACATATTGTAAATGGCTGCCTAGGATTTCATCATATGCTTGTATTATAATTGCTTTTTTTTTTTTAGATAGAGTCTCGCTCTGTCGCCCAGGCTGCAGTGCAGTGACGTGATCTCGGCTCACTGCACCCTCCGCCTCCCAGGTTCAAGTGATTCCCCTGCCTCAGCCTCCTGGGTAGCTGGGACTACAGGTGTGTGTCACCACGCCCGACTAGTTTTTGTATTTTTAGTAGAGATGAGGTCTCACCATGTTGCCCAGGCTGGTCTTGAACTCCTGACCTCAAGTGATCCACCCACCTCGGCCTCCCAAAGTTCTGGGATTACAAGCATGAGCCACCACGCCCGACCCTTGTGTTATAATTCCTAAATACAATCTCCCATTGTTTGGGATTTGCTGTTATAAGCAGCACTAGGATTTGTGTTCTTGTGGAAAAATCTTTACACACTTCTGCAGTAATACCTCTAGGATAAATTCCTGGAAGTGCAGCTGTCGGGTCTGGAGCATGCTGTACCCATGCTGAGCACATCATATAGTCTTGGAGCTGGAAGGGATTTCAAAGATCTTTACCCTCTAGGCTGGGCCCAAGCCTTGAATTCCCCCCTGGCCTCTTTAGCCCTGGCTCTTACACCTTCCATCTAGACCTGGGCAACTCTCCTTCTAGCTTTGAGCTGCTGTGACTGATAGTTGCTCCTTGGGGGCCAGGCGTGGTGGTTCATGCCTATAATCCCAGCACTTTGGGAGGCCAAGGCCGGCGAATCACCTGAGGTCAGGAGTTCAAGGCCAGCCTGATCAACATGGAGAAACCCCATCTCTACTGGCATGGTGGCTCATGCCTGTAATCCCAGCTACCCAGGAGGCTGAGGCAGGAGAATCACTTAAACTGGGGAGGCGGAGGTGGCAGCGAGCCGAGATTGCACCATTGTCTAGCCTGGGCAACAAGAGTGAAACTCCGCCTCAAAAAAAAAAAGTAAGAAGAAAAGAAAGTTGCTCCTTGGGTTGCTGGGAAATCTCACTTCTTGTGACTTCATTACTATTTAAGGGAGACTGGTAGACTGTGTTTGGGGTTGCTGTTTGGGATGAGACAATTGGGGCCTTTGTGTCGTGTATGTACGTCTTCGTTAACTCTTTCCAGTGAGATGAGTATAGGAGGCGTGGCCTGGGTGCAGGCGGTGCGGGGGGTTCAGGCTGAGGGGGAGGCTGGAACCCAGAGTTATGGCTGCCTGGGTGGACAGAAGGTCCAGGGCGGGGGAGGCCTCCCCTCTGCATCCTGTGGTGGCAGTATGGCGATCCTCAGGAAGGCTATTTGGTCATCTGTTGTCCTGGGCTGCTGTGTGCACCTGTGGGTACGTACCCCGAGGATGAGAGATACCTGGTTGCATTATGGGCAAATATGACAGCTGCCATGTTTCTTGTGCCAAGCTCCTCAGACATATTTACTTAACGCTCAGCTACAGCCATGAGCTACAGGGGTGCTGGTGTTACAGATTAGCTCACTGATGCTTTAAAGGTGTAATGGTCACCTGAGGCCTTCTCACACAGCTAAGGCACACATGCCCTGCAGCCTGCTAATGAATCCTGGCTTGGCTTCATTCTGAGTCTTCAGAATGAAAAGACTGATGGAGACTCAGTCTTTTCATCTATCATATGGGGCTGCTGGGCTCATTCAAAGAGAGCAACGGGTTAGGAAGGGAATGGAATATGGTGAGGATGTGGTATTCAGTCGTGATTTAGAATTCTACCTCTAGTTCCCAGGCTGTGCAAATGTTTATCATCTCTCCCCATCCGTCCTGCTCCTGGATTTTTCTTGGCCTAGTCTTGGACTCTGATAATGATCAAAAATAGCAACTCCAATTTGTAGATACCATATGCTAGGTACTGCTTTAAGTCGTTTACAAACGTTGTTGGACTTAATCCTCCAACCCCTTATGAGATGGGTTCATATTATTTATTGTCTGCCCCATTTTACAAGTAGGGAAACTGGGGCTCAGAGATATTAAAGAGCTTGCTCCAAATCATGCAACCTTGGTTCGGCAGCCGTACTTGCATTTGGGCATTCCTAGGTCAGCTCCTGTGTGTCCACAGTTAGCTGAACCCTGAAGCCCGCACTCTGACGCTCCTGTTCTCTCCACTCTCCACAGCCTTAGCCCCGTGGGCCCCACGGAGTGAGCGGCATGCAGCACCCCCGGGCCTGTCCAGTGTCCTCTGGCCTGCTGCCCTGCACCCCCAGAAGGCCCTGACGCCCTGGGGCACTTCTGCTCTGCACAGGACCACGCGGGGGTTTGCCATGGTGACATAAAGGGGCGCGGAGGAAGGAAGGAGCGTGACCAGCCTGTGGACTGCGCCCCTGGCTGGGAGGAAGGACTGGGGGCCCAGATCCTCCACTCCCAGTGCCCCACAAGGGCGTCGCTTCCTAAGTCTCTGTGAATTTGTTGGTCAGTGGACGATTCTCGTGTCTCCTCCTGTGTGGGGCCTTGGGGTAGCCAGGGCAGGCCGGGCCTCCGGTGGCCAAGGTCTCGGAGGCCAGGATGCCTGCCCTGGCATGCCTCCGGAGGCTGTGTCGGCACGTGTCCCCGCAGGCTGTCCTTTTCCTGCTGTTCATCTTCTGCCTGTTCAGCGTTTTCATCTCGGCCTACTACCTATATGGCTGGAAGCGAGGCCTGGAGCCCTCGGCGGATGCCCCCGAGCCTGACTGCGGGGACCCGCCGCCTGTGGCCCCCAGTCGCCTGCTGCCACTCAAGCCTGTGCAGGCAGCCACCCCTTCCCGCACAGACCCGTTGGTGCTGGTCTTTGTGGAGAGCCTCTACTCGCAACTGGGCCAGGAGGTGGTGGCCATCCTGGAGTCCAGCCGCTTCAAATACCGCACAGAGATTGCGCCGGGCAAGGGTGACATGCCCACGCTCACTGACAAGGGCCGTGGCCGCTTCGCCCTCATCATCTATGAGAACATCCTCAAGTATGTCAACCTGGACGCCTGGAACCGGGAGCTGCTGGACAAGTACTGTGTGGCCTACGGCGTGGGCATCATTGGCTTCTTCAAGGTACACAAGAAGCAGGGTCCCCGAGCAGTTCAGAGCCCCCTCTGCAGCTCAGTGCCTGAATTCTCATTTGTGAAATAGGTGTAATGGTAGCACCCGCCTCCTGGGGTTGTTGGGAGGGTTAAATGAGTGAGTATATGTAAAGCACTGGGAGCATGCGGTGCCCACTGCCTGGCAAGTGCTTTGTAAGTATTAGGGGAGCGTGCCAGGGGGATCGCCTGCTGTGCGTGGGGTCCAGCACACAGCAGGTGCTTGCCTAAAGGAGGCCACAGAGTAAGTGTGAAGTCAGAGGAGCATGCTCTGCTAGGTGCCCCAAAATCTGTCAAGGCAATCTCCCCTAGGGAGGGCGTGTGCACCCATTTTTCAGATGAGCAAACCAAGGCTCCGGGTGTTAAGTTACTTATGTGAGGTTTTGCAGCCTGTAAGTGGAGAAGCCGAGATTTGAACCTAGACATAGACAGTTTGGGCTCTCTATCCCATGCTCTTCCCTCTTGGTGGTGGTGGAGTATGGCGTTAATATACCTCCTGACCCAGAGCCATTTTGCATGAGGAGAAAGAGGAGAATGAAATCCCACTGGCAGATGGGGAGCTGCTCTGGGCTTTATGGGGCTTCCAGAATGACCGCCGGGATTGGGGTCCTTGCAGGAAGGGTGTCCCAGAGAATCTGTCCTTGGCGGGGGGAGGTTGGGAATGGTGGGCGGGGGATCCAGAGGCTGTGGTCAGAGAAGTCTGACCTGCAAGATGAAAGCAGACACTAGCTGGGACTCTTAGTTGGATGCTTTGGAGGTGGCAGGGAATTTGTTCCTTCATTCAACAAATATTTACTGAGCACTCACAGTGTTTGTGGTCCTGTGCTAGCGGTGATCGAAGTGGACAAAGTCCCTGCTGTCATGGAGCTGGCATTTCAGTGCTTTGGGAGTGGGTGGGTGACAGGCAGTGAGCAAATAAACACAGGATGGGGCAGGTGTGATCAGTACAAAAAGAAACAAAGCAGGGAAAGGACACAGAGGGTAGTGGGGGTGGGAGCTTGACATTATTTTAGGAAAGTCGTCTTTGATAAAGTGACCTGAAATAAATGAGGGGAGGAGCCATGTGGCTTTCTGTGCAAAGAGTCTTCCAGGAAGAAGGGACGTTAAGTGCACGAGTCCTAAAGCAGCCTCTTGCTTGGTGTGAGCCAGGAGAGGAGGAGCGGGAGATGGGTCAGAAGTGGCCTGTGTCCGCTGCTGGGTGCCCGTTTGTGCCAGGCCTTCCTGGTGCACTTGCGCACTGGGCCCTGTCTCCTGGAGGGCTTCTCATGGCGTGTTCTTTCACACCCTAATACAGCAGGAAGCTCTGCCACTGAAAGGTATTGTGAGCCAAGAATTTGAAGGCCCTTAGAAGTCCTGCAGTAGAGCAACCAGTGAGATTTGTTCTCAACTGGCTTGATCACAAAACCCTTTCTTTTACAGAGCACCCTCAGGGGAACGCTGGCCTGGTTTATGGCTTTACAATGACATCAAGTCAGATTATCTCCATTGTCTGGTTGTCTCTTTTCTCTTGGACTCTGTACCCTTTCCTGCCATGAACTTCGTTAAGTTCTATTCAGAGTCCCAGGCCTGAAAAGCGTCAAGAGGCTGACGTTTATTGAGTGCTCACTCAGTGCCATGCACCGTCTACATGCGTTGTGCAGATTCACGCACTTCACACGAAGGCAGGTGGCTAGCAGCCTGATTTAAGATAGGAGGAAACTGAGGCAAAGGAGGATAAGCAATGTGTCCAAGCCTACGCCTCTGATGAGTATAGGTCTGGGATTTGAACTCAAGCAGTCCGGCCCCAGAGGCCTTAGTCTTAACCACGATGTGATGAGTCCAGGAGCCTCACATACCACTTATTCAGGAGAAGTGACATCAGAGGCCACACCCAGTGCACAGAGCTCCCACAGTCTTTGGGGACCAGGCGGTGGGCTGTGGCCATTGGGCGTAATTGGTACAATGGAGCTTGGGCGCTGTCTGGCCCCAATTCCTTGCTCTGCAGAAGGTAAACAGGAGGCCTAGGGAGGGGTGCGGGCATGTTCAGAGTCTCATCGTGGGGCCAGTGGTAATTCCAGGACTTGGTGCTCTTCCTACCCTGTTGCCTAGGACAAGACTATCCTTGGTTTTGAGCAGAGGCCTGTGATTTTCTGCTCAAATGCATGCCCTCTGGTGGTCAAGGCACATCTTTCCACTCTTTCTGCAAGACCAACTTCCCCGCTGTGTGCTGGGCTTGCCAAGTGGGGATTGTCTGTGGGCTCCAGGGATCTGAAAACTCATTTTCCAGTTCCCACTGATGCTGGATTCCCAGGGCAGTGTGAGAGCAGGGACTTAAAAGTCCAGACAGGTTCAAATCTCTCTGTCATTTAGAAACAGAGTGACTTGGGTAAAATGCTCAACTCATCTGCAAAGTGGGGCTAATTACAGCTGCTGCCTCACTGGTCTGTGTTGAAAACAAGACAGTGGGTGGGGAGCACTGAGCCCATTGCCTGGTACCGGAGCCACTCAATAGATGGTAGCTATCGTGCTTTGTCATCTCCAGGTTCAGTAAACAGCAGTGGTAGCACTGTGTCCGTCTTGTGGCCCTGACCAATGTGTGCCCCTGTGAGATCCTGGAGGGTGGTGGGAATAGGGTCATCCTCATCTGGATCCCTACTTCCTGGCACTGTCGTGCCTCAACCTTGAAATTCCAGGTGACCTGGGGCTAAACACACCCTGGCAGGGGTCTGGCAAGGAGTACCTGACCTCTTTCATTGAGCACTTACTGTGTCCCAGTCACTGAGCTCGGTGCTTTGCAGGCATTTCATGGCTAATTCTCACAGCTATCCTGTGAAGTAGGCACTTTATTTTCAGATAAGGACCTGAGGTTCAAAAAGTTAAATGGCTTGTCCCGAATGACATAGCTACAGGTTGAGTGTCCCTTGTCTGAAATGCTGGGGACCGTAAGTGTCTCAGATTTTGGAATGCTTGCATTCTACTTACCAGTTGAGCATCCCTAGTCTGAAAATCTGAAATCCAGAATGCTGCAATAAGCATTTCCTTTGAGCATGACCTTTAGAGGTCACATTGGTGCTCAAAAAGTTTTGGATTTTGGAGCATTTTGGATTTTCAGATTAGAGATGCTCAACCTGTGGTAAGTCATAGAGCCAAGATCTGACAGTCAAGCTTGTTGTTTCTAACCCAGCCACAGGAGCAAATGTGCTGACAGGGAGCCTGAGGCTCAGAGAGGAGATGTAGGATTCCCAAGGTCCCCCAGGTAATGGTGAGGTCTGTGCTTGGCCTCCACCTCTGCGTTCCCGAATCAGGGCTCCTCCTCCCTCTGCCTGGGGGACCCCATTGGAAGACTTGGTGTCTCCGGAGTGGGTACTCAGTGGTGAGGAGCAAGAGGGATTTCCACTGCTGTGGGGTGAGGCCTGCAGTGAGGCCAGCCTCTCGGTGCTGAGGCCCTCTATTCCCTTCTTGCCTGGTTCATTTCATTGCCAATGGATAGGCCATCAGTGACTTGGCTTCCTCCCTTCCTGGATGGCTGGGCAGCTGACTGAGCCTCCAGCACCTGGCAGTCAGCTCAGGGTCGGGACTTTGAAATGGGATCCCTCAGCACCCGCGGTCCAGTGTGGCATCCCAGGCCTCAGCAGGCGATGGACAAGGCCTGAAATGTCTCTGGCCCCTACCGCTTTTGTCCCCACACAGCCCAAGTAGTTCCCAGCCTTGGTCAGGGCTGTCTTAGGAGTCGTGAGCAGCCTGGAGTTGGGGAGGTAGCTGAGGACTGGTCTGTGCGCTGGGCCTCAGCACCCCAGGCTGGCTCAGGACAGGGTGGGGAGGTACTCTTGATGTTTGGAGAATCACATGCAGGCTACTTAATGTGGTTTACAAGGCCAGGGCCCTGCAGAGCCTTTTTGGGAATTAGAGGAGATGAGTGAAAGGCGCTCTTCTGGACAGGTACAGCTCTGCAACGGGCACAGGCTCAGCTGAGACTTTACCCTGCCCCCGCCACTGACCTGCGCACCCCTGTGTGTGCTCCCTGAGCAGCTCTCCTGGGGGCCCCACACATGACCCCATCTCCCCCTCCAAACTCATTTTGCTTTGCCCTGCCCCACTCACTCTCCAGGCAGCAGCCACATGGATCTTTTTAAAATGCAAATTAGAACCTGTCATCCTTTGATGGAGTCTTTGAGGGCTTCCTGCTGCTGCTTCAATCCTCCAGCACCCTGCAGGCCTGGCTCCAGCTGACCTATCTGCCTCATCTCCTCCTTTCCCTCTTGGTCACTCTGCTGTCTTCTTGCTATTCCTTGGTCATGCTGAGGCCTGTCCTACCTCAGGGCCTTTGCACTTGCTATTCTTGGCCTCTACCTTTCCCTTTGTTTGTGCTTGTTTGTTCTTTAAATGTTAGCTCAAAAGTCCCTTTCTCCAGGAGACCTCCTGAGCCCACTAACTGTGCCCAGTAATCTACTGTTCCACAAATATGAACCTCCTCTGTGTAGCATGTGCCACACTGAAGTTTTATATTTATTCCTGTGATTTCAGTGAATGTCTCTCTTCCCTCCTTGATTTTAAGGTTCATGAGAGCAGGGGCCATGTCTTTGTTTTTCTCACTGTATCACTGGCACTTAAAACAGTGCCTGACACAGCAAATAGTTGTGGAATGAACAGATGAAACCTGTATTGAGCGTCTATCTATGCCAGGTACTAGAGAGCTGGCTGTTCCTCTTTTATTCCTTTTAAAAATCCAGTTCTGCATTGAATTGTGTGTGTTCCTGCTGGGTATCAAGCTGGGCACTAGGGGTCCAAAGGCGAAACATCATAGCCCCTAACCTTAAGGGGTTGCAGGCTGGTGGGAGATAGAACGCTGAAAATATAATATTGCAGCTGAGGTGAGAAATGCTGCAGCTGAGGCTTTAACATGGTCTCAGGGAGGCCAGTGCAGAGAAGAGGGTATATGCATTGGGTGTGAATTATGAGCAGGAGTTTGTCAGGCCAAGAAGACGGAATGGAATTGGCACAGGAACAAGGACAAATTGTACCATATTCAGGGGCAGGTGGCTGAGAGGGTGAGGAAGGTCATGAAGGAACAGGGGCTGTGAGCCTAAGGAAGAGGGGACTGGGGCACACTGTCTTCAGACTTCCAGGGAGCTGAGCAGCCACATGCCTTGAGAGAAGGGAGGCAGAGACTTCACCACTGATGGCAGTGACCGGGCAGGCACCATAGTGAGGGAGTGGCCTCTGGGGTGCTAGGGGCATATGGGGCACCCCCAGCAGAAACCTCCTCTTTGAACATCTGCATTGGCATCCACATAAGATGTCTCCTGAAGAAAAGGTTGCGTGGCCAGAGGCAGTTTGGAAACCCCAGGCAACCACGCCTAATGGTTAGGTGTGTGGGTGCTAGGGCTCGACCTCTTGGCAGCGATTCATAGCTCCTCCCAACCACTGTGCTACTGAGGGCAGCATGCCCCTCCAAGCCTCGGTTTTCACACCTGTGAAGTGGGATACGCAGGCTGATGTGAGGACTGAATGAGCAGTTTCTGGTCATGCCACAGGCCCTATTCTGAGCACGTTGCCGGTATTGATACTGATCATCCTCTACCACTCCTGGAGTTACTTTCTGTTCTTAGCCACATTTTACAGCAGAAACTGAGGCACAGAGAGGTGATATAACTTGCCCAAAGTCAGGCAGTCTAGCAGGATTCATGTTCTCAACTGCTAGATTTTCTTCTATGTGGTTTAGCCTCTCTAGGCCTCCGTCTGCTATGTGTAAAATGGGTATGAGAGCAGTGTCTCCATCTGGGGTCATTGGAGGATTAACAGCATTCCTGTCTGCAAAGTGCACAGCACCTAGTGCCTGGCTTTGGTAAGTGAGTCGTGTGTTTGTGAGTATATTATTGTGCAGGGTGGAGCGCAGGGCCAGGGTGGTGAGCCCTCCATGAATGTTGGTGAATATTGATACCACTGTTATGGTCCACATGTGAGAGACTGTGTCCTTTGGGGTTCTGGATGTGACAGTTCTGTTCCCCTTCCTGCCCTCCATTGACTGCAGGCCAATGAGAACAGCCTGCTGAGTGCGCAGCTCAAGGGCTTCCCCCTGTTCCTGCACTCAAACCTGGGCCTGAAGGACTGCAGCATCAACCCCAAGTCCCCGCTGCTCTACGTGACGCGACCTAGCGAGGTGGAGAAAGGTGTGCTCCCCGGCGAGGACTGGACGGTTTTCCAGTCAAATCACTCCACCTATGAGCCAGTGCTGCTGGCCAAGACGCGCTCGTCTGAGTCCATCCCACACCTGGGCGCAGACGCCGGCCTGCATGCTGCACTGCACGCCACTGTGGTCCAGGACCTGGGCCTGCACGACGGCATCCAGCGCGTGCTGTTTGGCAACAACCTGAACTTCTGGCTGCACAAGCTTGTCTTCGTGGATGCCGTGGCCTTCCTCACGGGGAAGCGCCTCTCCCTGCCATTGGACCGCTACATCCTGGTGGACATTGATGACATCTTCGTGGGCAAGGAGGGCACACGCATGAAGGTGGAGGACGTGAAGGTATGGCCGGGGGTGCTAGACCGGGCAAGGCAGGTGGGGCCTGGCAAGCTTCAGCCTTCAGGTGCCCCATCGTGGGTGTGCCCTGTCTGCATCTCCCCTATGCTGGGAGTTACTTAAAAGACAGTCCCACTCTGCTTCCTGTCCTGCCAGTTGGTTCTTATTAATTGTCTTATTAGAAGCAAGTATCATTTAAAACTTGATTGAAGCATTGGCCAGGTGTGGTGGCTCACACCTGTAATCCCAGCACTTTGGGAGGCTGAGGTAGGCGGATCACTTGAGGTCAGGAGTTTGAGACCAGCCTGGCCAACACAGCGAAACCCCATCTCTACTAAAAATACAAAAAAAAATTAGCCAGGTGTGGTGGCGTATGCCTGTCATCCTGGCTACACAGGAGGCTGAGGCAGGAGAATCGCTTGAACCCAGGAGGTGGAGGTTGCAGTGAGCCGAGATTGTGCCACTGCACTCCAGCCTGGGTGACAGAGCAAGACTCTGTCTCAAAAAAATTAAAAAAATAAAACTTTATTGTATTGAAGTATTGAATATGAGGAATTTTGCATCTGGAATGTGGAGTTTAAGTTTGTATAATATGTATGGAAGAAGACATCCAGACAAAGATGGGAGCTGTACAATGCTGTTTGTCTGCCTTTAATTTAAATATGATTTTTAACTCTTAAAAATGTTTATGTTAATGTCAGAGCGCCTACAAAACTCTTAAAATAAGGATGAGAGCTTGAATCATGCATGAGGCAGATTTTAACTGAGGTGTAAGTAGACAGTGGAATGCATGTGTTTAATTCAAAAAAGGTTTGCTGGCCGGGTGTGGTGGCTTGTGCTTGTAATCCCAGCACTTTGAGAAGCCAAGGGAGGAGGATTGCTTGAGCCCAGGAGTTTGAGACCAGCTTGAGCAACATAAGGAGACCTTGTCTCTACAAAAAATAAAACATTAGCTGGGTGTGGTGGTAGTAGTCCTGTAGTCCTAGCTATCTGGGAGGCTGAGGCAGGAGGATTGCTTGAGCTTGGGAGGTTGAGGCTGCAGTGAGCCATGACTGTGCATGGCATTCCAGCCTGGGCCACAGAGCAAGACCCTGTCTCAAAAAAAAAAAAAAAAAAAAAAAGTTTTTACTAAACAAAACTGTGTAAAAGTACTTTGCAGACCACAAGATTTTACACACATGTGAACTGTCATTGTGAGAAACAGCCTACAAATTAAGACCATTAAACAATCTTTAAAATACAGTTTTCATCTACTCACTATTTTATTTAAACTTATTCGCAAAGGAGATGGCATCCTAGTGTAAATAGGAAATCCGGATCAGTTGCCATAAATAGAGGGCAACCATAACAATAAATCCAATGAAAACAAAACAGGGGGATTAAATTCTAGAGACATTCTGCTGCCTGCTGACAGCCTGTCCTCTCTTATAGGAGATTAGCAAGTGTTAGAAACATATTAGCACCAAACCCAGGCTTGTCTTTGATGTTAGCAGGAGGCTTTAAAAAGAGACTTGTAAGAGGAATTCTGAAATCTCTGGTAGGGGTTGGCCCTGGGGCCTGGAAGGAGGGTCCTGGTGGCATTCATCGCCCTGCCTTGGTCAGGAGTGAACTTTGCTCTTCCTTACACCTCTAGAGAAGAGCAGAATGGATGACATTCGGGAGCAGGCACTGTCTGGGGAGTTAAGACCTAATTTGAATCGAGTCCTAATTTGACCCTAATGAACTAGGTGACTTGGGCAGGTCCCCTCCCATGCCTGAGCCTCAGCTATAAAATGATGAAATGGGGTGAATGGGAAGTTTTCAGGCTATTTCCTGGTGCCCAGGGGTCTCCCATAGGTGCCTGGATAGCTGGGGTGGGGGTTAGGGGGATGTTTTGGTGCCAGGCTCAGCCCTCCAGGCTCCACCTTAGTTGCTCCAGCGGTGCTGCTTTGCGCTGCTTTTACGCATTGTGTTTCCTCCTGAAATTCCATTCTCTTAAAGGCTCTCCTGTTTAAAGAACGTTTTAGCCTTCCAGTCTAAGTCTTCATGCAGTGCCACCACCTGCCTCTGGCAAGGTAGATTGCTCTGTGTTCTACTCGAGGTGTTCTTCCAGTGGCCCAAGCTCATTTTCTCCTGCAGGAACCCAGGTTCTTGCTGTCTGTCCAGTGAGTTCTGGAGAGACTGTGGTCCAGGGTCAGGTTGAGCCTGAGGAGATCAGGTTCCTGGGCTCACTGTGTTCCTATAAGCCCTGAATTTCTCTCTCTTATTAATTTTCCGTATTTTAAATTTTTTTTTTTTTTTTTTTTTTTTGAGATAGAGTCTTACTCTGCCACCCAGGCTGGAGTGCAGTGGCGGGATCACAGCTCACTTAAGTGATCCTAAGCACAAGCAATCCTCCCACCTCAGCCTCCTGAGTAGCTGGGATCACAGGCACATGCCACCATACCCAGCTTACCCAGCTAGTTTTTTGTAGAGCCCAGGTTTTGCCATATTGCCCAGGCCGATCTGGAACTCCTGGAGTCAAGTGCTGCACCCACCTTGGCCTCCCAAAGTGCTGGGTTTATGAGCATGAGCCACCGCACCTGGCCCTATTTTTTCTATTTTTAAAGTGAAAGGAATGATAGCAGTTTGAAGCCATTTCTATAGAACAATAGAAATAGAAAAATAGGATACAAACCAAAAATACAAATAGAGGCACCCTCTTTCACACACTCAGCTCAGTCCAGATTGCAAAGTGCTTCTCCAGCCACAATCCTACTTGCCTTAAACATTTTTGTGAATAAGAAAGGGCAGAGTTTTTTTTTTTTCTTTAATCCCAAGCACAGCCTACAACAGAGCCCTTCTTTCAGAGACATGAATGTCGCCTCATTAGCTTGTACAGTACTGGCTGTACAGCGCAATTTAAATAATACCAATAGCAGCTGCCTATTCAGGGCTTGGTGAGTCCTTGTGCTTAGCCCTTTCTGGCCGTTGCTTCATTGGGTCCTTACAGCAGCCCTGTGAGGTGGGTATTGTTCTGAGTCCCATTTAACAGAGGTGGGCACTGAGGCTCAGGGAGTTGAGGTAACTTGCCCAAGGCCACACAGCTGGAGCATGCACGTCCACCAGGCGGTGCACGGCCCTGGTAAGATGCTGATGGTGACTACATTGCCTGGGGAGGGCCAGGACTTTTAGTTTGTAAAGTGTTCTGATAGCTGGCTCTTACAGGTTTCTTTTTTCTTTTTCTCTCTTTTTTTTTTTTTTTTTGAGATGGAGTTTCATTCTTGTTGCCCAGGCTGGAGTGCAGTGACGTTATCTCGGCTCCTGCAACCTCCGCCTCCTGGGTTCAAGCAATTCTTCTGCCTCAGCCTCCCGAATAGCTGGGATTACAGGCGCCTGCCACCACACCTGGCTAATTTTGTATTTTTAGTAGAGACAGGGTTTCACCATGTTGGTCAGGCTGGTTTTGAACTCCTGACCTCAGGTGATCTGCCTGCCTCAGCCTCCCAGGGTGCTGGGATTACAGGCATGAGCCACTGCACCTGGCGGCTCTTACAGGTTTCTGAGCTGCTTTGTGGCTCGTGTGTCCTAACCCCAGAGTACACCTGTGTGTTTGTTTCACAAGTGTCAGTGTCCCCTCATTGACTCGAAGAGTACTGGGTGCACGGTGCGCGGGAAGACCGCATTGCTGGGCACACAGTGTCCCATCCTTGGAAAGGGTATGGCCCTTTAAAGTCAGCACTGCATTCCATCAGCAAAGAGAAATCCTCCACATTTGATAGATGAAGACACAGGCTTACAGCGGCAGTGACCACAGACGTAGCATTGGCCACCATTTTTCATCACTTACCAGATGTGAGGCAGTTTTACGTACAATATCTTTTTTACAATTGTTTAATCTTTTTAGAGCAGGGTCTTACAGTTGGACCTGTGTTGGATTCTAACTGCTGGGCTCAAGCAATCCTCCTGCCTTAGCCTCCCGAATAGCTGGCATACATGCGGTTATCTTACTTGATTCTTCCAAGAGCCTTATGAGGGAGATATTATCATCCCTGTTTTACATTTGATGAAACCAAGGCCTAGAGGAATGTGAAGCCTTTTCAAGGACACATAGCAGAGCTGGGTAGGATTCTAGATTTTCCCTTGCCAGAGGCCTGGCGGACGGCAGCATAGGGCTGGTTTCAAGAGTATGTGATCTGTGCAGCCACACAGAGCCCCACGCTCAGAGGGAGCCCATTATGTGGTTTAATGCCTGCTGTTGCCTTCTTGACATTCTTTTTTTTTTGAGACGGAATCTCGCTCTGTCACCCAGGCTGGAGTGATCTTGGCTCCAGTGGTGCGATCTCGGCTCACTGCACCTCCGCCTCCCGGGTTCAAGCGATTCTCCTGCCTCAGCTTCCCAAGTAGCTGGGATTACAGGCTCGTGCCACCATGCCCGGCTAATTTTTGTATTTCCAGTAGAGACTGGGTTTTGCCATGTTGGCCAGGCTGGTCTTGAACTCCTGACCTCAAGTGATCCACCCACCTCAGCTTCCCAAACTGCTGGGATTACAGGCATGAGCCACCACGCCGTCCTTGACATTCTTTATAATTTTTGAACAAGGGATTTCCACGTTTTTTCACTGCCCTCAGTGGGAAAAGCAGGGAGCTCCTGGCTTTCCCTCACTCATTCCTTTCTCCCCTGCCTGTCCTAGGCCCTGTTTGACACACAGAACGAACTACGCGCACACATCCCAAACTTCACCTTCAACCTGGGCTACTCAGGGAAATTCTTCCACACAGGTAAGTGGGCCTGCCCCTGCCCTCACTAGCAACTTCCAGGACTCCTCAGCACCCAAACCCTCAAAGCACCCATCCATGAGGGCAGCGGGTGGGTTTACTGGCCCACATTAGAGGCAGAGGTGACCCCTCTGCCCCCGTGGAGCCAACAGCCTACAAGAGCAGTCACAACCCAGGCAGAGGCCATCTGGGGACAACAGCAGCGGCAGCAACAGCAGCCGCTTGTCCCTCCCTGTCCTTTCGGGCTGAGCTGGCCTGGGTGGGGCATCTTCTCCCTCTTGCCTCTCCCTCCTATCTTTTACAATTATGTGTATTATTTCTGCTTATAAAAGAAGCTGGTTGAGTTTTAAGAACATTACAGAAACATGTAGCATAGAAAGTGAAGATGCCCTGTAATTGTACCCACCTTGGATGACCAGTGTCATGGGTTTATTTTAGAGTCCTAAGGGTTGAGGGTGAGGGCTATAGGTTGCTTGGTGCGCACTTTCCTTCCTCTTTGGGGCTCTCTCACTTGCTGTCCTCTCTTCATCTGCTGTCCTTCAGGGACTGGGCAGAACCCCTCAGCTGGTCATCTGCAGTGACCATTCCCCCTAGCTGCCTTCTGCCCAGGCCTCAGTGAGACAACCTCTCTTGAATTCTAAGAAAACCATTTATTCAATAATTCAGCAGATGGAGGGGTATATGCAACATAGCCCCAAAGCCAAATAGGAGTGATCCTGGGTTGTCTGTCTGTATTTTTTATATTCTTTTTAAAATTTTTTATATATTTTTGGCTGGGCGCTGTGGCTCACGCCTGTAATCCCAGCACTTTGGGAGGGTGAGGTGGGCATATTATTTGAGGTCAGGAGTTCAGGACTACCTTGGTCAACATGGCAAAACCCCATCTCTACAAAAAATAGAAAAAATAGCCCGGCGTGGTGGTGTGCTCCTGTAGTATCAGCTACTTGGGAGGCTAAGTCAGGAGGATTGCTTGATCCCAGGAGTTCAAGGCTGCAGTGAGCTATGATCGCACAACTGTACTCCTGCCTGGGTGACAGAGTAAGACTCCATCTCAAAACAAAAAGAAAAAAAATTATTTATTTTTAGAGACGGGACCTCTCTCTGTCACCCAGGCAGGAGTACAGTGGTGCAATCACAGCTTACTGCAGCCTTGAACTCCTGGGATCAAGCAATCCTCCTGCCTTAGCCTCCCAAGTAGCAGGTACTACAGGTGCATGCCACTATGCCTGGCTATTAATATTTTAAAAATTTTTGTAGAGATGGGGCCTTGCACTATGTTGCCTAGGCTGGTCTCAAACCTCTAGGCTCAAACGATCCTCCCACCTTGGCCTTCCAAAGTGCTGGGGTTTCAAGTGTGAACCACTGCACCTGGTTGTTTTTTATATTCATAACCCTTAGCATATCAGAGGTGGTTATAGTAATATGTCTGAGATAGAGGGTCAAACATCCTGTATATATACAAAGAGCTTCCATAGATAATTAGATAAAAGACAAGTGACCTGATTTGGATCATTGGAATAGAATCAGAGCAGGTATGTCAGAGGTAGAAGAAACCCTTGAGATCATTGACTCCAGACCCTGAATTGTGCAGATGGTCCCAAGGATCTAGAGAGCAGATAGTCTTGGCCAAGGTCCCCCACTGAGTCAAGGGCACACTCTAGACTAGAATTCAGGGCTCTGGGCTGGGGCTCTGTCTGCTCCTGTGCTGTAGCCCAGATAACTCTTCCAGGCAGCTCCTGGGTGGGCTCTGGCCATGCTCTCCCATCCCCAGGCACAGGCCCAGGTTAGAGGGCCTCATGGCCCAGTGGGTGGTTCTGAGCTGCCTGTGTTGCTGCAGGTACCAATGCTGAGGACGCTGGGGATGATCTGCTGCTGTCGTATGTGAAGGAGTTCTGGTGGTTCCCCCACATGTGGAGCCACATGCAGCCCCACCTTTTCCACAACCAGTCCGTGTTGGCCGAGCAGATGGCCTTGAACAAGAAGTTCGCTGTCGTGAGTAAGATTCCTTGCAGGGCAGAGCGGGGCGGGCTAAGGGCTGGGCTGGAGGTCCAGACTGCTGGCCTCTTGCTGCTTTTGCAGTCTGCTCTGACGGATTTTTACTAACACCTCTGGGCCAGGGCCAAGGGAGAGCTGCCTTTATAGCCACTGTCTCCTTGAAGCCCCAAGAGAATAACCCCTTTACAGACAAGAAACCAAGGCTCAGGGAGGTCACACCAGCTACTAAGAGGTCCAGCTGGGACTTAAACTCAGGCCATTTGTTTCCTGTGCCCAAGCTCTTACTAGAAGGGGAGGCTCTGGAAAGCTGGAAGAGGTGGTCAATGAGGAGGGAACGAGCCCTAGGTGCTAGGTAGAATGAAGAGAAGGTAGGAAAGGCCCTCGTCCTTGTCCCTCACTACAGGGTACTTGAGTCCTTTGTGCTAGAGGCATGTGCACCGGACCAAGAGTCAGGAGACCTGGGTTCTAATCCCAGCTCTGCCAGTTGCCCACACTGAGATTCTGGGCACATTCCTTGCCCTCCCAGGCCTCAGCTTCCCATCTTACCATGAAGTCTCAGACCAGCAGCCATGCCGACCTAACCTCTGATTTCTCTCTCCCATTCTACAAAGGGGGGATAAGGCCCAAAGGGGAAGGACCCCTATGCTCACCCTGGCCTGGTCATCCTCTCCCTAGGAGCATGGCATTCCCACAGACATGGGGTATGCAGTGGCGCCCCACCACTCGGGCGTGTACCCCGTGCACGTGCAGCTGTACGAGGCTTGGAAGCAGGTGTGGAGCATCCGCGTGACCAGCACGGAGGAGTACCCCCACCTGAAGCCAGCCCGCTACCGCCGTGGCTTCATCCACAATGGCATCATGGTGAGTGGGCCCCTGGAAGCCCAGGAGGTGGGAGAATGGAGAGCACAGTCTGTCATGTGTGTGCATACGCTGTCCTGGTAAGCACGGCTCTGGTTTGCTGGCTTAGGGGTTGCAGATCAGCTTCTGCTGCCTCCTCTGGCACCCGAGGCTCTCTGCCCCAGGGAAGGTGGGCTGCCACTCCGACCCCTTTCATGAGCTCTTTCTTAGCTTTTGTGACAGAGGATCAAGCAATAATCAGCATTCTTGAAAGAGGTTTCTGATGAGGATGTGGGACAGGGCTCTGTTACAGTCTTTTTGCTGATTAAAAATTTTTTTCTTGGCTGGGCCTGATGGCTCACACCTGTAATCCTAGCACTTTGGGAGGCCAAGGCAGGCAGATTGCTTGAGCCTAGGAGTTTCATACCAGCCTGGGCAATGTAGTGAAACCCCATCTCTACTAAAAAAGTACTAAAAAAAAAATATGCCTGGTGATTAGCCAGGTGTGGTGGTGCATGCCTGTAGTCCCAGCTACTTGCAGGGCTGAGGCAGGAGGATCACTTGAACCTGGGAGATCGAGGCTGCAGTGAGCCAAGATTGCGCCACTGCACTCCAGCCTAGGTGACAAAGTGAGACTCTGTCTCAAAAAAAAAAAAAATTTTTTTTTCCCCTGGGGCTTCTACCATGCATCTATCCCTTTTTTTTTCTTTCTTTCTTCTTTTTTGAGACAGAGTTTCACTCTTATCTAGGCTGGAGTGCAATGGCACAATCTCAGCTCACTGCAACCTCTGCCTCCTGGGTTCAAGCAATTCTCCTGCTTCAGCCTCCCGAGTAGCTGGGAAGACAGGCATACACCACCATGCCTGGATAATTTTGTATTTTTAGTTGAGACAGGGTTTCTCCATGTTGGTCAGGCTGGTCTCGAACTCCCAACCTCAGGGGATCTGCCCACCTTGGCCTCCCAAAGTGCCAGGAATTACAGGCGTGAGCCACTGTGCCCAGCCTCACATCTATCCCTTTCCTTGGCACTGGGGACACAGAAATGCACAGAACGGAGGAAAGTTCCTGCCCTTGTAGACCTGACATTCTAGTGGCAGGAGACAGACCATATGCTCATGCATGTGTGTTGTGGGAAGTCAGGGACCCCGAACAGAGGGACTGGCTGAAGCCATGGCAGAAGAACATAAATTGTGAAGATTTCATGGACATTTATCGCTTCCCCAATCAATACTCTTGTGATTTCCTATGCCTGTCTTTACTTTAATCTCTTAATCCCGTCATCTTCATAAGCTGAGGATGAATGTCGTCTCAGGACCCTGTGATGATTGTGTTAACTGCACAAATTGTTTAAACAATATGAAATCTGGGAACCTTGAAAAAAGAACAGGATAACAGCGATGTTCAGGGAACAAGGGAGATAACCTTAAAGTCTGGCTGCCTGTGGGCCAGGTGGAACAGAGCCATATTTCTCTTCTTTCAAAAGCAAATAGGAGAAATATCGCTGAATTCTTTTTCTCAGCAAGAAACATCCCTAAGAAGAGAATGCGTTCCCAAGAGGAGGTCTCTGAAATGGCCGCTTTGGGAACGTTTGTCTTTTACAGTTGTTGATAAGGGATGAAATAAGCCCCGGTCTCCCATAGCGCTCCCAGGCTTATTAGGACAAGGAAGTTCCCACCTAACAAATTTTGGTCAGACTGGTTGTCTGCTCTCAAACCCTGTCTGCTGATAAGATGTTATCAATGACAATGTGTGCCCGAAACTTCATTAGCAATTTTAATTTCGCCCCGTCCTGTGATCTCGCCCTGCCTCCATTTGCTTTGTGATATTTTATTACATTGGGAAGCATGTGATCTCTGTGACCCACACCCTATTCGTACGCTCCCTCCCCTTTCGAAAATCACTAATAAAAACTTGCTGGTTTTGTGACTTGGGGGTCATCACAGGACCTGCCAACATGTGACATCTCCCCTGGACACCCAGCTTTAAAATTTCTCTCTTCTGTACTCTTTCCCTTTATTTCTCAGACTGACAGACACTTAGGGAAAATAGAAAAGGACCCATGCTGAATATCGGGGGTTGGTTTCCCCCAATACATGTGTAAAATATACAGTGGTCAGATGGTGATGAGTGCCACGGACAAAGTTAAGCAGGGAATGGAAGGAAGGAATGCTGGCAAGAGAAGCTGGTTTAAATAAGGTGGCTAGGTGGGCCTTCCTGGAATAAGCCACGCTGCCACATGAGGAAGAGCACTCAAGGCAGAGAACACAAGTGCAAAGGCCCTGAAGCGGGCTGTGCTGGCTGTGTTTGAAGGCCAAATAGGAGGCCGGGATGGCTGGAGGGGAGTGAGGGATGGTGGTAGATGAGGTCGGGGTGGGTGATGGACCAGATCGATAGGGCCATGTAAGGCCAGCCATTGGATGGCCATGGGCTTTTAGGCTGAGATGGGAAGGTTTTGAATGGAGCATGATCTGACTCATCTTTGAAAGGGATTTCTATCATTCTGGCTGTTGTGTGGAGCAGAGACTGTAGGGGACAAAAGTGGCAGCAGGGAGACCAGTTAGGAGGCACTGCAGTCTTCCAGACCAGAGGTGGCAGCAGCTTGGACCAGGGCCCAATGTTGGGATGTGGCCATACTCTGGGCTTAGAATAGTTAGGCCTGTGGTTAGATGAGTTAGATATAGGGTGTGGGAGGAAGAGAGGAGTCCAAGATGACTGCAGGGTTTTTAGTCTGAGGTGCTGGAAGGATGAGTTGTCATCAGTTGAGCTGGGGCAGCAGTGGGTAGGCAAGGTTTGTACATTTGTCCATCAGTCCATCCATCCATCCACTGACCTCAGCACCAGGCCCTCGTGCTGAACTCCAGGCACTCCTTTAGGTCCTCAACCCTGAACTCCAGGGATGAGGTGGTGACAAGGCAGGCCCATTCCCTGCTCCCTTGGAGCTCACAGTTTCATGAGGGGAGACAGACGACAAATGGCTAAGCCAGTGTGTGACAACGAGTGTCACCAGGTGAGGTTCTAATGTTGCAAGGGGGCTTGCAGAACATGTCTGGGATTGCTGCTTCAGAGAGGGCCAGGCAGGGGCCGTGGCTGCAGCAGTCCCAAGTTTCCAGAAACATTCCCACTCTGTTACTTTGAGGCCTGCTCATTTTGTGCAGAGAATAGCAGTGAAGTTTGTAAAATGGCAAGGGCCTGTAGTTCACTGGGGGGAACGCTGTGCTGTAGGCTGCACCCAAGGGTAGGGGCTGTGCGACCACATGGAGACTGCCTTTCTGAGGAGCAGCTGGGCCTTCTTCCTCTGAGGAAGAGTCCTCCCACCACCCTCATGCCAGAAGGCACCATAGCTCCTCTCCCCCACCCCCTCCTCAGGTTCTCCCACGGCAGACCTGCGGCCTCTTCACACACACCATCTTCTACAACGAGTACCCTGGCGGCTCCAGTGAGCTGGACAAGATCATCAACGGGGGCGAGCTCTTCCTCACCGTGCTCCTCAATCCTGTGAGTGCTCCACAGCCCATGGCTGCTGGTGAGAAGGGGCTGCTGCACAGCCTGTCTGCAGCTGACACAGGCTTCCTGGAGCCAGGAAAGGGTGGAGAGGCATGAGTGAGTGCCTGGCAGTTGGGAGACCCACTCTCCAGCACTGGCCCTGCCTCGGCTGTGTGACCTTGGCTAAAGAATCCGAGCATGCTTTTTTTTTCCTTTCCTAATCATGTACTTTAATACAAAAGTGTTGGCATTTTTATGCATGTTCCCTTCAGTCTTTGCTCATGTGTGTATACACACATACACAGATACACACACATATATGAACAACATTTGAGTTTTCTAGGTCTCGCTTTCCTTATTTGTAAAATGCAAACAATTACCTCTGCTTTAATAATATTAAATAAACTTCAAGTGGTGGTTGTTATTCAGCTCTGTGGGCTGAGTACTCTTTATCTTCCATGCACCCCACCCCTAACATTTACAAAATAAAACCCAAATAGCTCCCACATTGGGTCTGCTTTCCATTTCAGGATTGTAATATTTGGGGTCAGTCAGGCCTGGTTCGTCTGTCACCTCATCCAAGTACTCGCAGCGAGTTTGTTGACAGCGCCAGCGTAACTTCCACTGGTCATCAGGAGCCTTGCAAGCTAAGGCAGGGTCAGAAGGGTCAGAGTTGGCGGTGAGGGTGGCTCAGACACTGATGGGCCCTGCCTCTCTCCTCCCCTCCCCTGGAGCAGATCAGCATCTTCATGACGCACCTGTCCAACTATGGGAATGACCGCCTGGGCCTGTACACCTTCAAGCACCTGGTGCGCTTCCTGCACTCCTGGACGAACCTCCGGCTGCAGACACTGCCCCCTGTGCAGTTGGCGCAGAAGTACTTCCAGATCTTCTCCGAGGAGAAGGACCCGCTCTGGCAGGTGGGGGGCTGGGCAGCCTGGGCAGGTTGCTACAGGGATGGAACGCCACCACTCACAGGCACACACTCCAGATATGGACTCAAGGCTCAGCCATCATGCCTTCACACTCTCGCTCGAATGTAAACTCAGGTCCCCATCTACTTACCAGCATGGGTGCGTTCACTCCTTTGCACACATGCATGCTCATACATGTACATACTTCCCCACGCAGACCTACATGCATGCAGTCATACATAGCCTTGGAAAAAACAGTGTTAAAAAAACGAGTGGGCTGGACGCAGTGGTTCACCCCTATAATCCCAATACTTTAGGAGGCCAAGGTGGCTGGATTGCTTGAACCCAGGAGTTCAAGATCAGCCTGGGCAATATGGCGAAACCCTGTCTCTACAAAAAATACAAAAATTAGCCGGGCATGATGGTGCGCATCTATAGTCCCAGCTACTCGTGAGGCAGAGGTGGGAGGATCAGTTGAGCCTAGAGGTTGAGGCTGCAGTGAGCTGTGATCACACCACTGTACTCCAGCCTGGGCAACAGAGTGAGACCCTGTTTCAAAAACAAAAAACAACTCCAAGTGAACACAGTGCAGACAAAGTACAGAAAGTGAATGCGTTGTCTTGGTCAGGCTCTTAGATAATCTCTTGTATCTCTTCTAACTCCAGCAGGCTCTGAGTGGGAAAAGGGATTGATGGGAGGGTTTGGGGGCCAGTTTTTGGGAAAGTCTGCTCCTACGGGCTTTTAAAAAGTGGAAGCAGAAGCTGGAATTGGTGACAGTCTCATAGTTCAGACCAGGAGTCCACAAACCGTGACTCATGGGCCAAAACCAGCCTGAGACCTGTTTTTGTAAAGAACGTTTTATTGGCAGACAGCCACGCTCATTCTTGTATCTACTGTCTATAGCTGCTTTCATGCTATGACGGCAGAGTCGAGTAGTTGCAATGGAAACTTCCATGCCCCAAACCTAAAATATTTACTAAACACTTACCAAAAGATTAATTAAACTTTATAGGAAGCGTTTCTTGACCCCCTGGTTCAGACGCAGCTTGTCCAGTTAAATTCAACAAGTGCTTATGAGTTCCTGTTACGTGCTAAGGGGCATTTTGCGAGCTCTTTGGGGGACATGAAACTGACCAGAAGTGGAGCCTGCCTGTCAGTGGCTCAGTGTCTGGGGGTGGGGATGTGACAAGGACACATGTAGCATGTAGGTATCATGCCCATTGGGCTGTAAGGGCCACATATCCATGTGCAGTGGGAGTCCACTGACTGGGTTCTGGGGCGCCCCACACATCCCTTCCACTGTTGTTTTAGGACCCCTGCGAGGACAAACGTCACAAAGACATCTGGTCCAAGGAGAAGACGTGTGACCGCTTCCCAAAGCTCCTCATCATCGGCCCCCAGAAAACAGGCAGGTCTCTCTGCTCTTGACCGAGCTTCCCCAACTGCCTGCTGTCTCAGCCACAGAATTCTGAGGACTGCCTTGCCCTGGCCCCACTCCCGGATAATTTGCTCCCTCTTTCCCAGGAAGTAGGAATGAAGTTGGGGTGAACACAAATTGCCTGTCAGTATGGAGGGGAAAGAGGTGGAGGAGGGGCCTGGAGTTCTCCTATTTATCCTGAACCATAGCCTCAGGGAGCTCTCCCTGCATTATCCTGGGAGTCTCCAAGTCCAGTCAGAGAAGCCCAGATCAGTTGCTCTGCTAGTTTGAGTAATGCCAAGCAAAACTGGTACAAAGAGGACTGTGATCAATTAGCTATGTCTGCCAGAGGTGCAGTAGGGAGAAGCAGTGACATGATTGCTAAGCATTTGTCATCCATACAACCCTGCAAGGCACAAATGGGCACTCCCATTTTGTAGACAGAAACTCAAGGTTCAGAGAAGTCAAGTGACTTCCCTTAACACATTCAGTTAGGCAATGGCAATTCCAGGCCTGAACTCTGATCTCTGTGACCCTGAAACATATACTCTTAATTGCCAAACTCTATAGCCTCCTTCTCTTCTGGGCTCTCTCATTATAGCATGTAAACCATAGACTTATACCACAGAAAGTGAATGAACTCACTGAGGAGGAGGTAGGGCAGGGTGCATGAGTGAGCAGAGGGTATTGGGAAGAAGAGACATAGGAACAAGATTTCTTAGTTCTTTAAGAATTTCACATTAACAGAACTGCAGGGTGACAAACTCCCTTTTCCCTGAGCTCCTACCAAGTGCCAGAGGACAGAGGCCCAGAGCTGGAAAGGACCAGCTCTTCTGGGATGCTGAGGGGACAGCAGTCAGTTAAACATGGCTACCAGAGTGCAGTGGTGAGGCAGATTCTGAGGCCACGTCCTCGTTTAGTGAAGAGTGCTGTGATAGATTAGCGATGTCCGTAGTAGGTACAGGAGTTGCGGTGTTCACATGCATGCCATATATTTGCCACCCTGGATTTAGTAATTCCTTCATTGCACAGATGAAGAAGCTAAGACCAGAGAAAGGCAGAGACCTTCCCAGGAGCCCCCAGTGGGTCGTGGGGAGCTAGGCCCAGAACCCAGACTCTATCTTTTGGCTGGGGGCTGGGCCCTGGGTCTCAGGTGTCTACCCTCCCCACAGGCACCACTGCCCTCTACCTGTTCCTGGGCATGCACCCTGACCTAAGCAGCAACTACCCCAGCTCTGAGACCTTTGAGGAGATCCAGTTTTTTAATGGCCACAACTATCACAAAGGCATCGACTGGTGAGTTGGCCTTTCTGTCCACAGCGGGACGGGAAGGCCATCCTGGGGCCTCCCAGGAGTCTGCTGTGGCCACAGCAGGAAGCAGCTGGAGCTTGCTCACACACAGCTGTCATTCCTGTAAACAGGGACAAAGTGCAGTGACCCTTGAATCATGGTGTGACAGCGTTGTCATAGACAGGACACTCGATGAGGAGGCCCTTTGCCCCTTTGCTCTACCGCCTGTAGTCAGACGCTGAGGTCGAAGTCCACCCCTCCCTTGCTTGCAGAGAAACATCCTGAGTCTTGGGGAGGAGAAGGGTTTGCCCAGGGTCCCAAGGTCGGAAATCCAAATGTTCTGGCTCTCCTCACTGCGTGTGGCTGACTGTGAAGCAGAGGTGTTCTTGTGGGCCCTTCAGGGACAGGTCGCTGGTCTTTGGGCGTCACTTGGGGAAGTCATTAAGATTGCCACTTCCCACCAGAGCCTGCAGAGGTTACCTTTGTAGAGGTTCCCAGCAGAGGGTCCTAGTAGAGGTTCCCTTAAGGGTGTGGGGGCCAGAGCAGAGATGGTTTTACTCTCCACCTTTTCAGTTGGCATCTTTCTCTATTTGCCTTTTTTCTTTCTTTTTAAAAAATGTTTCATGTCAGGTAGGTAATGTGCTGAGATCATAACAAGGTTCGAGGTGGGTACACCTCACACGTGTGTGAACACCCAATCATCACGTGCATGGACTGCAAAGTTTGCCTTTTTAAACCTTGTCCATGTATTACCATTATTTATTATTTTTATGTCAGTGGGTTCCCTGGGTGGAGAGGTTATGGGCCTTCTGTCTTTCTTTTTTTTTTTTTTGAGATGGAATCTCGCTCTGTCACCCAGGCTGCAGTGCAGTGGCGCGATCTCGGCTTACTGCAACCTCTGCTTCCCGGGTTCAAGTGATTCTCCTGCTTCAGCCTCCCAAGTAGCTGGGACTACAGGTGCCCGCCACCATGCCTGGCTAATTTTTGTATTTTTAGTAGAGACGAGGTTTTGCCATGTTGGTCAGGCTGGTCTTGAACTCCTGACCTCGTGATCTGCCCGCCTCGGCCTCCCAAAGTGCTGGGATTACGGCGTGCGCCACTGCGCCCGGCCCATCTACCTACATTTCTAACATCTCCACAGTCTCTTGTCTAAAATCTAGTGTGGTCAGATGAATTATTGGAAGTCAACATTTTTCAGGTTTTAGAAAGGTAATGTGGTGCGAAACCATATATTTAGTAACATCTTCAGCGACACCTGGGGCAGCACCCTGTTAGCAAATTCATTAATATGTCTGTAGCAAAGTATGTGAATATTTACACTAAGTAAGAGGAATAAGTCAGGTTTTGTTGCCAAATGGCTTTGCTACAAACCTAGGAAACAAAGCCTGTGTTTTCAAAGCTTTCTCAATTGAGATATTGTAAACAAAGGATTGTGGACATGCAAAGAAAATTCAGAAAGATGAGAGAAGACGTAATTCCTTGGCCCAATTCCCAAGAGCTTGATTTTGTAGGTAGGTCTAAAGTGGGGTGCAGGAATCCAGCAGGCCCCCAGAACGCTCTGATGAAGCACATCCTTGGGACCAGCCTGGATCAGCCCCACCTCACAGGATAGGATAGGGACCCTGTACCCTTCATGAGAGTGGACTTTGCTTCCCACAAGCCCCAGAAGTTGGACCCTGAGTTTGCATAGGTAGATTCCCCTGGGAGGGTCTGGAGTGTTCCTTTGGTTTCCAGAGGTTCCTTCATCCAGAGGTGGCCATTGCTCTGGTGGGATATGGGCATTAGTCTGGAAAGCCGTGCTCACCCACAGCAGGCTGGGGAGGGGTTGTGGGTAGCAGGAGGTCCTGGTCCACAGTGACGGCCTAGAAGGTGTTCCCCCAGGTCAGGAAAGAAAGTCCGCCCTCTGGAGGCCCCCTCTGCTCTGTGCCAGCCTCCCTGGGGCAGTCCTGGAGCCACTCTGAGCCCCAGCTCGCCCCCTAGAGGCAGAGAGAGTGACAGCCCTGGCAGTTAAGCCTGGAGCAGCTGAGGGGGCGGGATCCTAGAGTTTAGGATTGAGGGGCATTACCCCCTCCCCATGACCTGCAACTGCCGGCGCACCCACAAGTCTTCAGATCCTCCCAACTCCAGAGTCTTCTGGAAAAGGAACGAATTTGAAACAGGGAGGCTGCCAAGAGGCCATTCCCCTCCAGAATCCCCACTGGAGGCAAGTCCTTGTTTGGTTGGGAGCAAAGCTTCCCACTTGCTCTCTGAGGACATTCTACCCCAGTGCCTCGCCCTTGTGCTGCATTCCCTTAGCCCCCTCCTCATGAGTTTTGTCTGTGAGCCGCCTCTCTGGGCTTCCTGCAGGTACATGGAGTTCTTCCCCATCCCTTCCAACACCACCTCCGACTTCTACTTTGAGAAAAGCGCCAACTACTTTGATTCAGAAGTGGCGCCCCGGCGGGCAGCAGCCCTCTTGCCCAAAGCCAAGGTCCTGACCATCCTCATCAACCCCGCGGACCGGGCCTATTCCTGGTACCAGGTGAGTGGGGCTGGGGTGGAGTCCCTGTGTCGGGAACACAGGGCTCCGTCTGACACTCAGTTACTCACTCACTCAACAGATATTATTAGTAAGCACCTACTGTGTGCCAGCCCTGAGCCAGGCGCCTGGAGCGTGGTGATGGCTGAGAATAGAGTCCTTGGTGGAGGAGACAGGCGGAAATGGAAAGCCAGCCACCAGTTGACTGTCCACCTGCCTAGTGTCATGCGGGGTCCTGCCTCTACTTCTGACACTGACAAGAGGTGGAGGCTGGTTACGCCTAGAGGAAGCTTAGATTTGGTGAACAGCAATGCAGGATCATACTGACTATAGCTTCCTCGCTGGACACGGGTGGGAGTGGGAGCTCATGGAAGGACAAGACACAAGACTGCCATTCACAGTGGAGAAGGCAGGCACCTGACCAAGTGAGGCAGTTACCTGGGCTGTGATACATGGAGAGGGTGTGGATCCAAGCCCCTATCTGGGGCATGTATGAACCAGAGCTGTCTTTTTTTTTTTTTTTTTTTTTTTTGAGACAGAGTCTTGCTCTGTAGCCCAGGCTGGAGTGCAGTGGCCTGATCTCAACTCACTGCAACATCCGCCTTCCAGTTTGAAGTGATTCTCCTGCCTCAGCCTCCCAAGTAGCTGGTATTACAGGTGTGCACCACCACGCCAGGCTAATTTTTGTATTTTTAGTAGAGACAGGGTTTCACCATGTTGGCCAGGCTGGTCTCAAACTCCTGACCTCGTGATCTTCCCGCCTCGGCCTCTCAAAGTGCTGGCATTACAGGCATGAGCCACTGCGCCCAGCTGAACCAGAGCTCTCTTTAATGCCTATGGCCTGACTTAATTTCCTGCCTGCCAGCCCACTGAGCCTGCAGGAATGCTTTTAGGCCTTCCCTGGTGGGGTAGGCGGAGTCCCTCCCCTGGCTGCCAGCATTCCTGTGATTATGCCACACAGCCAAGCACTGTGATTCAGAAGTGGCGCCCCAGCAGAAAGCCACCCTGTTGTCCAGGCCGAGGTCCTGAGCATCCTCGTTAACCCAGCAGACCAGGCCTGTGCTTGGTGTTGGGGAGGGGGTGGGGCCCTGGGTCTTAGCCCATGGTTGCCAGAGAAGTGTCCCCTGTCCTGGCTGGGACAGCCTCTTCAGGCCTGGCCACTGTCATAGTTCCCACCCTGCTTTGAGGCTCTTTTCTCAGATGTGACAGTGGCTGTCTCCCGCCTGGGACCTTGCGGTCTCCCGCAGGGCTGGCACCTGCCTCCTCTTTGCTCCCATGGAAGTCTCTCCTCCTGCCACTCTCTGAGGCTGGTGAGGAAGCCCCTTCTTACTCTTGTTCTCTAGGGCTTCTGTTTATGCCCTGATGTCTGCTTTCCTGTGGCTTTTTCTTTAGGAGAAGAAAACCGAGAAACACTTGTCAAGTGTTTCTGTTTTCTGCCGTGCTGTGTGCCCCCGCCTCCTGGCGCTGTGCAGGGAATGGGCAGTCTGCTTTCATGGGGGAACGTAGGGTAGAGAGAGAGCCGCCACAGGTTGGGTCAGTCCCTGTTCTGCACTGACACTGCTGTACATCTGCACCTTACTGGAGAGTCACAGCTGGTTTCTAGAAGGCAGAGGAGGGGTTTCACGTTTGTGTCCCCTTCTCAAAGATTAGAAAACCAAGTTTCAGCAAGTTTCATGTGGTGGCATTTGAATCCAAGTCTTCTAAATCTAAGACCCTATTCCTTTTTCTGTCCATGATCAAGAGGGGTAAGGGATAGAAGGAGAAGGGAGACTCATTCTCCCCAGGAGGACCTGGGAAGATGTTGGAGGAGAGGAAGGGTGGGGGCCTGTCTCAGAAGGAGGTCGGGACGAGGAGGACGCTGCTGTGCACCATATTGCCCCAGCCCTGGGCTGTGTGTGATCCTCAGGGGAGGGGGTTGGCGGCTGGGGGATAGTGCCTGTCGCACAGGTGCCTGAGCTCTGGCTTTCTGGACTTAGTGAATTCTGCAGATTCGGACCTCCCATGGCATTATTTTAAGTGATTCAGACCAGCCAGTCTCCCTTTTATAGTTCTTTCCCAGTCCTTCTGATTTCCATAAAGGAGAAATGCTCACTTTAGTGCAAGTGGTCTTACGTCCTTTCTAACACTGTCAACCTCTGCTTTCAACAAAGAGAGCATGTTCAGGGCCTGTTGCACACATTTGTGTCTGGCTGGAGTTTGAGAACATTGTTTTTATTGCCATTTGTGAGTGGTTGCCTTCTATATATGACAACAGTGCAGCAGCGTGATCTTGGCTCACTGCAACCTCCACCCCCCGAGTTTAAGCGATTCTCGTGCCTCAGCCTTCCGAGTAGCTGGGACCACAGGTGTGCACCACCATGCCAGCTAATTTTTGTATTTTTAGTAGAGACGGGGTTTCGCCACATTGGCCAGCTGGTCTCGAACTCCTGACCTCAAGTGATCCACCCACCCCAGCCTCCCAAAATTCTGGGATTACAGGCATGAGCCACCATGCCTGGCATCAGGAAACCCTGATTTCGTCCAGTTCCCGTATTTCAAAGATGGAGAAGTTGGGGCTCTGGGACCAGTGGCTTCCCTTGACACTGGACACAGTGAGAGGCAGAGCCAGGACTCAGACCCAGAGCTCCTGGGTCCAGCTGAGGATCTTCTGGCCACCTTGCGGGCTGCTGTCCCTCTCAGGCCACTTCCTTTGTGTCCTCCAAGTGGCATGCTGACCCTCTTTCCTTGCCTGCAGCACCAGCGAGCCCATGACGACCCAGTGGCCCTAAAGTACACCTTCCATGAGGTGATTACCGCCGGCTCTGACGCATCCTCGAAGCTGCGTGCCCTCCAGAACCGCTGCCTGGTCCCTGGCTGGTACGCCACCCACATCGAGCGCTGGCTCAGTGCCTATCACGCCAACCAGGTAGCTGCTGTCCCTGACCCTTGTGAGGGCAGTCACAGTACTGGCTTGCTGTGGTTAGCGGAGAGCCTCCAACTCTTTCTCACCAGCCGTGGGGACAGATATGCCCTCCTTGGAGAGCTAGACCCTTGGGTCTATAAAAAGATTTTATTATTATTATTATTATTTTGAGACAGGGTCTCACTCTGTTGCCCAGGCTGGAGTGCAGTGGTGTGATCTCAGCTCACTATAGCCTCGATGTCCCGAGCTCACGCAATCCTTCCACCTCTGCCTCCTGAGTAGCTGGGACTACAGGTGTGAGCCACTGTACCCAGCTAATTTTATTTTTTTAAGAAATAAGGTCTTACTATGTTGCCCAGGCTGGTCTCAAACTCCTGGGCTCAAGCAGTCCTCCCTTGGTCTTCCAAAGTGCTGGGATTACAGGCATGAGCCACTGCACCTGGCCTAAAAAGACTGTAGACCTGTTTATCCCAAGGTTGATACATGAGAACTCCCCAAGCCTGTGTCCCATCACCACAGGCCCTGTAGCCCTAAAGGGACCCAGAAAGCCCTGAGGCAGGCAGGTGGGAGCAAGGAGACTGGGCGTGGTGATGGAGGGAGAGCCTGATCATACCAGGCTGTTTATGTATTTATTTATTTATTTAGAGACGGAGTCTCGCTCTGTCTCCCAGGCTGGAGTGCAGTGGCACGATCTTGGCTCACTGCAACCTCTGCCTCCCGGGTTCAAGCGTTTCTTCCACCTCAGCCTCCCAAGTAGCTGGAATTACAGGCATGCACCACCACGCCCAGATAATTTTTGTATTTTTAGTAGAGACGGGATTTCACCATGTTGGCCAGGCTGGTCTTGAACTCCTGACCTCAAGTCCTCTGCCCACCCCAGCATCCCAAAGTGCTGAGATTACAGGTGTGAGCCACCGTGCCCGGCCATGCCCAGCCATACCAGGCCTTTTAGGCAAACTTGCGGAGTGTTTGAGCAGGAGAGTGACATGGACTGGAAGCTCAGAGAGAGGCCAGAGAGGGATGTTTGTAGGGACCTGAGGGGCAGGCAGGGTTTGGTGAGAGCTTAAATTCTAGGAGAAATGGCATTGGGCAGCAGAAGCTGGTGGAAAGCAGGCGTGAGACCACAGAGGCCTGAGCTTGGGGATACCTGCCCTTCAACAGGGGAGGAGGAGCCAGTTCTAGAGGGTGCAGGGTCCCATATTTATAAGCAGGCCCATTCCTGCTGCCGTGGCTGTTGCCCTTGTTTGCCACCGAAGTCAAAGCAGGTCCCGATCCCCTTTCTCCCTTTCCAGATTCTGGTCTTGGATGGCAAACTGCTTCGCACAGAACCTGCCAAAGTGATGGACATGGTGCAGAAGTTCCTTGGGGTGACCAACACCATTGACTACCACAAAACCTTGGCGTGAGTGTTGCCTTTTCCTTTCTGCAGGTTATTTCCCTGATAAGGCACCTGGGCCAACAAAGCCAAAGTCTTGAATAATTATGAGAGAGAGAAGTTAGTTAGAGTCAGAAAGTATGGAAAGTTATTAATATGACTTAAGTCATATTAATAAAGGTATCACCTTAAAAAAAAGGGAGATGATGAATCTGTTCTACTCTGGTCAGACCATCCTGGGGTCTTCTCTTTGGTCTGGGCTGAACATTTTCAGAGTGTTTTATGTAAGTAAATTAGATCAGTAATGAGCAGCCCTAATTCCCACAAGATTTTCTTAGCATTAGCTTTTTTTTTTTTTTTTAGACAGGGTCACTCTGTTGCCCAGGCTGGAGTGCAGTGGTGTGATTTTGGCTCACTGCAACCTCAACCTCCCAGGCTCAAGTGATCCTCCCACCTCAGCTTCCCGAGTAGCTTGGGACCGCAGACATGTGCCACCATGCCTGGCTAATTTTTGTATGTTTTGTAGAGAAGGGGTTTCACCATGTTGCTCAGCCTGGTCTCGAATGATCTGCCTGCTTCAGCGTCCCAAAGTTCTGGGATTACAGGCATGAGGCACCGCCCCCAGCCAGCATTAGATTTTGACTTACGATTTCAGGAAAAGGAAACACAAATGTTGTTGACAGTTAATAACCGTACTCACTCAGAACCTGGTGCAAGTGCGTTGAGAATGCCCTCCCACTATGAGTAAAGGCCTGCCCGCATTGCATGGGCTCAGGGCTAGGAAAGGCTGCTTTCCTGTGCTATGTCACAGATAAGTGACACACTCAGCTGGATGAGGGGACCCCAAGAGAAGGAGGAATCAAGTCACCCTCCTTGGCTCCATTCTTGGGAAAGTTTTGCAACAAGAATATTCCGTCTTCACTGTCGTGGGAGTTGAAGGTGGAGAAGGGAAGTCAGTCCTTCACCTTGAGGGAGAAGGGGCCACCTGCTGAGGCTGTGGGCCATGGTGTCAGAGATGCCTGGGTTAGGGCCCCACATCCATCTCTTCAGCCTTTCAAGCCTCGCTTTCCTCATCTGTAAGTTGGGGATAAAGATAATAATCCCTGCGTCCTGAAGGCCACTGAATTGAATGAAAGCTTCATGTGGGGCTCTTAGCTGAGAGCTTGGCATGCACTAAGTGCTAAATAAACGGTAGCTGCTATTGTCCTTGTCATCATCATCATCACCATCATCATCGTCATCGTCTATACCTATCCTATGACCCTTTCAGAAATCTCTGTTCTCCTTCGCTATTCATGGGAATTCTGTTTTCTTGATGCCCTCATGCTCAAGAATCTCCTCATAGTTCCTCATCCAGGGCTAAATTCTGATGTCAGTATTCCTCCCTTCCCATAACAGCTTCGGATCTCATATCCCAAAAATGCCTTTGAAGACAGGATGATGTTGGCAGTCTTGCTGTGTCATTTCTGAAGTTTACTCCAAAAAATGAAATTCTCCAGTGACAGGCATGCTTAAGTGCAGCTGTGGATACTGCATGTTTTGATAAAGATGAAATTTATTAAAAAGCAAAAGAACCTCCACTAAACACCCCTCTTCCCATTGACGCTGGGAGGGGTAAAGAAGGCTTCTTGGGTTTAAAAAAAAAAAAGAGTTACTCAGCATTGAGAATGCTCAGAAAAGATTTCCCAGAACACTGAAGGATGGGAAACTGTTCATGTTGTAGATTGCTGAAGCGGCTGTGGCTGGTCGGGCTGGAGGAGAGAAGACTCAGAATGTGCGAGCTGCCCTTTGCCGGAAGTAGGACAGGCACGTTTAGTGCAGCCTAGGACACATTTGATCCCACAGATGGCACATAGCTTCTGACAGTCCATGTGGGTTCAAGAGCAGTAGATTCCCTGGTCTCTGCCATTCCTGGGGTCCATGAACATGGCTTTAAGGTCGGAAGTGGGTGGCTGAGCCAGCTCCCATCCAAAGACTTTCCCACCTCCACAGGTTTGATCCAAAGAAAGGATTTTGGTGCCAACTGCTTGAAGGAGGAAAAACCAAGTGTCTGGGCAAAAGCAAGGGCCGGAAATATCCCGAGATGGACTTGGATGTAAGTGGTGGACACACTACCTGTAGCACCTGCATAAGGGTAAGGGGTCCCTGTATGGAGTTGAGGGGGATTCTCTTTCCTTTACCATGCACTCAGCATGTTCATGGCCTTAGCATTTCTTGGACAGTATTTGTAAGAGGAGGAAAATGGGGGCTGGGACATGGTGGGTCAGACCTGATTTCGTCAAACAAGTGTTGGTTACCTTCTACTAAGGGCTGAGTGCTGTGGGGTTTTGAGGATGAGCCAGACATGTTCTCTGCCTTCAAGGAACTCCTGGTCTTGGAGGGGTATGAGTCCCAACACCACTAAGTAGAATACAGGCAGAGAGTGCTGCGCGCAGTCAGAGAGGGCACACAAGTGCTATGGGAATTCAGAACAAGGGGATGTCACTTGAACCTGAGAGGGGTAAAAAAGGCTCCTTAAAGGAGGGATGGGGGTCTCTGGAGTTGCGCCTAGAAGGATGAGATCCATTTTGTAGGATTTGGACATATGGAATGGGAGGGTAGGTAAGAACAGCATGTGTAAAACCATAGGGGGAAAAAAGAAATTTTAAAAATATATAGAAAAAGGGTCACAGACTGGGGGTCTTGTTACTTCCTCCTTTTCCTACTTGCTTCTGTTTTTGTTTTGTTTTGTTTTGTTTTGTTTTTGAGACAGGGTCTCGTTCTGTTGCCTAGGCTGGAGTGCAGTGGCATGATCATGGCTCACAGTAGCCTCGACCCCCTGGGCTCAATCGATCTTCCCGCCTCAGCCTGCCATAGTGCTGGTATTATAGGTGTGAACCACCGTGCCTGGCCCTGGCCCTGCCCGCCTTGGGTTTTGATTATTAATTCTCTCTCCTCTCCCTATCAGAAGAATTTTGACTTAGTGAGCTATATTTTGATGCTCCTGCCAACTGGGAGTTCACTATTGGAGGCTACCATTTAGAAGGAGATTGTGGATAAATAAGAGGTGTATGGGGGGTGGTGCCAGCAGCATGGTGGGTTTTTTGTTTTTTTGTTTTCTTTTGAGACGGAGTTTCGCTTTTGTCACCCAGGCTGGAGTGCAATCGCGTGATCTTGGCTCACTGCAACCTCCGCTTTCCGGGTTCAAAAGATTCTCTTGCCTCAGACTCCCGAGTAGCTGGGATTACTGGCGCCCACCACCTCACCCCGCTAATTTTTGTATTTTTAGTAGGGTTTTCCCATGTTGGCCAGGCTGGTCTTGAACTCCTGACCTCAGGTGATCCACATGCCTCGGCCTCCCAAAGTGCTGGGATTACAGGCATGAGCCACCGTGCCCGGCCGAGCATGGCGATTTTTAGAGGAGGTCACTCTTAAGTCAGTACACAAGGTCTGAGCTTTCCTTCCCGTTACAGTCCCGAGCCTTCCTGAAGGACTATTACCGGGACCACAACATCGAGCTCTCCAAGCTGCTGTATAAGATGGGCCAGACACTTCCCACTTGGCTACGAGAGGACCTCCAGAACACCAGGTAGCCGTGGCCACCACAGCCAGACTGAACGTTTGTGAAAGCTGGGACATCCCACCACACGCTGAGCCAGACCTGCAGAGTGGGAAGCTGGACCAGGGCAGCTGCGCACTTATGAGCAATACTCTGTGGAGGTCTGGTGGGGCTGGGGGAGCACCCAGGCGGATCTGCAAGCACCTCGGAGCACCCACCGCTGGGTCTGCGGCCTAAGGGACCTCCCTCGCCAGCAGAGGTCCATTCCGTTCCCAGCTGCTCCTGGGGAGGCCGCTTCCTGGTAGGAGGGAGTCCACGAGACTCTTTTCTGTCCCTCACTGTGTTCCGCCGACTGTCCCCTCTCGTCACCCATCACTCCCTGCTTCCGCAGGGCGCCCCTCAGTATTCGCTGCCATATGTCCCTGTCCTCCAGGCTGTAGGGGAGGAGAGCCTGGCCGGGGGAGACAGACTGGACATTTCCCTGTTTCGAGCCAGGCTCTTCCAAGGGGCCAGCTGGGTCCCCGGAGTCAGTCCTAGGCTGGATGGGAGGGTGGCCCCCTCAAGAGGACTCCCAGCCTCCACATCTGGTTCCTACCTTCACATCTCACCCTCCCGTTCTGGGGAAGAATTTCTGGTTCCTACAGTATCCACTCCATCCTCAAGGCTTCCCGCAGGGCCTTGGGGCACTGCCTTGCCATCGGGCCCAGTTCTCCGGGCCCCACCTGCACCCCTTTCTTCCCCCTGGGATATGATGTGTGGTGTTTCCTGTGGTAAAAGACTGAGGCAGGCCAGGGGTCTGCCAGTAACATGTTCCCATGTACAGACACGGTCCCCACACCCTCCCAGCCTCAGGCCCAGGCAGACATGGGCGAGCTGGTGAGACTGCCAGCCACGGCTTTGCTTAGCCACCTGTGGCCGAGGGCTCTCAGAGACCCCCTTAACCTCCCAAATACTAAGAAGCTAAAATATTTTAATATTTTGTTTTTTTTTTTCTTGGTGCCAGAGTTTATACCCTGGGTGCTGGGGTCGCACTGTGTTATATATATATATATATATATATAATGTGTATATATATATATTCTATTTTTTTTGGTTGGGTTCGTTTTTAATTCAGTCCTACAAAATGGTGGTAAGCCCCAGTCTCAGGGGTCACCCTGTCTTAGAGCTAGAGATGAGGTGGCAGGGAGGGAGGCTGTGTCCTCAGTGGCCTGGGGCTGAGCAGACCTTAGGAAGGGGCCCTCCCCAGTGCCGTGGCTGCTCTGGGGCTACCCCAGGTGAACAGAGGTGGTGAGATGCGCAGGGAAGACCAGCTCTCTCCAGGACATCGGGCTGCGTGAAGTCCAGTGACCCTGAGGGGATTTTGGCCAAAGGAAACAGCCAGGGCTGGGCTAGGAGAGCTGGGGTCAAAAGCTGCCCCACCCACTCTCCCTCACATGGTGCTAGGCTGGGAGCTGCCCTGAGAGCTGGGATGCCCACCAAGGCCCACAGAACTGTCTCCAGGCCCTTGTAGACAGTGGGATCTCTGGGCTGATTTCTGGTTGGGGTCTGCTCCTACCCCACCCCATTTAACAATGTGAAGTGACTGAGGCTGGGGTGCCTCTCCCTGGCCCCCTCCAACTGCCAAATTCTGCTTCCCTCTGAACCCCAGGAAATACTTTCTGGAGAGGCTTGTCTTGTTCAGAAGACTCTAGCATCTTGGGGCTGGAAGGTCCTTTGACGGGTATGAAACAGGTCCAGAAAGGGGAGGTGGCCTGCTTGGCCGACGTCATGGAGCCAGCTGGGAGCAGGGCTGAGCGTTGAACCCGAGGCTCCCGGTTCCAAGTCCCATCGTGCTCCTCTTCCAATGCCACACTGCCTCTGAGCCCATCCTTGGGACCCTACTCTGTGCCAGGTTCCTGTCCCTTCCTCCGTCACAGCATGGTCATTCCAGGATATGGGGACAAACCACTCCTTCCCAGCCAGGGTGCCTTTGAGCCTTCTCATTCCGAGGTCTGCGTTTGCATCCCTGTCGTGTTCTCCCTCGAGGGGTCCTTCCCCAGCCTGTGGGGGCCTGGGTCTGTTCTGAGCTGATTCCCTTTTCTCCAGTTCTCTGCTGGGATGAAGAAAGTTGGACACTCAGTGGGACCAGCTGCAGGTGGTTTCACTGTGTACACAGCAGTGTCCCCATCATGCCTCTCAATGGGGCCTGCAAGCCTGGGAACTTGGGCATCGTTGGGCCAGCAGGATGAGCAGCAAAGGGTCTGAGGACAGGGTGGCATGTCTGCTTGTGTGCTCATGAAGACATGCCCACGCCATGGAGCCAGGGGCTTATAGAGAGGGGCAGTGACTTCCAGAGTCCCATCCGTCAGTGAGGGGACTGGGCTGCGGGATGGGTGAGGATCTTACAGCTCCCAGGTTCGGAAATCTACCCTCTAGGCCTGGAGGCCTCTCTCGCAGAGCATGGAAGGCAGGAGAGGTGGGCTGGCCTAGGGCAGGAGCTCCACTTCTCTCTGCCTCTGGCTATGGGAAGGAGCAGGCGGTTGGAAATCCTGTGACAGCAGAGATCTTCTGGATTTTTGCCTGGACCCTTCTGCAAGCCTGGAGACTGGACCTGCCACATGTTCCAAGTCTGTCTGCCTAGGTCACTGCTGCCACTTCTCCTCCCACTAACAGACCTTTCTTGAAGACCCACTAGGTCCAGACACTGCCGGGACTTGCAGGTATGGGGGGTAGAAGGAGAGGCAGATAAGCTGCCTGGGGGGCTGTTAGCTAATGGGTACAAGGACACCCCCTCCCGAGAAGAGAAGCCACAGATGAGTGGGCCAGCGAGGCCAGTCTTCAATGTCCACTAATTCACTCTAAGCATTTGGCCAAAAAAAGGAGAGAGAAATAACTGAAATTGTTCAGGTGGCTCCATCGTCTATTCTGTGGTCCCCTCCATGAGCCTTTGCCCCAGGGTGGGTGCAGGTGCGAGTGTCACCTGCAGCTGCCTCAGTCATTCAGAGTTCCAGAGCCTTCTGTGGTGGAGCATCCTGCTGCTTGGAGGATGAGTCTGAAGTTTAAAAATGGGCCTTTTCTGAGCCCCCCTGATGAGCAGTCAGTGCTTCTGGGCCCAGCTAAGGAAGCCATCTGTTCCCAGCAGAGGAGAGCTGCTGCGCTGACCTGCAGAGGTTGGTGGTCCCAGCACAGAGCTGTGCCCATGGGCTTGTTAGTGGGAAAAGCAAATACAACAATGTTTTACCAAACATTTAATTATGAATGCCCACTCCCCAGCATCTAGATCTAAAATTATTAACATTTTGCCACATTCTTTTTCTCTCTCTGTGTATGTATATGTTTTCTCTGTCCTAATTTAAAAGTACATTGCAAACATCATGAAACTTGATCCCTGAAAGCTTCAGCCTGCATCTCCTAAGAGTTAGGGCATTGTCCTACACATTGGCCCAGTATCACAGCCAAGACGAGAAGTCATTTCCCAGCGATGTCTGCTATCTAATCTGTATTCAAATCCCCCCAATTGTCTCCCAGGTAACTTATGTGTCTGGTTTTGGAATCAGCATCCAGTCACGGTGCACACATTGCATTTTCTAACTATGTTTTTAAAACCTCTTTGAATGCTGAAAGGTCTTCCCTCAGCTCACTTTGAGTTTTTAAATGACATTGTTTTTGAGGCCCTAGGCCTGCTGTCTTTTTGAAGCCCCACATTCTGAATTTGTCAGATTGTTTGCTCATGGTGTCGCATAACCACTTCTTCTATCCCCTGTACTTTCAAGGATAATTTAGGCTACATGAGATTTTGCCTTTTGTGCTGACTTGACAGCTTCACTTCTGCCTAAGATGCGCCTCCACTGTCACCTGTACCAAGTGCCAAAACAGCAGAGGGGCCAGTTAGAGCAAGAGCTCTGGGGGGGCCGGAAAGTCTCCCTGGAGAAGGCCGTAATATCTGGGCCTTGGAAGGAAGGACACAGGGCTCTGGAAGGAGGAGGCTGCATGCCTGAAGGCTGGGCCTTCGACCCTGGGGATGGGCCACAGGGCACCAAACACATCATATGTCTCTCTCTTTCTATTTTGGGGTCCCAGGGTTTTCATTTCCTGGAGACCCGTGGTCTGTGTGCACTGGAGCAGAGCCAGGCTCTCAGTTGCAGCAGGGAAAAGCCTACATGGGGAACTGCCTCCCGCAAGCTGTGGTGTGAGAAGAGCCCTGGCTGGCAGCAGGAGCTGTGAAGTTTCATCCCAGCCGGGTGCATTTAGTAGCTGCCTGACCATCTTCCTCCCAGGCCCTCAGTTTCTTCATCTGTAGAATGAGCAGATAGGGGCCACAGCAGGGATTTTCACACATCAAAGGAGGCAGCCTCTGCTCTAGTTGATGTGAGGATGAGGGGGCGGCCTAGACCCCCTGCTGCCCAGGCCGTTGAGGCAACACTGGGTTCCTGGCTTGACAGCTGTGGGCTGGCTGCCCTTGCCAGCTCAGACGGCTGGCGAGTTTTCAGCTTCCCTAAGGGACTGGCATAGGGTTTTGTGGGGTCAATGCCAGGAACCTGGGGGAAACTGGATGCGTTTTATCCTAAGAAGTTCATCCCTCCTGCTCTTACTGTTTCCGGCCCTGGAGGAGAATGAGGGAGGAGAGGGTTTTCTATGACTGTGTTAGCTTTTATTATTAGCAAGAGGGCTCCTTTTGTAATTTGTGCATGAAATTCATGTCATTTCCTGGGAGAGGAGAGGGCCGACTGGAGAGGGTGGGGGGCACACTGGGGAAGCAGGCAGAGGTTTCCTTCCCTTGTAGGGGGGTGGGGAGAGTGGGGAGAGGGGGTGCTATCCAGTTCGCCTGATGAGGGCTCTCGAACCAGCCGTTTTGGGTTGTGTTAAAGGTGAGACCTTCCTCCATTAATGTACAATCTCGAACTAACTGCTAATAAAGTGGGGTTCTGTTTGTACACCTTGGTCCTGTCTGACCTTTTTGCAAGGCCCGCAGGGAAGGGTGGAGTAGGGGTGTTTGCATGCACGGCCAAAGCCCGCTTGTCCCTGCCACCTCAGGCATGCACACGTGCCCACATGTATGCACACACCTATACACATGGTGACTTGGTCAACGCAGATCATTTTCACTGGGTTATAAATGGAAGATTTCCCAGATACAGCAGAGGCCTATCCTAGGGCAGCCACAGGGGGCATCTCAGGTGATAGAAGCCCTCAGACAAGCTGGATTGCTCAGAAGCCCTGGGTGTCGGGCACTGGACCGAGAGGAGACTTGGGGGCTGGAACAATTTCTGCTACTAATGTATATTGTAGCTGGGGGCAAGCCACTTTTACTGTTTTATCCCATTTCCCTCACCTTTTAGACGCATGGAGGGAGTTGGACTCCATGGCCTCACTTGAAGAACTTGCCTAAAACATGCAGATTCCCAGGTCTACTTCCAGAGATTCAGCTCCAGCAGATGTGGGGTGGGGCCCAACATCTTTAAGGAGCCCTCCAGTACACTGAGGAATTTATAAGGAGCCCTCCAGTACACTGAGGCAGCCCAGTGTAACTCTGGCTCAGAGTGGGAAACTCTGACTCAGATCCATGGTTCCTATGGGTTCTAATTAATACGGAGAGCCCCACTGTCCAGGAAAACTTAGGGTAAAACAAATGACTGAAGCCCTCACAGCCTAATTGAGGGCCAGACTCGAGATTTGCCTGGAGAAGGAGAGTTCACAGGTAGGGGCCCAGGCCAGTGTCTGCAATGCAGGTGATCAGACATGCTCCTTCAGAATCCCCTTGGGAAGCTTTAAACAATATACATTCCTGGGCTCCCCCAAAATCTGCTCACTCAGAACCTCTGGGGTGGGACCCAGCACTGTGTACTTTAACAGACTCCTTGGTGTTCAGGGAAGTTTGGGAACACTGAATCAGGCCACCATGTTTGTCAGAGACGGTACCCAGAAATGTGCACAGCTTCTGAGGGACAGAGGAGGGGCATGCTGGGGACACAGCTGGGCAGTCCTGCTTCCCAGGACCCAGTATGTTCAAAGTGAAATACCACAGTGCCACCTCTGATGGCACAAGGGCAGCACCTGCAGAGCCCTCTTTGCAGTTCGTCAGCTGGGAGCTTGGTTTGGGTCAGGTGGCCCTCACCAGCAAGAACACAGCTGGAGGCTGCATGGACAAGAGCAGATCCAGAGGCATGGTGCAGAAAGGTGACTGTGCCAACTGAGGGGTCAGCCTGCAACAGGGATTTTTGAATTTACATACAGCTGAGATTCTGTTTTGAAAGAATCACTTAATTGAAAACCAGGTAAAGGTGGGGGTGCTCTGTGGTTGGAGTGGGAGTGAAGCTCTGGACTCTTCCCAGCTCACCTCCTCCCTGTCTCTCAGGCTATCTTGGAACCCTAAGATTTCTCAAAACACATTGTGAAAACCCAGCCCAGTTGCTTCCAGAGGTCCTAAAAGTCCTGCAGTTCTAATAGGCTGAATGAGTAGCAGCCCATCAGCCCCTCCTCACCCCCCACGGGGATGTCCACCCAGTAAATCTGGTGCCCCAGGAGTGGTTTGGGCTTCTAGAGGTGGGGAGTTACCTTGGAGAAGCCTGGATCATGCGTGTAGGGCAGTGTGTTTCACAATAGGAAAACGCTGGGAACAACCTAGATGTCCATCCACAGGGTCTCAGCTAGGTAACCTCCAGTGTATCCATTCACTGTAATGATGATTCAGTTGAAAGTAATGAGCTCAGTCTCCAAGCCCTGCCAGGGAAATTTCTATGACAGACTTATACAATGTGACCATCATGGAAAGAGAACACTACAGTTTGTATTTTTCCTGGGGTTGTAGATAGACGTCTCATATCAAACTGATACTAGGGGAGGAAAGACTGAGAAGGGGAACTTTCAAAGGAGACTTCAGCCTTGGCTGAAATATATATAAGACAAGGATAATGCATTTGCATATCATTTGTGGAATGAAAAAGTCTTAATGAAAAATAGAAATGGACAAAGCAGAAAGGGGGACTCCAAGCAGCTAGACTTACATGACGATGCGATGAAGGCCAACACTGCTTTACCCAGCCCTTAAGCTCCTATGGAGTTAGGATCTGGAGGAGGCCTAGGTGCCGGTGATCAATTTCTTGCCTGGCTGCATTTATCCTAAGCATTCGTGAAGACCCTGAGCTGAGGATCCTGACTTTCCTGTGACTGTAGGCCAGTCTCAGCTCCTCTCTGGCCCTGGGAGCTTAGCTTCCCCAAGCTGACAGACGGGGGAGCTAGGGTTAACATCACCATTGCTGGAACAAATTGACACCATGTCTCCCGATATGATGCAATGGGAAGGACCCAGTGCAACACCTGGGAAATTCCTAACGAAAACACGGGACATGAATCCAGCCAAGGGGAACAGACAGACACATCCGTATTGAGGGACATTTTGCAAAATAACTGGCTTGAACTCCAACAATGTCAAGGTGATGAAAGATACAGAAAAGCTGAGAAATGGTTCAGGATTAAAGGATACTAAAGAGATGTGGTAATCAAATGCCATGTGTGACCCTGGAGGGGTCCTGGACCATGAAACAATTAGCTATAAAGGATACCATAGGGACACCTAGCAGAATGTCAGGATGGACCGTGTGGATTAGATAATACTATTCAACCGATGTTCAATTTTCTGGTTTTGATTATTTTACTGTTATGTAAGAGTATCTAATGAAGTACATGTGAGATATTAGTTTTTTGAAATTACTTTTGCACCAACCTAATATTTAGGGGTAAAAAGGAAGAAATGGAACTGAATTTTGACTCCTGTTCTTTCTCTAGTGGTACTAGATGGTAGGTACTCATCAGATGCAGTCCAAAAGATGTCCACCAGGGGGCACTATTATCCTAGCCTCTCACAGTGTAGTCAGCGCGAATGCCTCCCGGGAAGACTGGGCTGGTGGTTAATGGTGGTGGGGCAATAATATTATCAATATTAACATCAATAAATTAAATAATATAAATAAAAAGTATTTCTTATCCTGTCAGGCAGACCCTCTGCTTATCAAGTGCTATCTTTAAAATTTTTTCTTTTTGTGACAGTGTCTCACTGTGTCACCCAGGTTGGAATGCAGTGATCTCGGCTCACTGCAGCCTCAAGCTCCTGGGCTCAAGCCATTCTCCCACCTCAGCCTTCTGAGTAGCTGGGATTACAGGCATGCACCACCACGCCAGGCTAATTATTTTGTATTTTTTGTGAAGATGGGGTTTTGCCATGTGGCCCAGGCTGGTCTTGAACTCCTGGCCTCAAATGATCCTCCTGCCTCAGCCTCCCAAAGTGCAGGGATTACAGGCATCGGCCACCTTGCCCGGCCTCTTTTAATCTTCATAACAATCCTCTGAGGTAGGTATTATCATTCCCATTGTATATTTGAGGAATTTGAGTTCAGAGAGGTTAAGTAACTCTGTCAGGATCACAGAGCTGGTAGTCATTGATCCATGAGACTCCACAGCCTGGAGTCCACTAGGCTGTCCTGCCCCCTGGGCCTGAGGCTGGGAATGTGTCCTGGCACAGGGAAATGCCATGACCATGAGGCAGAGTGGGGACAATTCCCCGAGCCTGGCTCTGCCCTTTTCAGGGCTGGGGACTGGGTGATCCTGGGAAGCTGTTAAAGGTGCCTAACAGTATGTGTACCTACAAATCTAAAACAGAAGTACAAACAGGGAATGGTGTGAGATGTATGTCTCCTTCCACTCCCTGACCTTTGTCCTCCAACTCACTTCTTCAGAGGAAACCACCATTAGCAGTTTCTGTGGATCTTTCCAGAAATTGTTTTACATATACAAACAGTTGCGTGAGCATGCACACCCTGCTGGTGTGTACCCTCAGGCTATTCTGCACTGTGCTTTTCCATGGGGGCCTCTGGTCAGTGGGTGGAGGGTATTTACTGCTCTGCATGGCAGCAGAGGGCTCCTCTGCATGGGTAATTGGTGGAGGGTGTCTGTTGCTCTGCATGGCAGCAGATGGAGGGCTCCTCTGCATGGGTACTTGGAGAAGCTCTGCTCTATTACACCTTTCAGGGAGTGGGGGTAAAAACTGGAGCTTGAATTCCTTGGCCTTTGCCCCATTCTGGGGTGTTCTCCCTTGGGAAGGAATAGGCTGTGCAGCACAGTAGTCAAAATATGCACAGCCGGGTAGATCTGGTTTCAAATACAGGCTCAGTGTTGGCTGTGTGACCTTGGTCAAGTAATTCATGTCTCTGAGCCTCAGTCTTTGCTTTTGTGAAGTGGGGATAGTCACAGGACTGAGGTGACAGAGATGTTGTGAGGAGTGAAGAGACAGTGTCTGGAAAGCCCTCAGCAGGAGCCTGCTACACAGTGAGTGCTCAGTAAAGTCTCTGCCAGTTCCTGGTTTCACACACATACAGACCCCATTTCTGAGCCTGAGCCTGGGGGTGGCACTGCCACCTTTGTCCTGAGGCAGATGAGGATGGGCTGAGGAGTCAAGTGGCCCACTCAATGTGGAAACTCATTACATTTGATTGTTCTTCCTGGGACCTTGAAATGGAAGTGGTGGGTGATCTGAGGCGCTGAGAATGACCCTTCAAAACACACACACATAACACCAACTTCACAGGAAAACAAGGAACATGAGAGACTGCTATAAGCAGCTGCACGTTAAAAAATCAGATGCTCTAGATGCAATGGACAAATTCCTAGAGACACACAAACTACCAAAACTGACTCAAGAGGAAATAGAAAATCTGAATAGGCCTGTAACAAGTCAGGAGATTGAATCGGTAATCAAAAAACTCCCAGCAAAGAAATGCCTACCACCAGGTGGCATCATTGGTGAATCCTACAAAACATTTAAAGGAGAATTAACATCAATCCTTCTCTTAAATTCTTACCAAAAATCTAAAGAGGAGAGAACATTCCCAACTCATTCTATGAGGCCAAGCATTACCTTGATACTGAAACTAAGACTCTACAAGAAAAGAAAATTGCAGGCCAGGCGTGGTGGCTCACACCTGTAATCCCAGCACTTTGGGAGGCTGAGGCAGGTGGATCACCTGAGGTCAGGAGTTCAAGACCAGCCTGGCCAACATGGCAAAACCCCATCTCTACTAAAAATACAAAAATTAGCCAGGCATGGCAGCATGCACCTGTAATCCCAGCTACTCGGGAGGCTGAGCCAGGAGAATCGCTTGAACCCAGGAGGCGGAGGTTGCAGTGAGCCAAGATTGCGACAGTGCAGTCCAGCCTGGGTGATAAGGCGAGACTCCATCTCAAAAAACAAAACAAAACAAAAAAATTATATGCCATGATCAAGTGGGTTTTATCCTAGGAATGCAAGGGTGGTTCAACATATGAAAATCAAAGTAATGTACCACATTATTAGAATGAAGGGGGAAAAAACCACATGATCATCTCAATTGATGCAGAAAAAGCATCTGACAAAATCCAACACCCTTTCATGATATAAACGCTTATCAAACTAGTACTAGAAAAGAACTCTTTCAACATGATAAATGCCATATGTGAAAAACTCACAGCTAACATAACTTTTTTTTTGAGACAGGATCTCACTCTGTTGCCCAGGCTGGAGTGCAGTGGCACAGTCGTGGCTTACTGCAACCTCGACCTCCCAGGCTCAAGCGATCCTCCCACCTCAGCCTCCCAAATTGCTGGGACTACAGGCACGTGCCACGCCTGGCTAATTTTTTATTTTTGTTGTAGAGACAGGGTCTCGCCATGTTGCCCAGGCTGGTCTAGAACTCCTGGGCTCAAGTGACATAATTCTTAATGGTGAAAAACTGAAAGCATTTCCCCTAGGATGAGGAACAAGACAAGGATGTCTGTTTTCATAACTTCTAGTTAAGATTAGAAACTTATACTCAACACAATACTGGAAGTTCTAGCCAGAGCAATTAGGCAAGAAAAAAACAAAAGGCATCCAAATTGGAAAGAAAGAAGTAATACTATCTCTATTTATAGATGACATGATCTTAATGCCTAGAAAACCCAAAAGAATTCATACACATACACAAACTATTAGAGTTAATAAGTGAATTTTGCAAAATTTCAGGATACAAAATCAATACACAAAATCCATTGAATTTCTATACACTATAATGAACAATCCAAAAAGGAAGTTAAGAAAACAATTCTACTTATGATAGCATCAAAAAGAATAAAATATAGGCTGGGCGTGGTGGCTGACACCTGTAATCCCGGAACTTTGGGAGGCCGAGGCGGGTGGATCACCCAAGGTCAGGAGTTTGAGATCAGCCTGGCCAACATGGTGAAACCCCATCCCTACTAACAGTACAAAATGAGCCGGGTGTGGTGGCACATGCCTGTAATCCCAGCTACTTGGGGGGCTGAGGCAGGAGAATCATCTGAACCCTGTAGGTGGAGGTTGTGGTGAGCTGAGATCATGCTGCTGCACTCCAGCCTAGGCAACAAGAGGTAAACTCTCTCTCAAAATAATAATAATAATAATAATAATAATAATAATAATAATAATAATAAATATATAGGAATAATTTAATCAAGGTGGTGAGAAACTTGAATACAGAAAACTATAAAACATTTCTTGAAGAAATTAAAGATCTAAATGAATGGAAAGACATCCCATGTTTGATTAGAAGACTTAATATTGTTAAGGAATATACAGATTTTTTGCAATTCCTATCAAAATCCAATAGGTTTTTTTCCAGAAATGAAAAAAAAAATTCCTAATATGAAAATTCCTAATATTCATATGGAATTTCAAGAAACTCAGAATAGCCAAAACAATCTTGAAAAAAAATGACGCAGTTGTAGGATTCATGCTTTCTGATTTCAGAACTTACTGCAGGCCAGGCACGGTGGCTTACACCTGTAATCCCAGGACTTTGGGAGGCCGAGGTGGGTGGACCATCTGAGATTGGGAGTTCGAGACCAGCCTGGCCAACATGGCAAAACCCCGTCTCTACTAAAAATACAAAAATCAGCTGGACGCGATGGCGCGTGCCTGTAGTCCCAGCTACTTGGGAGGCTGAGGCTGGAGAATCACTTGAACTCGGGAGGCAGAGGTTACAGTGAGCCGAGGTCGCACCACTGCACTCCAGCCTGGGCAACAGAGTGAGACTCTGTCTCAAAAACAAAACACAACAAAACAAAAAAACAAAACTTCTGCAAATCTACAGTAATTATAACAGTGTGCTACTGGCATAGGATAGACATATAGACCCTGGGGTAGAATTGAGAGCCCAGAAACAAGCCCTCACATCTATTGCCAATTGATTTTTGACAAGGGTGCTAAGACCTTTCACTGGAGAAAGAATAGTGCTCCAAAACCTGGATATCACATGCAAAAGAATGAAGTTGAACCCTTACCACATACCATATGCCAAGACTAAGTGAGAATTGATCAAAGACTTAAATTTAAGAGCTAAACTTAGAACTATTAGAAACATCAGTGCAAATATCTATGACCTTGAATTTGGTAATGGTTTCTTAAATATGACACGAAAAGCACAGGCAACAAAGAAAAAAAATAAATTTGTCTTCATTAAAATTTAAAAGACTTTTGTGTGTCAAAGGACACCATTAAGGCCAGGCGCCATGGTTCACACCTGTAATCCTGGCACTTTGGGAGACCTAGGTGGGTGGATCACTTAAGACCAGAAGCTCAAGACCAGCCTGGGCATCATGGTGAAACCCCATCTCTGCAAAAAATACAACAATTAGCTGGGCATGGTGGTGTGCCTGTGGTCCCAGCTACTTGGGAGGCTGAGGTGGGATGACCCCTTCAGCCTGGGAAGTGGAGGTTGCAGTGAACCAAGATTGCATCATTGCACTTCAGCCTGGGTGACAGAGCAAGACCCTGTCTCAAAAAAGAAAGAAAGAAAAAAGGACACTATGAAGAGAGTTAAGAGACAATCCACATAACGGGAGAAAATATTTGCAAATCATATGTCTCATAAGGGCCTAATATCCAAAAAATATAAAGAACAACTCAACAACAAAAAGACAAACAATCCAATTAAAAAATGGGAAAATGACTTGAATGGATGTTTCTCCAAAGAAGACGTACAATGGCCAACACACTCATGAAAAGGTGCTCAACACATTAGTCATTAGTGAAATGCAAATCAAAACCACTTCTCACCTACTAGGATGGCTATAATTTTTTTGTTTGTTTGTTTTTTGTTTTTTGTTTTTTTTTTGAGACGGAGTCTTGCTCTGTCACCCAGGCTGGAGTGCAGTGGTGTGATCTCGGCTCACTGCAACCTCCACCTCCCGAGTTCAAGCAATTCTCCTGCCTCAGTCTCCAGGCATCCACCACCAGACCCGGCTAATTTTTGTATTTGTAGTAGAGATGGGGTTTCACCATGTTGGCCAGGCTGATCTGGAACCCATGACCTCAGCTGATCTGCCCACCTGGTCTTCCCAAAATTCTAGGATTACAGGCATAAGCCACCACATGTGGCCGGCTATATATATATATATATATATATATATATATATATATATATATATATATTTTTTTTTTTTTTTTAAGGAAAATAAGTTTTGATGAGGATGTGGAGAAATTGGAACCCTTATACATTGCTAGTGGGAATGTGAAATGGTACAGCTACTGTGGAAAACAGTTTAGTGTTTCATCAAAAGGTTAAACAGTATTCACAATAACCAAAAGCTGGAAAGAGCACAGGTGTCCATCAATAGATGAATGAGAAAATAAAATGTGGTATATAATACAATGGAATATTATTCCACCACAAAAAAGGAAGGAAGAAATTCTGATACATGGTACAACATAAATTAGCCTTGAAAACATTATGTGAAATAAAATAAGCCAGACACACAAAAAGACGAATATTGTCCGATTTCCTTTATACTAAATATCTAGAATAGGCAAATTCACAGAGATAAGAAGTAGGCTAGAGGTTACCATGGCTGAGGGGAGAGGGAGGATGGGAGTTATTGCTTAAGGAGCACAAAGTTTCTCCTTGGGTGATGGAGAGTGTTGACAATAGATAGTAGCAATGGTTGTGTAACATTGTGAATGTACTAATGCCACTGAATTGTGCACTTTAAAATGGTTAAAATGGCAAATTTTATGTTATATGTATTTCACCACAATAAAAATACATACATGGCATTCAAGGCAGCTCTGTTTATGTAAATTGAAATATAATTTACATACACAAAATAATAAAGTGTATAATTCAGTGGTTTTTAGCAAATTGTGCAACCATCACCACTATCTAATTCCAGAACATTTCATCACCTCAAGAAGAAACCTCATAGCAGTAAGTGGTCATTCCTCATTCTTCCCTTCTCTCAGGCCCTGGCAGACACTGAACCACTTTCTGTTTCAATGAATTGCATATTCGGAACATTTCCCATAAATGGAATCCTTCTTCCATATGTGGCCTTTTGTGCCTGGTTTCTTTCACTCAATGTGCTTTCAAGGTTCATCCATGTTGTAGCTTGTGTTAATACTTCATTTTTAATGGCTGACTACGATTCCATTATTGGTATGTTTGTTTATCCATTCATTAGTTGATGTACATTTAGGTTGTTTCCACTTTTTGGCTATTGTGAATAGTGCTGCAATGAATACTCATGTACAATTATCTATTTGAAATTCCTTTAGGTATAGACGTAGGAGGGAAATGCTGGGTCATAAGGTAATTCTATGTTTAACTTTTTCAGGCACCAGCAAACTTTTTGCCAGAGCAGTTGAATCATTTTGCATTTCCACCAGCAATATACAAGGGTTCCAATTTCTCCACATCCTCACCAAAACTTGTTTTTTCCACTTTATTTTATTTATTTTTGAGACAGAGTCTCGTTCTGTTGCCCAGGCGAGAGTGCAGTGATGGGATTATGGCTCACTGCAACCTCCTCCCCCCGGGCTGAAGGGATCCTCCCACCTTGGCCTCCTGAGTAGCTGGGACTACAGTTGTGCACCACCACACCTGGAAAATTTTTGTATTTTTTATAGAGACAGAGTTTTGCCATGTTGCCCAGGCTGGTCTCAAACTCCTGGGCTCAAGAGATCTGCCCACCTCAGCCTCCCAAAGTGCTGGGATTACAGGTGTGAGCCAATGTGCCTGGCATTATTATTATTATTATTGTTATTATTATTTAAGAGATAGCATTTTACTCTGTTGCGCAGGCTGGAGTGCAGTGGTGTGATCATTGCTCACTGCAGCCTCTAACTCCTGGGCTCAAGTGATCCTCCCCTCTCGGGCTCTCAAAGTGCTGAGATTACAGGTGTGAGCCTGGCCTCATTTTCCTTTTTTTTTTTTTTTTAAATTATAGCCATCCTAATGGATATGAAGTGGTACCACATTGTGGTTATTATTTGCATTTCCCTAATGACTAATGATGTTGATTATCTTTTTATGTATTTGGTGGACATTTGTATGTCTCTTTGGAGAAATGTTTGTTCAAGTCTTTTGCCCATTTTTGAATTGGCTTGGGGAGATGTGACCTGGATCAGGGTTGACTTGGCCTCAGGGGCCCCTCTGGAAAAGGAGATTCTGATCTTGGGGTCAGAGTTGGAACTTTCCACTCTCCCCTGCCCATGCCTGCCTCATGTGATCCCAGCTGGGGGAACTGGGAAAGTCACATGGCTGGGCCTGGTGGACAGGGAGAGTCTCCCCCAGGTAGGTGGGGGGAGTCCCAGGCTTGGGCTTTTCCTCTGGGACATTGGGCCAGCTGCCTATGACATGGGAGATGTGCTCTCTGGTCCCCTGGCCCAGGCTGTTCAGCACACTGCCTTTTCACAGTGCCCAACAGAAAGGGCCCCTGACAAACCATATGGCCAGAAAATGGTTCCCATATGATTTTTACCTCTACTGCCTCTGCACTTCTCGCTTTTGATCCCATCATTCCCTCCACCTTGTCTGTTTGTTCCTTTCCTGTTCCATCACCTGAATCCTCCCCATCCTTCAGAGTATCTTCTCTAGAGCCTTCTGTGCTCCCCTTCCTAGTCCTGCTTTCAGAGGTTTGCTTTTGCTCCTCTGGGCTCCTCCAGCATCCACCCTTTGGGCTGTGCCACCTGAGAAGATTCCAACATCCAGCACTGAGCTCAGATGACTGATATGGGGGTCTGGACCCCTCAGTAGGTGATGAGCTTCTCAAGGGTTCCCAGTCCCATCAGGCCCCAAGCATAGGGTGGCACCAGCTGCCTGGCAATGACTATACCCTGTGTTGGTTGATCAGACACAGGACAGGATGTGAAAATCATGGGTGTTCCTTCTGCCCTACATCCAATCCACAGACACTGGGAGCTCTGGGCCAGAGGTTCCCAAACACCCACCTGTAACAGACTTCTAGCCTCAGACTCCACCAGGCAATTAGTAAAAATTGAAATATTCAGACACTACTGTCCTAGATTCTGATTCAGGAGCCCTGGGAAGGGCCCAAGAGTCTGTATTTTACCAAGTTCCCCAGTAGTCCTGTTATGTAACCAGGTTTGGGAGCTTCTGGGGCTGGCAAATCTTAGTCACTTCAGTCCAGTGTGCTTTCTCCCTGCCCTCTCCTGTGCCAGAATATTTGTTTCTAGGGTGGAAGATGGACATGGATCCCTTCCCTGGATGACCCTCAACAGCCCTATAAATCCCCTCACACTCATTTCCCTCCCTTCTCCTCCATTAGAACCTTTTTGGAGGCTCATTCCTTTTGCCTGTCGAATTCATAGGCTTTAAGTCTCCCTTCTCCCAGGAGGTCTTCCTGGCTTGCCTCCACATACTCTCTGATCACAGATATCCAGAGATGGTCATTAAACATTTAGAAACATAACATTAAAGAGGCTGATATAAAACATATAATATGTATGGGTTATGGTACAGATAATTTAGTTACAACATTTGTTTATGTTATCGCATAGTATATATTTTTATTATATTACAGACAGATACATTATAGGCATTTAGGCCTAGTGCATAGATTTATGGGTGGGTCATGATGTAGTAGAGCTGAGAAAGCCCATCTAGTCTGTTACTTCTTTTCTTCCCCATTTTCAGATAGGTAAATTGAGGCCCAGGTGCATAGGTAATGGGGCTCAGGTGCCTGAGAATCCTTGGCCCCCAGACTCCTGCTCACTTGCATGTAATCTCACTTAGGTTTGTGCAGACCCTCCACCCTCCAGTTCTCTAACTAGTGGTGCCCACCCGGCTCCTGGCAGCTCATGGCCTAAGGAGGACAGGCAAAGGGCAATTCCCAGCCCCCATCTGCCCCCCAGTGTGGCCAGGGCCCATCTGCACAGCTGGAGTTGGTTACCCAGCTGTTTATGGGTCTCTGCCTCTGGTGTTTATAGTTCCGCCTTTGGGTCTGCTTTGCATCCCCACTAATGAGAACAATGCCCCAGGAGGCGGCGGCGGGTGGTTGGGGGACCACTGGACGCTGAGCAGTGGGCTGGGCCTGTGTCCTGGCTTCTGCCTTGCCTGGTTCTAACGAGGATTTCAGGCCCTTTACAAGGACACAGGAAGGACAGCAAGGTGGCCCATACGGAAACAGACACGCCTAGGTGAGGAGCGAGGAGGCGAGAAGGCTAAGAATGAGTTTGCCGTGACTTAGGCACTCAAGGCAGGGGAGAGTTGGGGCCAAATCTTTCCTTTTAAGAAAATGCATTTTTTTCTTTCATCACAAGAGTTATAAATCTCTATTGTGGAAACTTTAGAACATACAGACACATAAGAAGAAAATCTAAATGTCTGTATCCCACCACCCTGGATAATCATGTTTCACATTTTAGGACATTTCCTTTCTGTCTGATATATAAAGTTGTTTTTGCAGAAAGGAGAATATGCATACACTGTATTTTACAAACCTCCTTTATTTTTATTTTTATTTTTTGAGACAGAGTCTTGCTCTGTCACCCAGGCTGGAGTGTAGCGTTGCAATCTTGGCTTACTGCAACCTCCACCTCCTGAGTTCAAGTGGTTAGATTCTCATGCCTCAGCCTCCCACGTAGTTGGGACTACAGGTGTGTGGCACCATGCCTGGCTAATTTTTCTATTTTTAGTAAAGAGGGGGCTTCACAGCCGGGCACAATGGCTCCTGCCTGTAATCCCAGCACTTTGGGAGGCTGAGGTGGGCGGATCACAAGGTCAGGAGTTTGAGACCAGCCTGGCCAACATAGTGAAACCCCTTCTCTACTAAAAATATAAAAAATTAGCCGAGCATGGTGGCGGGCACCTGTAATCCCAGCTACTCAGGAGGCTGAGGCAGGAGAATCACTCAAACCTGAAAGGTGGAGGTTGCAGTGAGCCAGGATTGCGCCATTACACTCCAACCCGGGCAACAGTGCAAGACTCCATCTCGAAAAAAAAAAAAAGAAAAGAAAAAGAAAAAGAGGGGTTTCACCATGTTGACCAGGCTCATCTTGAACTCCTGGCCTCAAGTGATCCACCCGCCTTGGCCTTCCAAAATGCAGGGATTATAGGCATAAGCCACCACGCCCAGCCTACAAACTCTTTTAAATCATAATAAATTGTCAACATATTTATATGTTATTAAATATTTCTCTACTACATCAAATTATGTTATTTCTATTTTGATTATAATACAAGATTATTGTGAAAGAATTGCAATCATTAGTGAAGTGCACAAAATTTAAGGCTCAAATGTCCCCCTCTTTCCTGTCCCCCAGTAATACTTCTAACCCTTTGGTGGAAATCTCTCAGATATTCTCCTATGTACATGACAAACTGGTGTACATGGTAGAGCTGTGTCATAGTTTATTTAAATAATTCTGTCACAGTGGGCATTGAGGTTAGGTACACAGCTGTTTGAAGCCCACAGGCAGCCAGTGTGACCAGCAAAGCCTCCTGGTTCCAAGAGCAGATCATAGTTTCTCCCAGGAAATCTCACTAGGGCAGCATAATAAGCAATGTCCTTAACAACATGCTGGCTATTAACACAGGAATGAGTTCCATTGGGCTGTTTCCTTGTAAGGTCATGTTTGCTTTTACTTTTTAAGTTAATACAATTAATAACATTCATCGCAGAAAAATTTAAAAATACAAATAGGCGCTGGGCGCGGTGGCTCACACCTGTAATCCCAGCACTTTGGGAGGCCGAGGCGGGTGGATCACGAGGTCAGGAGATGAGAACATCCTGGCTAACATGGTGAAACACTGTCTCTACTAAAAATACAAAAAATTAGCCGGGCATGGTGGCGGGCGCCTGTAGTCCCAGCTACTCAGGAGGCTGAGGCAGGAGAATGGCGTGAACCCAAGAGGCGGAGCTTGCAGTGAGCCGAGATTGCGCCACTGCACTCCAGCCTGGGTGACAGAGCGAGACTCCGTCTCAAAAAAAAAAAAAAAAAAATACAAATAGGCAAATGTAAGAAAATGAAAATCACCCATAATATGGAATTAAGCCCATACGTGATGTTTATAATGTCTGTTGCATGCTTAGTCTGTATGTCTGTCGCAGGCCACACACAGTGTGCTAAGTGGCTAGTATGTCTGTATGTACAATATTTTTTTTTTTTTTTTTTTGAGACGGAGTCTCGCTCTGTCGCCCAGGCTGGAGTGCAGTGGCGCAATCTCGGCTCACTGCAAGCTCCGCTTCCCGGGTTCACGCCATTCTCCTGCCTCAGCCTCCCGAGTAGCTGGGACTACAGGCGCCCGCCACCGCGCCCGGCTAATTTTTTGTATTTTTAGTAGAGACGGGGTTTCACCTTGTTAGCCAGGATGGTCTCGATCTCCTGACCTCATGATCCACCCGCCTCGGCCTCCCAAAGTGCTAGGATTACAGGCGTGAGCCACCGCGCCCGGCCTGTATGTACAATATTATCCCAATTGTACAGATGGCCACCTCTAGCTTTTTAGGTTTGGTGAATGGCCCAAAGTCTTTTGGCTGCAAGGGGGCAGAGGCTGCCGGAGGACCCGGGCCTCCAGCTTCCAAGTCTGCACCCTGAAGCACCCCTCATTCTACACCCCTCAGTTTCGTTCACTGAACTGCCTGGAGGTTTTCCTCTTCCAACATAAGATGTTATAATCTGCTTTTTTCACTTACAGATAAATTGTGACCATCTCTCGGTGTTGTTAAATAACCCTCTTTATGGAATTCCATTTTATGGATGTATCGCACTTTATTTAATTGTTGAATATGTGGGTTATTCTAGATATTTTTTAGTATCATAAACAAAGCTATGCGGAACATTTTTGTGGCTTAACCTTTGAGCGTGTTTATAGTTATTTCCACAGGGCTGTTTCCCTAATGGCCCTCGCTGACCCATCATACCAAAGGACAGGGGGGTCAGGGAGACCCTGGGTGGGGGGAGCACCCAATAAGCTGTGCTCACCTGGTTCTTAGCTGGGCCAAGTCAGCTTGAGGGGGACATCCTAATCTATGTAGAAGACAGCAGGATGCCTTATTCTTTAAACAGTCCTCTAGAAATGGTCTCAGCTGAGTTCAGAGAACCACTGAAAGGCTGGGAGCATAGCTTGATAAGTGACACCCATGTGGGCATGTGAGTGCAGCCCCCGCGGCTCTGCAGATAGTTGAATTTGAAGAGGAACGAGAGAAAACCAGTCTGCAAAGGTGATGTCCCCATCTCCAACAGAGGAAAGAGGATGCAGTCCTTCCTCTGCAGAAATGGATTCTGAAATTGGAGCAACTCCCAGAGGTCCCAGAGCTCTGCTCCCAGAAGTGCTCCAGGGGCTGTTCTAGGGGGTGGGTGGGGAACGGAGGGGCTTCACACAGTCATCCTAGTGCATGGGGCTCGGACCACAAGTTAGCCAGGGTGGAAAAGGAGAGGGTCCCAGGCAGGGGGAAAGATGAGCACGGCCTGGAGATGAGAGACAGAGCCAGCGCCGCGGAGGAGCTGAAAGCCTTAGTCTGCAGGGTGGAGGTTAGGGGCAGGGGTGCAGCAGGGGTTACAGGAGTCTGTACTTTACCCCACATGACAGGACCGCCATGATGGCTCAGTGAGGAGAGGCGTGACAAGGTTAGGGCCCTCCCTTGATGTTTTCTCACTCCCTCCCATAATTTCTCAGACACCCAGGAGCCAGGCTTGGTGGGTGCTGGGAGAGTGGCAGGGAGGAGGACACGGGTCCTGGGCCCTTGGGATGGGGCCTTCGGAGGCTCTGTGGGAGGGAAGGGAGGCTGAGCAGGGTTGCCAGTGAGGGAGACAGCTCCGTCCACTGAAGGCCCGAGGAGAAGGCACTCTCTGCTCCCCCAGGCAGGCTGCCCAGTGCCACCCACCCCTGTGGGAAATGGTGCTCCCTCTACAGGACACAGGGTGGGTGGAGTTGAGGCAACAGCAGGAGCTGTTCCATCTGCAGCGTCGCATCCCAGTTCTGCCTCTCCCTGGCTGTGTGGCCGTGGCCTGGTTGCCTACCCTTTCTGAGTCATAGTTTTGTTCTACATAAATGAAAACAATCATAAAAGGAGGATTAGATGAGATTATGCATGAAACACCCAGGTGCAGCACCTAGTAACTGCTCAATAAACATTAATTAGTACTGTCTGAAGCTTTGCCTGCCACAGAAGGAGGCGAGGTGGGCCCTTCGAGGAGCTGAGGTCTGCCCCTCCAGCTCTCTTTGTGAGGCCCTTTGAAAGGTAGAGGGAGCAGCGGAGGCCCAGGCCCTGAAACTGCGGAAACCAGAGTCAGCTGTAGATGCCACCTCTAGCCTCTTTGGAGGTCAGCCACCTTGCTCCAAGGTGAGTTCTCTCCACTCTTCTATTAAATCAAATTGTGAGTCCCCTGCCCCTGGCCCTGGGCTGGCCTCTAGGTACAGAGTGCATACTATGTGTCAGGCCCACACTATGCACCAAGCACCCTCAGATGAAATCCTCCCAGCCCCCCGTAAGGGGCTCCGGTTATACGCAGAGTTGGGCCCAGGCTTAGAGAGGTTCCGTGAGTTGCCCGGACGCAGACTGTGGGTGGCAGAGCCAGACCCCCTGCTCTCTGTCTGGCCACAGACCCTGGCTCATGACTGCTGTGCTGGGCCGTCCCTGCCTGTCCCCCTGACCCCCACATGGGGTCCCCTCACACTCCTCCCTCCCTGAGGCTGCCCCACCTGGCCCATCCTGGCCCTGCCATGGAGGTGAGCCCTGCGGCGCTCTCACAAGGCGCCATTCATCCAGGCAGGCTGCTGATTAAAACCATGTGTGGTGTGGCCAGCCAAGGTGGCGGCAGCTCCGGAAGCCAGGCCTGGCCCGGGGCTTGTGGGCCTTGAGAGGGTTGGGGGAGGGATCTGGCTGACCCACAGGCCTGGCAGGCTGGGGGTGCTCTGGGGCGGGACTGACCTCCCCAAGCCATGTACACCCACCAAGGAGACTCTGAGCTGTGATTCTGACTCCTAGGCCCAGGCTGGGGATGTGGGGGGCAGAGAGGCCCCCTCCAGGTGAAGGTAGGGACCGGGCTTGGAATGTCTAAGACCCTTGCAAGGCCCTTTTCAAGGCTGCCTGGGAAGGGCAGGCCCCGTCTATGGGGTTTGGTTACCGAGGAAGGCGTGTGTGTGTGTGTGTGTGTGTGTGTGCGCGCGCGCGCGCGCGCACACGCGCATCCATGCATATGTGCTGAAATCCATGCAAGGTGCCTCTGAGTCCTTGGACTCATGATCACTTCGGGGTTTCCTAAAGGCAATTTTGTGCAGTGGTTAAGACCATGGGCTCTGGAGGCACAAGACCTGGGTTTGAGTTCCACTTCTGCTGCTCCTGGGCTGTGTGACCAAAGGCAAGCTGCCCAGCCTCTCTGAGCCCCTCTCCTCATTCACCAGATGATGATGGAGGCCTGGTCAATGTGGTTGAGCGAAGGTGGGGCTACATTGGCTGGGTAGGCTTTTTGCTCATGGCTGGCCTTGAGGATGGGCCATCCCCAACCCGCAGCCCCAGGGCCCCTAAGTCATTTGGCTGTCACTCCTGACCTTTGAGTTGTGGCTTGTCAGGGAGCTGGGAGGGTGCTAAGTGTGGAGTGTCTGGGTTTCCTGAGGCCAGTTAGTGGAGGTGAGCAGGGGATAGGAGAGGTGATCAGGGGTAAACAGGGGAGAGCAGGGGAGAGCCAGGGAGAGCAGGGGAGAGCAGGGGAGTGTGGGATCTGCAGCCGGTGTGAGGTGTGGCTGAATTAGCTGCCCCTGCCCAGGCCAAGAACAGAGTGAGGCATTGTTCCGGGGCTGCCTCCCCTGGCACCGAGGCCCTCACAGGAAAGGGCGGGCAGGTGGGCCGCGCCATGGCTGGGACTGACCACAGGCTTGGCTGTGTTGGGACCCTTCAGGGGCCTGTCTGTGAGGAGGCACCCTGGTTTCCCCAGGAACACAAGTTTTACTGGGTGATGCAGGCCCTCTGGGAGGGAGGCCATTTGAGGGCATTTGGTCCCAACTGAGCAGCCCCCATGAGATACCCTCAGCACCTTCTCCCAAGGGTGGGAGTAGTCCCAAAATATGAGCTCCCTGGAGCCAGGGGTCCTGAGATTCTACCCTGTGCTCCAAGGCCAGGGCCCCCGACCTCAAACCTGGAAGAGCTCTGTCCCTCTTTACACTGGGCGATGCTCAGGCCCGGAGGGAGGGGTGCCTGTATCACGCAGAGAGCTCCTGGGCAGAAACTCAGCGTTGTCCTTTGGGGTAGACTGCTTAGGGAGGGGAGCGAGCATAGGCTGTTGTGAGGAGGGGCCTAGAGCTGAAGTGGAACAGCCTCCATCTCCCAGCCGTGTGACTGGGGCAGCCACCTGCCCTCTCTGAGCCTCTGTGTCCTCCAAAAGCAAAGAGAGTCCCACCACAGGGGGCCTCTATGAGGGCTGAGAAGGTGGGTTAGGGGTTCAGAGCCTCAGAGTGGCTCAGGCTGAGCTCTGGAGGCAACCTGGCTTCTAACACCAGCGCTCCCCCTGGCCAGCTGTGTCACTTTGGGCAAGACATGTTCTAAAAACATCTTCCCATGGGATTTTTGGGGAAACAAATCAGCTGCTATGTAGTCATGGGCTCACCATCATACTCAGCAGGTGTTGTGATGGTCAGTGGCCAGGCTATGGTCACCAGATATTCAGTCAGATGTTGATCTAGGTGTTCTGTGAAGGTATCTCGTAGATGTGATTAAAGTCCATAATCAGTTGACTCTTAAGTAAGGGAGACCATCTGAGATGATCTGGATGAACCTGATTTAAGTGGTTTGAGGCCTTAAAAGCAGAGCTGAAGTTTCCCTAAAGAAGAGAAGTTGTGGACACCAGCTTCAGTGCCTGAGGGTTCCAACCTGCCCTTCTGGACAACCTGCCCTGCTGTGTTAGGGTTCTCCTGAGAAACAGGACCAATAGAAGGTGTGTGCATGCATGTGTGCACATGTGTGCATTTGTGTGTGTGCACGTGTGTGCATGTGTGTGGGTGCGTGCATGTGGGTTTGTGTGTGCATGCATTTGTGCATGTGTGGGGGTGTGCACATGTGCATGCGCATTTGTGTGTGTGCATGCTTGTGCGAGTGCATATGTGCACGTGTGTGCATGCGTGTGTGTGCATGTGCATGTGTATGCATGTGTGTGTGTACCTGTGTGTGCGCACACATGTATTTATATAGATAGATTTGTTATAAGGAATTGGATCCCCAGATTATGGAGGCTGACCCATCCCAAGAACAGCAGTTGGCAAGCTGGAGCCCCAGGAGAACTGAGAATGTAATTCTTGTCTTGAGTCTGAAGGCCTGAGAAGCAAGAGAGCTATTTCAGTTCAAATCCAAAGGTAGAAAAAGCTAATGTCTGAGTTCCAAGGCCAGCAGGCAAAAATAATTCTCTCTTACTGGAGGGAAGGTCGGCCTTTCATTCTCTTCAACTTACAGGATGAGGCCCACCCACATTAGCGAGGGCCATCTGCCTTTAGTGATTCCCGTGTCAATCTCACCCAGAAACATCCTCATAGGAGAACCCAGAATAATGTTTGACCACATTTCTGGGCACCACATGGCCTAGTCAAGTTGACACATAAAATTCACCATCACACTTATGCATTTCAGACACACCTAGCCAGCTCCTACGATCGCGTAAGCCAAGTCTTTGCAGTAAATCTCTTACTATACATCTCTTACTAGTTGTGTTTCTCTGGCTGAACCCTGACTGACACACATGGTGAGCTGCGATAAGAATAACAATTGCAATTATCGCCTTTTCTGGGAAGTCCCCAGCAGTAGGTCTGCATGTCGCAGGCCCTTGGCAAGTGCCAAGGAGTCCCATTTTATAAGCGGAACGGAAGTCACAGCAGTTTCGGCCGGGTGCGGTGGCTCACGCCTGTAATCCCAGCACTTAGGGAGGCCGAGGCAGGCGGATCATGAGGTCAGGAGATCGAGACCATCCTGGCTAACACAGTGAAACCCAGTCTCTACTAAAAATACAAAAAATTAGCCAGGTGCGGTGGCAGGTGCCTGTAGTCCCAGCTACTTGGGAAGCTGAGGCAGGAGAATCACTTGAACCGGGAAGCAGAGGTGGCAGTGAGCCGAGATCGTGCCACCACACTCCAGCCTGGGTGACAGAGCGAGACTCCGTCTTAAAAAAAAAAAGAAGTCGCAGCAGTTTCTTCCATGACTCCAAAGGGCTCTAGGCAGCAAGGACAAGTCCCATCCGAAGTCCCAGCACAGACAGCCTCACGGCCCCACCTACACTCCATAGCACGACAGGGCTGGCTTCTCTGGGTGCCAAGTATGCAGAAGAGGGACGGCTCGCATAGTTCCATTGCATGCCAGGCCCTTTGCCACAAACTTCACCTATTAACCAGTCATCTAATCCTCACAATAGAGCACCAAGGTGGCTACTGATGGCGGCAGCGGCCCATCTGGAGCAGCCGCTGCAGGGACATCAGCTGCAGTCGGGGAGGCACATCAGCTGCAGTGGGGGAGGCACTGCCAGGGCTGCGCGTTCTGCAGAGCCAGAGGGGGCCAAGAACAGGCAGGAGCCCCGCCCCTACCAAGTCGGCCAGGTGGGAGCCCATGCTGCCAGGCACAGCCACAGCTCTGGACCATGGCATCCCTGTGTGCTCAGGGGCCTGGGAAGTCCCTCTCCCCGCACAGGCTCTGATGTACCTGTTCCTGCTCCTTGGCCTCTCCCTGCTCCTGGCACCTGCTCTGATTTTGGAGCAAAGTTGTGGCTGAGCCCAGGTGCTGTCACAACCCAGCTAGGTGTGCACGCATTCGAGGTGGCACTGACACACCTGCACCCCCACCACCTTGACCTCCTCTGGACTTTGGGCACCAATAAGCATGGGAGGAAGGCAAGGGACGGCTGAGGGCAGCTCAGCACTGGCCTGCTGGCACTTCTTGCCATGAACAGCCTGGATACCATGGACAGCATGTTGATGGCAGAGGCAGACAGGTCCCTGGGCAGAAAGGGGCAGGTCCCTAGTGAAACCCCACCTTCAAGCTAGGGATGGCCTGAAGCCTGGGTGCTGGGCTGCCTGTTCTGGGTGAAGTCCACAGCCCAGCCCAGAATGATAACTAATGGTGCTTTTTCCAGGCCACCTACAGCTGCCCATGGATGAATCAGCAAGCACTTTCTCCCTTCTAAGCCCATAGAAACCCAGATTCAGCCAGACTCACACAGATGTCTGGACTACCAGCTGTGGGAAGGAGCTGCCCACTGCGGGTCTTCTCTCCACTGCGAGATGGACACTTGTCAGGATGACCTGCCTGCGGGAAGGAGCTGCCCACTGTGGGTCTCCTCTCCACTGAAAGATGGACATATTGGGACAGCCTGCCTGCAGGAAGGAGCTACCCACTCTGGGTCTCTTGAGGGCTGTTCTGTCACCCAATGAAGCTCCTCTCTGTCTTGCTCACCCTCCAGTTGTCCACATACCTCATACTTCCTGGACACAGGACAAGAACTCGGGACCTACCGAATGGTGGGACTGAAAGAGCTGTAACACAAACAGGCTGAAACATGCCCCCCACTTGCCATGTTGCGGGTGGTGAGGAGAGAGGAGCTGCGGCCCTTCAGGGAGTCCAGACCTAGGGGCTCCCTGAGCCAGGGCTGTGACACCCTCTTTGGGACTCGGGTTTCTGGTGTCTCTAAGCTTCCAGGAGTCACCATGTTCCCGGGTGCCCACAGTGGAAGCTGCTTGCAGTACATCTGGTTCAACTGCAGCTTCACACAGAGCCAGCCCCTGTGCCGGTGCCTAGAGCTGCCCACCCCGCCACAGCTGGCACACCTGGCTGTGTGCAGTGGCCACCTTCCTGACAGCTCTGAGCCTCCGCTTCTAAAGAGGTTTAAGAGCAATAGTGACGGGTTTCTTTTATGTTTCCCTCCTTTCCAAGATGGTAATGTGGATCTACTTTGATCTCAGTTCGAATTCCAGCTTTCAACCTTGAGTTTCTGATTCATCTTTGTATCTTGGGTACTTGGCATGGAGTAGGTGTCCAATAAATTTAATTGTCACATCTTTTTATCTGGGCCTCCATTTTCTCAATTATACAGTGGGGATCCTGATATAGTCTTGGACTTTCATGTATCTGACAAATTGGTTTTTTTCTTTCTTATTTTATTCTTGCCACTTCCCTTGTATAGACTCTCTTCTCTGCTAACACCATTCCCACCCCTCATTGGGTGGAGGAGAGGAAAAGGAACCATAAGAAAGGAAGGGACGTAGAGAAGAAAGGGGCTAAGATGAGGATGCCTGCCTCTTCTACTCCACATGTTCTGGGAGTTCCAGTCAGCGTAATTAGGCAAGGAAAAGAAAAAGGCATCCAGATTGGAAAGGAAGACATAGGCTGGACATGGTGGCTCGTGCCTATAATCCCAGTGCTTTGGGAGGCCGCCAAGGTGAGAGGATTGCTTTAGGCCTGGAGTTTGAGACCAGCCTGGGCAACAAAGCAAGACCTCACTTCAACAAAATAAAAAAAAAATAAGCCAGGTGTGATGGTGTGTACCTGTCATCCCAAGCTACTCAGAAGGCTGAGGCTGGAGGATTGTGTAAGCCCAGGAGTTCAAGGCTGCGGTGAGCTGTGATCACACCACTGCACTCCAGCCTGGGTGACAGAGCAAGACCCTGTCTCTATAAAAATATACATAAGTAAAAGTAAAAGAAAAAAAGAAAGGAAGCAGTAAAGCTATCTCTAGTCACAGATGATATGATCTTACACATAGAAAATCCTAAGAAATTCACTAAAAAACTATTGGAACTCATAAATAAGTTCAGCAAGGTTGCAGGATACAAGATTGATATACAAACATAAATTGTATCTCTACACATTCAAAATCAACAATCCAGAAATTAAATTAACAATTCCACTCACAGTAGCATCAAAAAGAATGAAATACGTATACATAAACTTAACAAAATAAATGCAAATTTTATACTCTGAAAACTACAAAACTGTTGAAAGAAAGTAAAGACTTAAACAAGTGGAAAATACTATATATTCCTGGACTGGATGACTCAATTAACATTGTTAAGATGGCAGTACTCCCAAAATTGATCTACAGATTCAACACAACCCTTGTCAAATAGCTGATATAAATTGTATAAATTGACATTCTAATTCTACAATTCATATGGAATTTCAAGGGATCCAGAATAGTCAAAACAATACTGAAAAAGAATACAGCAGGAGGACTCACACATTGAGATTTTAAAGCAACTGCAAAGCAACAGTAATCATGACAGTGTGGCACAAGGGTATGTATTTATCAAGTCTAGAGTCTAGAAATAAATCCATACATCTATGGTCAACTGACAAGGGTTCAAAGAAAGACCATTCAGTGAGGGAAAGAATAGTCTTTTCCACAGAAGAAAAGAAAGAGCTTGGGCTTGGGAATTTGGCAGATTCTGCCATTGTCTTGCTGTGTGACTCTGAGCAAGTGGCTTAACATCTCAGAGCTGAAGTTTTCTCATCTGTTAACATGAGGATGAGAGTGTTCATATCACAGGCATAGACACTTGAGATCTCCTATGTGAGTGCTTAGCAGAGCAGGCCTCTTGGGCAAGTGCACGAAGGCAGAGGAGTACTGTGGGAATCTGCTAGTGGCCATTAGGTCGCTCCTTCCAGGACCCCCAGGAACCCCTTTCCCCAGGAACAGGCAGGGTCGGTGGGGCTTGAGTGTGCAGACGGGGCTTGGCGGGGTTCTGCGGGTTGGTAATAAATGAACAGGAAAGGAGATTCCATTACGCAGGAATGTCTGGGGAGGGGGTGGGGAAGGAGCCGGCTCTTCTCCCAGCACCAGCCAGCTCTGCGGTCTTGATTGATGTGCCTTGCACCGCGGCAGCGGCGGGCCTGGTGGAAAGAGGCCCCTTCACTCACCCTTCCTGGAGCTAGGCCAGCAGCCAGATGTTCCTGGCCTTTGGGGAGCTGGGGTGGGGGCAGGGGAGGCCGGCAGCGGGCCAGAGGGCAGCTGCCCAGACGGCGAACCTCTCTACCTCCTTCTCCTCAGCAGCTGGGCCCAGGTGGCGTTGGCTGTACTGCTGACCTTTGGCCGATGGCTGTCTCTCCTGGACTTTGGCTCTGTTCAGAATTGGGGGTGGGGTTCTCACCCACCCTGTCCTGCTGGGAGAGGCACACAGCTGCCTAGGAAAGGGCTTTCAGCTCCAAAAAGGAAAGTATCCCACCTGCCCAAGGTTCTTGTGTTACCCTGGCCAGAGCCACAGGGGGAGGTGTGACTGGCACCTGAACCACCCATGGAGGAGGAAAATCCAGGTTGAGGCCCCTGAGTGAGTGGTTTGGGAGAGGGTCTGAAAGCAGATTCTGGACTTCTCAGAGAAAGTCCCTCCAGCAGGTGCTAAGATGAACCCAAGGCGCATTTCCTCATGAGTGCCTCTCAAGTACGGTGATTATAGCAGAGGGCTGCAGGCCACCATCTCTAGCCCTTTCGGTGGTTTTATTATTATTGTTGTCATATTTTTTTTAAGAGACAGGGTCTCAAACTCCTGGCCTCAAGAAATCCTCCCACCTCAACCTCCCAAAGTGCTGGGATTACAGGCATAAACCACTGCACACAGCCAATGATTTTATTGTTAAACACATAACAGCTAGAAGAGAATATAACAAAACAGATAACTAAATATCACCCCAAAATTACCATGTAAAATGACTGACTGCCAATATGTTGGTGTCATTTCTCCTATTATTTCTGTCCTGGGTCTCTGTAGTATTTATGTATGTTTACTTTTCAGGAAAGTGGGCTCATCATACTCATCTAGCTTTGTCACTTTCCTTCTTCTACTCAACACCAGTGGTGCACACCTGGCCACGTCAGGAAATGCAGATCCACTTTGACCTTTTTAGGGCCGTTCCATCGTATAGCTGCCTGATGTTGTCGAGCTTTTAGGGGATTTTCAAAATGTCCCTTGAATGGACAATGCAGCATTGAATCTCTTGGTACCTGCACCTTCGTACACATGTGAATTATTTCCTTGGGATAAATGGCAAGAAGTAAAACTGCTCAAAGGGTAAACCTATGAACCAACTGAACTCGCACACGCAGGCCCTCATTCTTCCCTCTGCTTATGTCCTTCCCTCAGAGCTGCCCGCGATGTCTACTGTGCCCCCACCCCACCTTGGAAGGTGGTTAGTGGTACTGCAAGGCCCTTCACCTGTGGCTGGGGGGGCACTCTGACCAGACAAGGTTGGCCTGGGAGGCCAGAAATATCTCACCCCATTGATCTCTCTCTAGAGGGCATCTCACGGTGGGGAAGTCCTGGACTGGAACAGAAAGGACCTTGGCTATGTCCTGTCTAGTCCACACTTTACCCACTGGGAGTGACGAGGGGCCAGTACCACAGCCTCCTTCAGTTTATACAGTCTGTGAATGACAGCAGGTCCTCTACAATATGCCCACTGCAGGGACTTCTGCGACTCACGTGGGGACTGTGAAAGGCACAAGGGCAGGATGTTCATGTCATGGGCACTGCCCCAGGCAGAGGCCTGTGCAGTGACAGCCCAGCTTCCTACCAACAGACTGGAAACCCTGGCCAGGGCAAGAGCAGCTCAGCCCTGCAGTGAGCAACTAAAGAAGACTTGGCTGCTTCTCTTTGAGGACAGGGATGTGTGACAAAGCGGCATGAGCTGTGACTGCTCAGAGAAGGCTGGAGTAGAATGGACTTGGGGGTGACCTCTCAAGGCTTCCTGGAACCTGAGAATCCCAACTGCATGGAACTAGCACCTTTCTTGACATTTGCATGCAGATGCTCATTTAACTTTGCACATAAAGTCAGCTACTACCAGCAGCATTCTCTACCCTACACACACACACACACACACACACACACACACACACACACACACACACACACTCTCCCTCTCTAACTAAAGACTGCACCTTCATTGCCTCACACTGCAGATCACATTCGGACACACAATAATAATAATGTAGTAATAATTTTAATAACACCTATTGAGCGTTTACTACATGCCAGGCCCTTCCCAGGCATTGTCCAAGCCTCCTTTCGTTAGCTTCATTGCAAGGATGAGAGAAAGTCACTTGCCTAAGGTCACAGAGATGCTGAGCAGAGGAGCCCCACCCACAGCACACACTCCTCTCCCACCACTCAGACACAACCTGGCCCCCCAACTCCCTGCACGCTGCCTTCCTGCCCGGGCTGTGGTAGCCGAGTGTTCACCACATGAACCCCCCACGCCTCACCCAGCCCTTGGTACACAGTGGAACAGACCTGGCTTGTCCAGATTCAGGCAGCTAGAGACACAGTAACTATAATAAACACAGGCTGTAAACCACCTTCTTGGCTTGTACAGATGCGGAGTTTTCCCCAGACCTGCGCTTCTGAACTGGATGGGGGGCAGCCCCTTGCCCCGTCCCTGAATCCTTTTTCTTTCCCTCTTTTTCCTGTCTGCCTCCCCCTGCTGTCTCCTCCTTTGCTCTCTCAAGCCACTGGAGGACCTACCTGCTGTGTGCCTGGCACTGAGGTCGCCACTGGGGCTGTGGTGGGGTGGGTAGCTCAGGTTCCCATCCTTTGGGAAACTGAGAGCTCATCCCATCATGTGAGGCCTAGAAGGAGGGGGCTTGCTCAGGTCACACGAGGAGGGAGCGTAGAGCCAGGCCTCACGGTTGAGGCTCCCTGTGCCCAGGCCAGGGCTTTTATTTGGGGAGACAGCACAGGCCACTGGGAGCACTAATGGTCTAAGGTGGCATGTGTTGCACTCCAAATACATGGCTCAGACATGGAATCCTAAGGGAGTTCAGAGTGGCCCTGACATGAGTTGTATCTTCCATGTGCTGGGTGCTTGTGCGCACCAGGTCCTTTATATACATTCTCTTATTTAGTCTTCCTGATAACCCAACAAGCAGATACTATGATTATCATCTTTCCCCCATTCTACAGACAAGGAAACCAAGGCTCACAGCTGTCAAGACTCAAACCTAGGTCTGTTTTCTCTAAAACCTCAGCTCTCCCAGCAGGCTGACCTGCCTTGGATGAGGAAGGGACTGGGGCACCGAATGGATAAAGGCTTTGACGAGGAGCTGGGGTTTCAGCAGACCTTGATAAGGATGGGAGGAAAGAGGGGGACATCCTGGAAAGTGGGCACTGTTTGAGCCAAGGTATGGAAGCCGAAACATACCCATTGAGCCCTGGGACCAGCGAGGTGACAGCCCGATCAGAGGGAGGCTTTTGGCTAAGGGAGCCATTTGAGCTCTTGGCATCCTGCAGCTTATTCCTTGGAGGAAGGGCTGGCAGGTGAGCCTAGCCCAGGAACCCAAGTCTGGGGAGCTCTTGGAGGCTCTGCCAGGGTTGGCCCCAGAGGAACTTGGGAGGCCCTGAGCTGGGCAAAGTTCTCCTTGGCGTCATAAACCAGGCCCCATGGAAGGAGGAGCCAAGAGGTTCCTAGTGGCTGTGCCACCCCCAGCGAGGGACACTGCCAGGGGCCGGCACAAGTACCAGGCTCTGAAGGTCCTCAGGATTCATTGGCATCAGGTTCCCTGCTGTATGGCGCAGCTGCAAGCCAGCATGCAGGACTGGCAGAGGTGAGTGCCAGGCAGAGGCTCCCCTCGGCCTTGGCAGACCTGGTGGGGCTGGAAAATCGGGAAGGGAGAAGGGAAAGCTCATGCTTGACAGCTGTCTCTCTAGGGTGAGGCAGCTGAGGCCACTGCTGTGATAAGCTCGTTAAACCACAAATCACAGAGGCTAGAATCAATCTTCCGCTGCAGTGGAGCTTCCTAAAATAGAACACAGCCCGTGGGCTCACCTGCCACTTCAATCTCCCTCTCCTTGTCAAATGCCGTCTCATCTTTCGGGTCTTAGCTCTAGCTACTCTTCCTCAGGGAAGCCCGCCCTGATACCTAACCCCCAACCCCCACTATAAACTGGAGATATGGTCAAACTCCAGAATAGCACTTCAAAAACTGAGGCTTTTCCTATGCTGGGTAGGTAGGTGGATAAATAGACAGATGGATACATGGACGGGTGGATGGAAGGATGGATGGATGGATGGATGGATGGATGGATGGATGGATGATGTCTGGGCAGAACTTTGGTTTGTTATTATATATTCATTTGTGGAATTATTTGATTGATATTGTGCCCCTTCTAACTGCAAGCCCTGAAAAGGTAGCAGTTGTGTCGATCATGTTCACCAGACTATCCTCAGGCCCTGGAATATAGTAAAAACCTGAGAAATATTAGTAGAACAAGTTGAATGGATGCTTGAGTGGATGTGGATGGGTAGATGTATACATGGATGCATGGATGGATATGTGGATGCATGGATGTGTATGTAGATGCATGTATGTATATGTGGATTCATGGATAGTTATATGGAAGCACGGTTGGATATATGGATTCATGGATGGATATATGGATGCACGGATGAGTATGTAGATACATGGATGGATATATGGGTGCATGGATGGATATATGAATTCATGGATGGATATGTGGATGCATATATGTATATGTGGATTCATGGATGTATATATGGATACATGGATGAATATATGGATACATGGATGTATATATGGATGCATGGATGAGTATTTGGATGTATGGATGGATATAGGGGTACATGGGTGGATATATGGATGGATATGTTAATGGATGGATGGATGGATGGATATAGGGATGCATGGATGGATATGTGGATGGATGGATGGATATATGGATGTGTGGATGGATATGTAGATTCATAGATGAATATGTGGATGATGCATGTATGTGTATGTGAATGCTGCATGTAGGTATATGTGGATGCAGGGATGAAGATGTGGATTCATGGATAGATATGTGGATTCATGGATGGATATGTGGATGCATGGATGGATGGGTGAGTGGCAGGATGAACGAGTGGAAGAATGTATAGAAGAATGGATGCTGGGTAGGTAGGTGGATAAATAGGCGGATGGATACATGGAGGGGTGGATGGAAGGATGGATGGATGGATGTCTGGGTGGAACTTCAGAATGTTAGACTGTTAGAATGTTCATAATCATGAAACTCTAGAATGCTAAAGACAGGTACCTTTTATTTATTACATTGTTAAAATAAAACATAGCATTATAATTAGAAGGGACAATTAAGAGCTCAGTTCCCTCTTATAGGAGATGAGCAGATAGGCTCTGAGAAGTGAAATCGATGTGTCCAAGGCCACACAGCAAATTAGGTGTCCACAAATCTGTTTTCTCACCACTGTGTGAAACAGCCTCTGGAAAAGGGGCCAGAAGGCTTTGTTCCAGTCCTGTCTCTTCTGAGGTTTCTGTGTGACTTGGGACAAGTCATTGGGACTCCATTTTCTCTTTAGAAGAAAAGATTGGGTCTCTCCCAGGGGCAAAATCTAGCTATTCCCTTGCATTTTTGGGAAGGTCAGCCTTACTGAGCTGTGTTGGATATCCCTCCCCATACCTTTCTCAAAGCCCAATAGAGTTGTCAGGATGAACGCCAGGCCCCTAGGGGTAAAGTGAAGTAATTTTACAATGAGTCAGTGTACAGTATGAATTTTTTTAGTTTCAAAAAAGTGTGAAAACATGGTTCCATATTCCATAGAGGATAGTCCAAAGGCCTCAGCCTGACTTTATGGACCCTGGGAGCTTCTGGGACCTCCCATTCTGGTCTGAGGACCAACCTCCAACTCCCTCTTGAGCCAGCCTGGCCACCGGCCATATCTCCATGCGTGACTTTCCACTCTCTGGTGTGCCCCGGGGGTCGGGGGAAGCTGCGTGTTATAAAAGGGCCCTTAGTGAGTTTCTGGTACCACATAACCTTCCTGGAACTTTGTCACTACCCTGGACTTCTGCAACCCCAGCCTCTGAAGCTGGGGGTGTGTCTGCCAGGGGGAACTTCCCCTCCCCCAGAGCCAGCCTCAGGCTGCCTGTCCCCACCCAGAGGAAAAGGGGCTCCACATGTTGGGAAGGGAAGGACCTCTGCAGCAGCCATGGAAGAAAGTAGGTCTTGAGCATCTCAGAGCCCCAGACACCCAGGATTGTGGGAGTCAGAGAGAAGGGGATCTCAGTCTGTCTAGGAGAGTGGGGGAGAAAAACCATCCTATATGGCAGAGGTTAGGGGTGGGGTGCAGGAAGGGGGCAGGGGAGAGAAGAGGAGGCTGGGGCGGTGCTCCCAGGAGCTCCCAGGGGCCATAAAGTCAGTCTAATGAGGCCTTTGGACTTTATCCTCTGTGGAATATGGAACCTTTTTTTTTAAAGGTGTTCACACTTTTTGACATAAAAAAATTTGTATTGCACAGTCACTTATTTACAAAAAAAAGGCAGCAAACAATACAACTGAATTCTTAGTAAAAAATAAATTTTCCTTCCCCTCTCCCAATTCCTTCTTGAGAAGCAAACCCTTTTGACAGGTCTTGTATGTCTTTGGAGCAATATTCGAGGCTATATTGATTCAATGCATTCCATTGCTTCCTTTTTGTAAGTGGTAATGTACTATACACACCATTCTCTGTTCCAGTGTATGCTTTATAGATTTTTTTTTTTTTCTGGAGACAGAGTCTCGCTGTGTTGCCTAGGCTGGAGTGCAGTGGTGTGATCTTGGCTCACTGCAACCTCCGCCTCCTGGGTTCAAGCAATTCTCCTGCCTCAGCCTCCCGAGTAGCTGGGACTACAGGTGTGCGCCACCACACCCAGCTAATTTTTTTGTATTTTCAGTAGAGACGGGGTTTGGCTATGTTGGCCAGGCTGGTCTTGAACTCCTGACCTCAAGTGATCCACCCACATCAGCCTCCCAAAGTGCTAGGATTACAGGCAAGAACCACCACACCCAGCCTTACAGATAATTTCTGAGCAGCACATGTAGGTGTATCTCATTGGTTTTACCCCCACTTACTGTCCTGCCATATAGACGCTCTGCACGTCATTACCCATCCCTACGAATGGACCTTGACATCATTTCTAGCCATTTGCTTCCACAAACAACCCTGCGATGAACATATCCTCACGCATTCACCTTTGAGCATGTGGGCTGGTGTGCCAGCTGGATAACTTCCTAGAAGTGGTATTGCTGGTCAAAGGATACATGCATTTAATTCAGTATGTGTCACCACATTGTTGCCTAGAAGGTTTTGAGCAGGGGAATGACAGGCCCCCGTGGTCTGGTCAGTTGCTGCTAATGCATTTGGCAGGAGGTAGAAAGAGCAAATTATTGGATTATGAGCCACACAGTCTCCAGGTCTGAGATGGACTAAAGTATCTTCAAATGAGGGTTTATTCAGAGTCCCTGTGAGCCCTTTCAAAGCCCCCAGCTCTGTGCTCTCTGTAGTGCTCTCTGGAGCCTGGGAGAAAGGGATTCCAGTAGACAAGTTCCTTTGCTGTGGGGAGAGGTCCCCAGTTCACCAGTCATGCAAGGACCCACATCCCCCGCCAGGGGTGGCTGCAAACAACCTAGTGGGGAGAGGACAGGCTGCCGACAGCTGCAAGGAACGAAGTTCAGCCAAAGCCCGCGCAGAGGGCTGCCAAGAGTTTTTTCTTTTCATTTTTCCAAGCCTTGCGCTTTGGGCTGGGGCACAGTGTCATCCTCATGTTTCCTATTATTTTACAAGGCTCCCATCAAAGCGCCAGCCGCACAGGCTCTTTGATGTCTGAGCTGGAGCCTGCCTCTGCCTTGGGGAGAAGCATCTTTGCTGAGGATCAAGAGGTGAATGAGGCCTGAGATGGTCCCCATGCCTCTCCCCTACGTGCTCCCCTGGCTCATCTCCTGGCTGGGACCATAGGCCCCTGGAGGGGGAGAGAGGGACCGCCACAGCCAGCCAAGCTGAAAAGCCTCTAAGATAGCTCAGAAGGGGATGTGGAGGCCCAGAGAGGGCCAAGGGGCTGCTCCAGGCCACACAGCAACTTGGTAGAGCACTTCAGCTCTGGTGGTGATCAGACGCTGGGTGAGACAGCAGAGGGGATTTCTACCAGAGTCAAACCAAGCCTGGCAGGCAGCCTTTGTCTCTTGGTTTCTCAGTTTCTCCACCTCACGTCCTAGAAGTCTTTTGGGGCTGATACTGTGCATCTGAGGGTGGCGCTTGTGTGGGCTCTGTCCCTTCTAAATACGTGACCTTGAGCAAGTTACTTAACACAACCAAGCCTCAGCTTTTTCCTCTCTAAAATAAGATAATGGCAATTGTCAGCTTAGAGGGTCCCTGTGTGGGTGCAATAAGAAGATTCACAGAAAATACTTAGCACGGTGCCTGACACGTGAAGGGTCTCGAAAAGGAAGGGCTGTTATCGTTGTTGCTGGTAATGACAATAAAGAAGTGGGAAGGGGGCTTCTAAGGAGAAGAGGCTGGTGCAGCATAGACTTGCTGCTATACCTCCCCGTCCTCAGCCCAGTCCTGGTCTAAGAAGGGACTGGGGCCTTCTCTGCAATCCAGGGAATTAGCTCCTTTTCTGCCCCCCTCCCAGCCCCTACCTCTAATTCCAAGGCTGTCTTCTGAGCCTCAGGGTTAGAGGGGGTGGGGAACAGATGAGGCAAAGGTGCCAGGCCTGGGATGGGGGCACTAATGGTGTCTGGGCCGGAAGGTCTGGTAGGTGGGGGAGGGGTGTCTGGAGGACATGGCCCGCAGCCCTGACTCCCGGAGGCAGCCAGAGTGGAAGTGGGGGTGGGTCTTGGCAAAGCTGAAAAGGCTGGGATTTGACTTGGAAACACATTGAGAAGTCCCTGGCGGCTGCCTCCTCAGTAACAGCCCCTCTGAAGCTGAGCCCGGGACGGGGAGGCTGTTTTGTATAAAGGGGCTCTGGGGACCTCAGTGATGGAGAATGGACTGAAACCTCTCCCCCAGAACTGCAGCATGCGCAGCTGAGCCCCCAGCACTTCCTGCAGGCCTGCCCCAGGGGCTGCAGAATTCCAGCCATCAAGCCTGTGTGGACAAGGGACGGGGCAGGGGAGGAAGGGACCCTGGAGTTCACAGATGGGAAAGGGCAGAAGCGCCGTCTCAGATAGCCCCAAGCCCTGGTCTCTTGGCCTTCGCCTTCCTGTTTTTTGTCACAACTGCATTGAACCTGTGATGTTACTTACGTAACAGTTTTCTTTAAATTGATTCACTTTTTAAAACCTGAATACAGTTATTTCAAAGGGAATTTGATATTGCTACTGTAAAGGGAAGATAGTAACACTCACCGTACATAGTAACCATGTAAATAAAATACAATAAAAACAAAACAATGTTGTTAAATTTTACCTAGAGCCTGAGACTTGTTCTCTCTCTCTCTGATAAAAAGGAAGATTAACAAGCGTCAGAGCTATGTTAAAGACAGGCTAGCACCCAACTAAGACTTTCTTCTTGATTATATCTGCCAGATAAAATACAAGATGCCCTGGCTCACTCCTGTAATCCCAGCACTTTGGGAGGCCGAGGTGGGTGAATCACCTGAGGTCAGGAGTTCGAGACCAGCCTGACCAACATGGAGAAACCCCGTCTCTACTAAAAATACAAAATTGGCTGGGCATGGTGGCGCATGCCTATAATCCCAGCTACTCGGGAGGCTGAGGTGGGACAATTGCTTGAACCCGGGAGACGGAGGTTGCGGTGAGCTGAGATTGCTCCATTGCACTCCAGCCTGGGCAACAAGAGTGAAACTCCGTCTGAAAAGAAAAGAAAAAGAAGAAGAAGAAGAAGAAGAAAAGATACAAGATGCCCATTAGGTTTGAATTTCAGATAAACAATGAATAATTTTTTAGTATATATCCTAAATATTGCGGAGGCCCTACTTACCCTGGAAAAAGTTATTTCTTATTTATCTGAAATTCAAATTAACTGGGTCTCCTGTATTTGTACTTGCTGAATCTGGCAACCCCACCCTCAATGAATGAAAGAGAGTTTTTAAAGGAACAGCTTTCTCACTGCTAAGTGATATTGGATAGTTCCATGTCCCTATGCCACCAAGAAAAAAAAATCTTGAGAAACACTGTTCTGATTCAAGGTGGAATTAGACCAACAAAACACGCTAGTGTGGGAATCTGCAAGTAGGTTAAGAACATCCCAAATGGGGGAAATTCTGACGGCTCCATGCAGGAGAAGGAGGCATTGGGGCTGGACCCATAGGCCAGCTAGTGTAAGACAGCAATCTTGGAGCCCGAGCACCCTTCCTCCCATTGAGCCATAGCCTGGAAGACAGAGGCCACTCCTCAGTGATTAAGGCTTGACCCTTCTTTCTGAAGACCGGGGATCTTGTGTTCGAGTGACTGTGGTTTGTGAGCTTGAGTGACTGAGTGTGTTTGCCCAAATCACACCCTCTCAAGATGGAAAAGGGCTTTTAAGGGTATCTCCTCTAATACCACCTACCAGTCCTGCCCACCCCATGTGGGCATCTGAACCTTGTGTCCAGTGATAGGGTGCTCACCACCTACCAAGGTATGTCTTTCCATCACTGGGCAGCTTAGGAAGCTCTTCCTTAGGCTGAACAGAAACCTGCCTTCCTGTTATGTCTCTGTAGATTAACCGCTGCCTTCTGAACAAAGTGCTCCCCTCTGTCCCGGGACAGTCCTTCAGAGCTGTATTGGTAGCCCACTGGAGTCTGAATAGACATACTTCTTTGAATTCTACCTGTTATGGCCTGGTCTCTGGCTTTCTCATTTGCGGAGAAATGGCCTTAGGCCCCCAGACCAGGGCATGCCTGGAGGCCCTGACTTGTGTGCTATCTTCAGGCAGGGAATAAGAATGAGGTTTGTCCTGGGAGCCGGGGCCAGGGCAGAGCCAGGACAAGGAGGAAAGCTCCTTTCTGAGCTTTTGGATGCTGAGTCTGCAGGAGTTGCAGGCAGAGCCCCGGAGACCTGGGTTCTGTTCCCTACGCAGTCCCTTATTTGTTGTGCAGCTTCAGGCAACACTCCTTTCCCTTCTGAGCCTTGGCTCTATTTTATATATTCCAGAAGTGGCTTGGCCTATTTCTTTTTATTTTTTTTGAGACAGGGTCTTGCTCTGTCTTCCAGGCTGGAGTGCAGTGATATGATCTCCGTTCACTGCAACCTCTGCCTCCCACACTCAAACCATCCTCTCACCTCCGCCTCCCAAGTACCTGAGACTACAGGCGTTCACCACCACACTGGCTAATTTTTGTGTTTTTGTAGAGATGGGGTTTTGCCTCACTGCCCAGGCTGGTCTTGAACTTCTGGGCTCAAGTAGTCCCCCTACTTGGGCCTCCCAAAGTTCTGGGATTACAGGCATGAGCCACCACGCCCGGGGTGTGGCCTATTTCTAACAATAAAAACATTTGTGTCTGTTCTGGTTGGCCAGTGCTGGCTGGAACTGTGATAAGAATTCAGAGGCGGTGTCTGGGTTTGGTGGGTAAATGGGCAGTGTGTGGTCAGTAGAATGGCAGTTTGAGAGCTATGTAGGTAACAGTCATGGAAGACTTAGGGGGCTGCCAGCTCTGGCAGTGCTTGGTTCTGGAATAATAAAGCCCCACAAAGTGAGGTGATAATGAAGTCAGACATGGGGCAGGGGGTGTCCCTGCTGGGTGGAGGGGCTTACCCTGCACGGCTGTGCTGACCCTGGCGCTGTCCTTCTTCAGCCTGCAGACGTGTGTTAGCTCCCACCCTGCCATCCAGATGGCCAGAGGACAGAGGCGCTCTGTGGAATCCTGTGTGTGGGCCAGGACTTGCGGCTTGAGGGTGGCGTGGAAGGCGGCAGGGGAGTCTGGCCAAGTGGGGCTGGGGCAGTGGAGATGGGGCTTCTCTGCCAGGGGGAAGATCTTTAGGGAACAAAAACTTGGGTCAGAGCTGGGGCTTGGCTGCTACACAAAGGGGCTTTCTCCCCATCCCTGCCTTGCAGAGCCAGGAGGCTGGAAGAGGGGAAAACCCAGACTCTGAGTAGCTCAGAGGGGTCAGAGCAAATCCTCAAGCTGGGCAGGATCCCTAAAAAGCAACCAGTCTTCCCCACAACCTACCAACAGGCCTTCCTGACAGATGGCTACAGAAATGGGTCCCTCCACCTGCCCCTGGATCTGCTGCCATCTCACTGTGTGGCCTTTGTCAAATTCCTTCCCCTCTCCCTGGGCCTCAGTTTCCCCAACTGTAAGAAGAAGGAATTGCACAGATGGTCACTAAAAGCTCTCCCGGGCCTCACATTTGCAGACTACAAGTTCTCTCATCATCATCAAGTCTTTCAGTTCACGGAGCACTTTCTTATTTACCACTTAGTTTATCCCTCAACAACCTGGGGAGGTGGGCGTGGTGAACATTATCCCCAGTTTTTTTCGGATGATAAAACTGAGGCTCAGAGATGGGGAAAGTCCTTCCAAGTTTGCACAGCAAGGTAATGGTCGAGCAGGACTCTTGCCGTTCTGTCCAGACCTCCATCAACTGCCCCAGAAGTTTGCAAGGGGCTTCAGTGGGGCCTGGATGCTGTGGAAGGAGGTCAGAGGCCTGAGAAGAGCAGATGTGGAGGATGAGGGAGATGGGATGAAGCAGGCATGATTGCTTCACTTGTCTGTTATTTTATATGGATTTCCATGTAGGAAATATTTTGAGGAAAAAAATATTTATGCCTAAAAAATTGGAAGACCCCGTGCTGTTGCAAGACTTCTCAGGTGGAAGCTGAGGCGGACCCTCTTCTGAGCTGCACAGACTCTGGGTTGGGTAGCTTTACCTGGGGATTAAGCAAGAACTTCATGTATCTAATGGAAATGAAGGGGATTTGCACATCTTAGATCGTAGACATTTAGCATGCGATGGCATTTGGGAAGAGGTTGGAAAAGTTCAAAACACATAGAATCACCAAGTATGAAAATGTCAGCACTGTGAGATGCTAATGCTGGAAGGATCTTCAGAAACCATCTTGTTCCTCCACCCTTCCCTGTTCTTCCCTGAAGGGAAACAGAGGCCCAGCGAGGAGAAGAACTTGGCTCAGGTCTCACAGCATCAGGAGCAACAGGACTACAAGTTGGGTCTCCACACTTGGCTGACAGTTTCGGCATAGGCCACTCTCTGGGTAGGCATTAGGAGTCAGGGGACAGGGGAGAGAGAAGAAAAGGAGGGATCTAGGGGCCTGGGGACAGGCAGACAAGAGGTATGTAAGGCCCAGCCACTCGCTGATAAGAGACCCACAATGTCATTCCAAAGGGCTATTTTATCAAGATGTAATTTTCTCCGCTGCAGACACTATTTTCTTTCTCGTGCAGACTGTGCTGGCCTTCGCGATAAGGCGCCTAGACATGTTCACACTAAGGCAGCCAAAACATGAGGCAGGAGGAAAAAAATTCCCTTCTTAATCTCCCCCCACCCCAGCCCACTCCCCCCTCATTTCCTCTCATTCTCTCCAAGTTCTCATGCCCCCCACCCCCCCAGCTGGCTGGCCCCTTCCTGCCTTCCCGTAAGTCGGCCCAACGGAGCCAGGAAGGTATGTGGCCCAGCGGCTCTTCTCAAAGGAGAGAAGCATGGAGGGGCCTCCCCTGGGAAAAGAGGCCCGGGCCACAGGCTCTCCCATGACCCTGCAAGGGCAGGTGGGTTGGGGGGAGGTCTTGTTTACAGGCTTGCCCCTAGAATCTTCTCTCCTCTGTCCCCACAATCTCTGCAAATAAAACACAGCTCTCTATAGTTTGGGGGTTTAAGCTGGAGGTGATGAGAGCCTCCCCCAACCACAGATTCTCTGCTTCCTGACCCCTACTCCTGACCTCCAAATCCAGGGCTTGATAGAGATTCCTGGGGGAGGGGGTCACCCTGCCTACTTTCCCCTAAACACCCCCAGAGAAGAGATCTGGCCAGATAGGAGACCTGGAATTCTGATCCCGCAAATCCAGCAGTCACTGTGGGACTAGTCCCTTTTGCTCTCTAGGCTCTCTAGGCCTCAGTTTTCCTATCTGCTCACTAAGAAGGCTGGACTCAGATATCCTGGCCTTGAAATTCTACATCTGGCTTTTTCAGAAGACGACGTTCGATCCCAGGCCTCCTAGGTACTTGGCGAGTTGACGGACGGCCCCCATGTATCAGTGCCCCGCCCCTGCTCTGCTCAGGAAGTCCACCCCGCCCTCCACATCTGGATGGAATTTACCCCCCAAGGCAACTCAATTACCAGTGATCTGATCAGGACGGCTCATGTGTCAGAGGGGGCCCTGGTGAAGGTTGCTCTGCCAGAGATGAAGGTTCCTGGGCCAGTGATCTACCCCTCCCACAGCCCAGGGTACCTTCTTGAGGTCCCTGGGTCCCAGAATGGGTCTGGTGAGCAGTGTCTCCTGCTGAGCAAGGGTAGGGGACCCAGAAGAGGCTGCCATCTCCTGCACGGGCTCAGATCCCCCATGCAAAGACCCAAGTCAGGGCAAGGAGGCTAGAAGGTAAGGGAAGATAGTGTATGCATTTCACACCCACGGGCCCCATCATGTACCCAACCATTAGAGTTTGCAAGGGCTGGAAAGCCTCATGACTTCTGTCCACATTCTGGATTCTAGAAGGGGAACCTAGATGGTAGGACTGGCACCTGCTTGCAGGGCTGTGATAGTGAGGGTTGGGGACCTAGTGCTGTGTCTCAATAAACCTCCCTTGGGAAATCAAGACAATCCTGCTGTCTTCCTGTGGCTTCTGCTAAGTTGGCTAGTGGGGGACAGTGGGCTTTGGAGCTTCCTGTTTCTTCAAGTCTCCATTTAACGCCTCTTACTCTGAGCCCATGCTCAAGGACTGTTTTCTTAGACATTGCACCTCTCGGCTGTGTCCCATCCCTCACCATCAACATACACAGGAGGCTCAGTGAGCCCAGGAGTTCTGGGACATAGTGTGCTGTGCTGATTGAGTGTCCACACTAAATTTGGTTTTGTTGTTTTGTTTTGTTTTGTTTTGTTTTTGAGACAGAGTTTTGCTCTTGTTGCCCATGCTGGAGTGCAATGGTGCAATCTCGGCTCACCGCAACCTCTGCCTCCCAGGTTCAAGCGATTCTCCTGCCTCAGCCCCTGGAGTAGCTGGGATTACAGGCACGCGTCACCACGCCTGGCTAATTTTTTTATATTTTTAGTAGAGACAAGGTTTCTCCATGTTGGTCAGGCTGGTCTGGAACTCCCAACCTCAGGTGATCCACCCACCTCGGCCTCCCAAAGAGCTGGGATTACAGTTGTGAGCCACTGTGCCCAGCCAGGTTTTTCTGGTTTTTGTTTTTGAGACAGAGTCTCGCTGTGTCACCCAGGCTGGAGTGCAGTGGCATGATCTTTGCTTACTGCAACCTGCGCTTCCCGGGTTCAAGTGATTCTCCTGCCTCAGCCTCCTGAGTAGCTGGCACTACAGGCGCATGCCACCACCCTGGCTAATTTTTGTATTTTTAGTAGAGACAGGGTTTCACCATCTTGCTCAGGTTGGTCTTGAACTCCTGACCTCAAGTGATCGGCCCACCTCAGCCTCCCAAAATGCTGGGATTACAGGCATGAGCCACCGCACCCAGACCACACTAAATTTGGCATGAATATAATGACTTCCTGGGGGTAGGAAACCACCCGGTTACCTAAGGAGGGACAAACTTCCCTGTATCAGAAACAGAGTGGGTCAAAACCCTCACACTCCTCAGTAGTGGGATCTTGCCTGTGAATACCCACTGCCCTCGCAACACATCGTGGTCACGGGTAGGGCTCGCCAGACCGAGGAAGCAGTGTCCCCCGCCCACAGAGAAACACACACTACCTCCTTCCATCTGAGAGTTTAACCAGGACCTCTCTGGCATCCAGCGCAGCAAATGTTCACGAATGCCAATTCAGAACAAGCACGGTGCTCAGCCCTGCTGCAGGGGGAAAGAAAAGACTGAGGCTGAGTCTCACTCCTCCAGGGGCTCATCCTGTCACCAGGGACAGAAAATGCTGCCCCTAGAGCCAGTCTGTGCTGCCGTGAAGGGCATAGGCTGGAGGTAGCAGGTTATACTCGTAGGACACACTTAAATACCCGCACTGCCACGGACAGGCTGGGGGGCTTTCAGCAAACAGTTCGGCCTCCCTACCAGCTTTCTGGGGTTGTCAGGAATGCGTGTATGGTGCATGTGAAACGCTTAGTACAGTGCCCGGCACAGAGGAAGTGCTCCATTAATGGCGGTTTTCTTATTATTTTATGAGATAATTAGTATCCAGATAAGTATCCAGATATAGTATCCAGATAAGTATCCCAGTACCTGGGAAACTTGCTATTGCAGAGCCCAGCCCAGAACTCCTACGAAACCCCCTTTCTAAAGAGGCCTCTGAACTGTTACCAACAGAGAGTTCCATGTGCAGAGACAACACAACTCATGGACTTTCCACATCAGCAAGCTGATGGTGGCGGTGGAAGGCAGGGGCCGCTGATGGTGGTGGGGAGGGAGGGGTCCCCAGAGGCCTGAAGGTGCAGGCTGACATGGTGGGGGGTCTGGCTTGGGAAGGAGGGGGAGGTTGAGGTGGGGCCAGGTTCACAGGGGCCTTGAATCAATCCCCTCTAGCCCCTCATATGGCCGGGGGACCTGCTGTCGGTTTATTGCAAGGGTGACGACAAGGACACGGAAGCGCTTGTTCAGGAAGCTGATTCTGGGGCCGGATGCAGGTTACACCGAGGGCCACCCATGGGCAAGGAGGCCTGTCAGGGCCTGTTGCAACCCAGACAGGATTTAATGCCAGGATCCATTCTCAACACAAAATTCCAGACAGGGAAATCACCATGTACCGGGCGAAGCCCCTCTCACATCCTTTAATATCACGTGATGCTCACAGTTGAGTGAAACGACGATCTCTGCTTCACAGGTAAAGAACCAGGTCCTTAGAGAAGGGACCCCACACACTTGCTAGTGGCATGGTGAGGCCAAGAACCCGGGAAGCAAGCTTCTGCATCAGTGCCCCCTTTTTCATGGATGGTTTGGGGGTGCTCTTCCTGGCAGGGGCCAGGAAAGTGACTGTTATTGGCTGTAGAGACACCCAGTGGTATGCGGTGCTGAGTAGTCTTGGGACCAATGCTGGGGCCAAGTACTGAGTGAGCCCCAGGAGGGTGACCCGCACTGGCTCTGGAGTCAGGGAATCCTGGTTGGAGGCCCAGCCCCCTTACCACCAGTGTGGCCTAGGGAGACATCTAAACCTCTCTGAGCCTCAGTTGCCCTAAAGTGAGGATGACTGTGGTACCTACTGCAAAGTGTATCGGAGAAGAGTCCCTGAGAAGACATCTGCGAAGACAGAGGCTCTTTCTGTACTGTGAGCCTGGGGGTCGGCGGTGGGGGCTTGTCTTACAGTAACTACTGCAGTGCCAGTGCTGGGCACAGGCTTGATTGTAGCAGGGACTCAATCAATATCATCATAATAAAGTGTTTGCATTTATCATGGGCACTTAGTAAGTGTCAAGCACTGTGTTAACTGCTTAACTAAATGGATGGTTAGGCAGTTGATGAGAAGGGATTGAATTCTAACAGGAGAGGGGAACTGAGGCCACCTCCGGAGAATGAATAGACATGAGTGGGGAAACTGCACAGACCCCAACCGAGGGACCCTGCCTGGAGGGAGCTGGGAACAGCTTGCCGGCAAAACCTTGCCAGCAAACACAAGCTCAGAAGAGCCGGGGTCGATTTTCTGTCCTGCCATCATTTTGCTGCGTGACTTTGGCCAAACCTCAGACCTCTCTGGGCCTCTGCTTTTGTTCCTAGAGAACAGATGGAGGGCGAGAGGGGACTTGGGAGCTGAACTGTAAAGGAGGGAGGCTCCTGCACCTGAGGCTTCCAGGTCTGTTGGGATCTGCCGGCCTGAAGGGGATTTCCTGGGGCCAGCCCCATTCCCAGCCCTGCTGACGTCACCCCTGGATGGGTGCCCAGAGTTGGAGGGGATGCCCAGAGCAGCACTCCAGTGGGAAAGGCAGGCGGGCACTCTCCCAGCCCACACAACAGCCCTCCCTCTGGGGCTCTGGGGTCTCCCCAGCCCATCCCCCAGGCAGGGAAGTGGGGATCCCTCCTGTTGAAAGAAGAAGGCACAGCCCCTTGGCCCAAATCCGGATTTGCTGTGTGACCTGAGGCAAGTCCCTGCCCCTTTCTGAGCCTTGGCTCCCCATCTCTGCAATGAGGATAGCAGAGATCCCAAGCTCTTCTGGAACTCTTAACACTCAGGGATCTGGCTGGGGGGTTAAGGGATCCGGGAAAGGGAAATGGGGCAGGGGGCTGGATTCCAGGGGCTTGCTTCCCACAATAGCACAGAAGGTATAGCGGGTGGTGGGAAGTGCTGTGGGATAAAGGGAGCCCCGAGTCCTCCAAGTGGCTCCAGGAAGGGGCAAAGCCAGCCTAAGGTTTTGGAAACATATTTATTTTTAAGTGTCCTGTGTCGCTGGGGGCTTTTTCTTCAGGTTTTGAAATGCTACAGAAGTCAGTACTCTGATGTGTGTGTTTGTCAAGCAGAATATGGGCTGTATTTATTCATCCTTTAGCCCAAGCCCTTAAAAATATAGACGGCTAATGTCTTCAGTATGTATGAAATATCCCATATGCTCGGAAACAAAAGGGGCTCTGTTATTAAAGTTTCATTTCCACACGCCCCCTCCCCTCCCTCCCGCCCGCCCCCCTGACACCCTGCCCTCCTCCCATCCCGCTCAGCCTGCTCCAGACAGAGCGCGAGTGAGGAGCAGGCGGGCAGGCGGCGGGCAGCCGGGCAGCCGTGGACAGAGGCCCGGGCACAGCCAGTTGCTGTGCCAGAGGGTGTGGTGTCCGGCTACAGGTGAGGGGGCGACCACAGGGAAAGAGAACAGGGCCTTCCAGGGGAGAGGGGGCCTCGGGGTCCCTGGGATGGCCAGTGGAGGAGTGGGGGTGGAGGTGGCCCTTCTTGCGGGTGCCTGTAGGGCCAGGGCCCTGGCAGGGCCTGGCTGTCTGGGACGGAAATGCCAGCTCTCCTGTTAACTGAAACCACATGTGTCTCCCAGGCAGCGGGGCAGAGACGCCGCCAAGCCTGGGGCTTGGGGCTGGGGGAGAAAAGATGCAGCTGGCCCCACCATGTGCCCCAGGGTGGGTGAGGGGCTGTGCAGGAGGGCTCGGGGTCATTTGCATCCGTACAAGTGAGAGTGTGTCAGAGTGTGAGTGAATGAGTTCTGTGCGTGTGCTTGTTGTATGAATGAGCGTGTGTGCACACGCGAGAGCCTGTCTGCAGGTCGGTGGGGTATTCCTGCTTGCAGGGCTGAAGTGGCCTCCTGTGGCCTAAGTCCTGGGCACACTCCTACCTGTCACCCAGAGCTTGGGAGCCTGCTGGCTGCCCCCTGGGAGGGTCCTCTGGGGTGAGAGGACACTCACCTGAGTAGGGGGTGGTCCTCACTGTGCAGAGACTCCCTTGTGACCACCATCCTCCTTCATTCCTTTTCTTTCAGCCCAGCTCAGTCTTCTGGCACCTGCACAACCTCTGCCCATTTCCCTGGGGGAAAAGCTGATAAGTAGAGCAAGGAGGTGATAACAATCTCGGCTCCCACATCTGTTTTCATCTTTTTCAGAGCAGTCACCTCCAGGAGCTCGGCATCACCACTGTAGCCCTGGCAGGTGAGAAAACCTAGCCTGAGTGAGGGACAGCTTCCTTATGGCCATCGGGGAGACAGTGGTGGGCCATCCAGACTCATCGGGGGCACAGAGGACACTGGGATGTGGGCTCAGCCTTGGTGCGAGGCTGGAGTCCACACTTTCAGGTTCTGTGGCAAATGGGGCTCCCAGAGGGCCTAGGTGACCTGAGTCCTGGATCATCTCTCCTTAAGGAATGAGCCTTACTGGGCGCCAGGCTCTGGGTTCTGGTGGTGGCCCTGCCACTGCCTTGCTACGGATGTTGGACACGTCTCCTCCTGTCTCCGGGCCTGTTTCCCTATCCCCACAATGGCAGAGTTGGGCCAGGATAGTGTTTTCCAAAGTCTGGTGTGTGCACCTCTGGCAGCCCATGAGACGGTGCCATGTAGACTGCCAATTTTCATTGTAACAAGGAGTGTGTGTTGTTTTTACCTACATTAGGGAAAGGTGTCTAAATAGCATATCAAGCCAGCGGGTAGTTGGAAATAAAGGAATAATGGACCCAAATGAATAAAAGCCGGGGATCAGGAGAAGATCCTTGTGTTCTGTCCCTTTTGGCAATGGGCTGTCATTACGCTTCCAGCATTTTATTTGTTTATTTATTTTTATTTGTTTATTTTATTTTTTTAGAGACAGAGTCTCGCTCTGTCACCCAGGCTGGAGTCTAGTAGCATGATCATAACTCTTCCAGCTGTTTTTTCTTTTATTTTTTGTAGAGACAGGGTCTCACTATGTTGCTCAGGCTGGTCTCAAACACCTGGCCACAAGCGATCCTTCCCTCATGGCTTCCCAGCGCGCTGGGATTACAGACATGAGCCACCACGTGTAGCCGCTTTCATCATTTTAAATGTTCCTAAGAGCGTTGGTTTTGACTGTCTAGGGCCTGAAGGTGTGATCTGCTATGTAGGCCATCTTTTGGCCCCCACAAACTAGCAACCGCCCTGTAATTCTGTGATTACAGAGTGGAAAGCCCAGTTGCCACCTTAGGGTGTGTGTGTGTGTGTGTGTGTGTGTGTGTGTGTGTGTGTGTGTGGTGTATGCTGTGAGTGCTATGTGGGAAGGGGCAGGGGATGGAATGCGCAGAGCTGGGGAAAAGATCAGCCATCCTGAGTAAAAGCTGGATGCCCAAGGTCACAGGCAAGGAGTTTGGGAAAGAGATTGTCCCCTGACTGACATTTTCAAGTGCTTTGTCCGGCCTCAGCCTGGCTTTGAATCACCAGGATGGGTGGGTAGGCGAGAGGCCACCCTGGCCTTGGCCTTTCCTGCCATTCAGCTCTGGCTCCCAGGCCACTTGGCTGCGTTTTATCTGCCAGCCCAGGACTAGCCAGGGAGAGGTGCACTGGGAGGGTGCAAGGGTTCTGGGGGGGCCCCTTGGCAAAGCTCCCCAGTCACTTCTCCAGGCAAAGCTGGTCAGAGCTGGCATCTTTCAGGACATACTCCCTCACCCTCCTCCCTTTCTGCTAGATTTGCTGTTGCCGTTAGTGTTACTTGTGACCACAGTTGCTTATATGTGGATATTCATTGGTGATTTGTCTCATCACCAGCTCTTTAGGGTAGCCTGACCCTGCTCTGCTGCAGGAAATGCAGCTCTCGGGACCATTCTTTCTTGTCTTGTCCTGCAACAGGCAAAGGGTACCAAGCTTTGGCTCCAGGATGTGGACAGCATCCTTGGGTAGGGACGAATTCACAGTCCCTTCTTGGTGAGGCAGAGATGCAGAGGAAGGAGCACAGGGCTGGGTCCACCTGATCCCTGACCCTGACATGCAGTGTGACCCTAGGCAAGCTCCTTGCCCTCTCTGGCCCACCTCTCCTCTGGCCCCAGGAGGCATTGTCCTTGATGAGGCTAAAGCGATTCTCTAGTGCTGCCCTAGGATGAAACAAAATGCTATTTCCAGGAGACTCTTGTTCTTATGGAAGGGTGCCTTTCCTAGGGGGAAGAACCTTGTGAGTTTTGGAGTTGGGCTTCCTGGAGATGGGCATATGGAGTCATCCACAGTCCTTGGGCCTGGATTCCCTTGAATCCTGTTTCAAACCCTGGGGAAGCTGCTGGCCATGATCAGGGGCATAGCCTCTGCCTGCAGAACATGCCACATTCTAACTGACCTTCAGTGGCCTTGTGGGTCCTGCTGAACCACTAGCAGCTATACCCAAGGCCAAGGGCAAACAGAGATCTGCTTCATGCTGTCCTGGCATGGGCACGGTTATAGAGAGATCTGCCTGACCAGGGAGCGGGAGGTGGCACTGCTATGTGGGGAGGATGAGCGCTTAAAGAGCAACTGCGTCCCAAAGAAACATTCTCATTTAAAAGCAAAACTGTTCCCATAACTGTGGTCTGCTTAAGTAAGCCACCCTGTTGGGCTAAGGAATGGGGTGCAGATGGAGGCTGAAGATTCTAGAACTTATTCACCGACAGTGATGCCCTGGGTTCTTGACTTCCTTAGATTTTACTTTGATTTCTTTTTCCTGGGTTTGGTAGGGGCAGTGTGTGGAAGTGGCAACAATGCAGTTTATCTATGGAGTCACATCCATATCTACCGGTGGCAATGTTAACTTTAGGCGAGGAAAAACTGAAGGTAGCTGCTGGGTGAGGCAAAAAGAAAAAGAAGAGAAACTAGGTGACCCCGTGCTCTGCTCCTGTAGTAGCCGTGGGAGCTCACCAGGCGACTGCGTCTCAACTCCACCTTCCTGACCTGTAAAATGGATTGTCGTGAAAATTCACGAGGTGGCGGCACAGAAGCCCTGGCACACACTGCGGCTGGCACTGAACAAATTGTAGCTCAAAGGTATCAGGCCTGCTGATAGCTCTGCTGGCTTAAGGAGGGGGTGTGATTGTCATTTTACAGAGGGGAGAATGCGGAAGCAAATGATATGCCCTAAGATGAGAGAAGAGCACCAACTCTTCTGCAGGCCTGGGTTCCAGTCCCATCCCCGCTCCCCATGGCTCCATAACTTCAAGCAGATTACTTAATCCCACCACGTCTGTGTTTCCTCATCTGTAAAGTGGGCAGGAATAGCACCTACCTCACAAGGCAGTTATGCGGATGAAATGAGCCAACCCTAAGCTCCTGGCACATAGTAGGTGCTCAATGAACACTCCTCTAGCTGAATGGAAACCCAGAGGCCTTTGCTCCTCAAATTGCTCCCCTCTGATAGTCCCTGCAGTTCCAAGTTGGGACCACGGCCTTTGTGAGTAGTGAGGTTGGACGGTCAGAGGCCCTGAGCCCCAGGTGGGGCTCTCCCTGAGGCTGGTCTCAAATCTTGCCATAAACACTACCAAAAGCACTTCTTGGAATGTTCTCCCTGAGTCTCCCAGGTTGGCGGGTGGTCAGGACTAGCACTCTTCCTTGTCACTGATAGCAGGGATGGTATGATGGTTCATACCTGAAGGATATTTAAAGAGATGAGGAAACTCAGAAAATTGAGGCTCAGATAGGGAAGGGGCCTCTGTGGGATCAATGTGGCAACAAGGCAGGGATGGAGGGGTGGGGGCAAGAAGGTAGGAAATCTTATGGGGAGAGGGGAAGGGGAGGCCCTTGGTACTTACCCGGACAGGGCCTCCTTCCCAGCTTCACTGGAGCAGGAATGGGTTAAAGGGGACCGGAAAGGAGAGGAAGAAAGCAAACAGAGTCAGGAGAAAAGCCTGGAGCTGCAAGCTCACTGGGGTTGTTTGGTCTGGCTGGACCACCTCCTGGGCCACTCCCAGCAGCTCTGCAGACAGACTCCAACCACCCCCACCACACACACACACATACACACACACACACACACACACACAGATATGCACACACTGATACACAGAGACACGTACAGACACACACATAAATATAGGCACAAACGCACGACAGTCACACAGACACACAAATACACACAGACAGATATACATAGACACACACAGATGCATACATACGTACCCAGAGACACATATACATCACACTTACACACTGTTACAAAGATACACACAAAGAAACACAATTACACAGATTACACACAGACACATATATACAAAATGCCACATAGAAACACGTACAGACACACAGATACACGCCCAGACACGTACATGTGCACACATACACACACGTGGATATCATGCAGATATCATGCAGATATCCACATAAACACAAGATTCACATACAAACATACACAATGAATACATATACACACAGACAGACATAGACACAGACACGCACACAGACACACAGCAGAAGAAGCTCCAAGCTGGAGGACAGATGCTGGGATGGCGTGTTTCTGTAGCTACTTCTGGTTCAACCTGCTCCCCTCTGCCCCAACAACTTACACAGTCTCAACCCCCTCACTGCAGTAATACCTACTGTATACTGGGCACTGCCACTGTCAGGCTCTGTTCTAAGCTCTTATATTGTTTCATCCTCACAACCACCCAGTGAGGTGGGCACTGTGATTATTCTTGATTTGTACATGGAGAAGAGGGGAAGTCACTTGCCCAAGGCCACACAGTTCGTTTTTGGCTTCTCCAAGGCAGGCTGCCTGTGTGCAGAGCCGGCTGCCGAACCATGCTGCCACACTGTCCCAGAGCACTGGGCTCTTGCTCTGCGCCGGGCATGGGGACCAGCACTTTCACCTCCAATATTGCCATGCCCTGTGGAGCAGCAACATGATTTTGCCTTTTCTCAGGTCCAGGGAGGGAAAGTGACCTGCCCACAGTCACAAGGGTTGGAAGGAACAGGGCTGAACGTCTGAGTGTGTGCTGAGCCAAGGCTTCAGTGAGGAGGAGAGGCAGGTGACAGGGGCTGGCCAACCGAGCAAATCTACAGTTAGGCTGAGCGCCCCTCAGCCGCCTCTTTCAGTGTCTTCCTTTCCTTGACCTGCCCCCAACTCCTGAGCCTGTACTTCTATCCTCCAGCCCTTCCCTGTCCAGTATCTGACGCCCTCACACTTGTTCTTCATCCAGCCTCAACAACTGTGTCCTGAATGGATTTAATAGTAGCCTTGGATAACTGTTGACAAAACATATTTCCCTTCCATTATTTTATTTCATCCTACATTGGGGGGAGGGGGAGGGGGTTATTATCTTTTGATAGACTTGAGTCTGGGCTCCAGTCCTTACTGAGAGTCCTTGTCAGCATGATGCCAAACTAACTTAAATACGTGTCAGGTCCTCCATTGGGCTCAAAATGCCAACTGCCTAGGTACAGGATGTGGGAGATATGGCATAAAAGTAGCAGTTATTTAGTGACGTCTTTGTGGGCCATAAGCGTAATAGGAACATAGCTGTCGAAAGAAAAAAAAAGCAAATCTGATGTTAGGCTGCATTAATAAAGGTAGAATGTCCAGAGTGAAGGAGGTTATGGTCTTACAATGCTCTGTGCTGGTCTGGGTTTCCTGTAATATTGGGGTCAGTTTATTTCTACTGAGGAGTTTCTCATTCTCTGCTTGTTTACCACAAGTGACACGGAGCTCAGTACCTATTGAGGCACGTAATAACCCAAGGAATCACTTAGCCCAATGCCAAGGGGTGCCAGGATAGCTGATCTTTATTGAAGACTTTCTTTGCCAAGCACATTTAAATGAGAGGTAGGTACTATTATTATTCTAGTTTTACAGATGAAGAAACTGAGGAACAGAGGGTGATATAACTTGACCCAGGTCTCACAGCTGGTACGTGGCAGAATGCAGTGCTGGAGTATGGCAGTGGAGACCAGCCCTCCTGACTGCAATGCCAGCACTGTCCCCTGAAACGTAATGCGAGCACAGATGTAATATTACATTATCTAGCAGGTACACTAAAAAGTTAAAAAAAAAAAGGTGGAAAAAAGAAGCCCATGAAATCAATTTTAATAATGCATTTATTTAAACTCCAAATAGCGTCATGTTAACATGTAATAAATGTAAGAAAAAAACTTGTTAATGAGAAATTTTACATTCTTTTTTTGGTACTAAGTCTTGGAAATCTGGTGTCTATTCTTTATTTACAGCACATCTCAATGTGGGCTAGCCACATTTCAAGTGCTCAGTAGTGCATGTGGCTAGTGGCCGCCATGTTGGACGGCACAGTGCTATACTATATTTCCTTTCGAGGCACTCGCTGTGGTATAGCCTAGTGTGTAGGAAGAATCCATAAATGTCAGCCACTAGTATAATTATTTTTATCACTGGTTGTTGTTGGTGGTGGTCCAGGAAGAAGCTGGACTGAGGCCCCAAGCCCTTGGCATAAACTGTGCACTGATGTCACTCTTCTTAATCCAAGTCCTTCAACCCAGGAGCTTGATGTCTCACAGGCAGAGCCACCTTCATGAACCTTTGGCCCATGGACCCAAAAGGGCCAGCATGACTTTCTAGGAGAGGAAGAGAGGCCAGCCAGAAGCCCCTCCATCTTCCTGGCTGGCCAGCTGGGTACCACATGAAGTGAAGCTTCCTTGGGACCTATAAGCCTGTGGCCCATCTGCTCTGGAGTGTGAGGCAGCCGGGCCCACATCTGCAAAGGAGAGGGTAAGAGCCTCTCCTCCCATGGTTTCTTTAGGCTGGTTAGGCTTTTAAACAGAAAAAACAAATGAATAAAACCCACTATTTTTAATACATTTTTTTTTTCCTGAAACCCCAGGAGTTAAACAATGGAGCAGTGATGTGGGGTCTGCACTTTCCCCATCCCTGTATGATCTCTGGGCATCTACATAGTGCTTGCAAAGAGTGAGGGTTCCCAAACCTACCTGCGCATAGGAACAACCTGCGAAGCTTCAAAATACGCTGATCCCAGGTCCTACCCCCAGAAGCTGTGATTTAATTTGTCTGGGGTGTGGCCAGAGCTTTGGAATGTATAAAAGATCCTCAGGTGATTCTGATGAGGTGGACAAGTTTGGGAATTGCCATGCTAACCCTTAGGGGCACCAGCTCCGGTAGCCCTCACAGTTGCTATGATGCAGGCGTGGTTAGGGTTCCCACTCCACAGATGAAAGATTGGAGGCTCACAGAAGTAAAGTAACCGGGGCAAGTTCAGACAGTCAGGAAATGGGTATGATAGGGATTCACTAGTCATGGTTTTAACCAGCGGTGTGTGGATAAATGTCTAACAACTTGCTCTCTGGAGAAAAAAAAGCTTTGATTTGTAGCACCTGCCAGTTTCTGTGGTGTAACTACTCCCACCGTGGCCCATTTTAAGCCATTGACAATGTCCCTGAATGCAGAGCTGGGAAAGGGTGCATTGGCTGTTGAGACAGTGTGGCTGGCTTCAGCACACAGCTGGGCCACTTGGCATGGAGAAGAAGGGATCCCATTTGGTAGGCATGGTTAAGCATTTTCTATTTTTATTTTTAATTTTTTTAATTTTTTGAGATGGAGTTTCACTCTTGTCGCCCAGGCTGGAGTGCAATGGCTCTATCTCGGCTCACTGCAACCTCCACCTGCCGGGTTCAAGCAATTCTCCTGCCTCAGCCTCCCGAGTAGCTGGGATTACAGGCATGCACCACCACGCCCAGCTAATTTTTGTATTTTTAGTAGAAATGGGGTTTCACCATGTTGGCCAGGCTGGTCTCGAACTCCTGACCTCAGGTGATCTGCCCACCTCGCCCTCCCAAAATGCTGGGATTATCGGCGTGAGCCATCATGCCTGGCTGGTTAGGCATTTTCTGAATTTTTAGTCCTTGAACCCTTTCTGCAATGCAATATTTGGGAGCCCCAATGTATGCAACAGATAAAAAGCAGTATGTTATCAGCATAAGTTTACTATAGAAACCGAAATCATAGTATCCGTCTCAGTCTCTTGTTTAAACTGGGGGACAGGGTGAGGGGGCACTGTGAATGTGGCGGGGGGGGGCAGTGTGGAGCAGTCTCAGAGCCAGGGCCCTGTGTGCCAGCCCTCTCCCCATCTGCTGACTGCGTAGCCTTGGGCAAGTCCCTCCCCATCTGAGCCCCCATTTTCTGGTGTGGCCAAGGGAGACTGGACTTTGTGCAGAGTGGCCTCTGCCCTGCCACACCCCTGCCTGACCTCAGCCAGTCTCAGCCCCGTATTTATAGCCATGACTTCAGTCTCCCCAGTTCCTCTGAAGCTGGTTCCCTGGCCCATGTATTTATAAACCCAGCAGGGCAGAAATAGATGTGACGTACTGGGGACTTGGCTGGTTCTGTGAGCAGGCTGGCTTCAGTGAGTCCACTTGGAACAGGCTTGAGTGCCCCAGCATCCTGGGTGCTGAGTTCCACAGGCAGTCTAAAGCTGGAAGAGCATTTTGAGACCCCAGGCCCAGGCTTGTCATTGTGCAGGGAGGTCACCAAAGCCCAAGAGTGGAGGCATGTGGCCACAGTCACAGGCACGGCAGAGCCAGAGCCAGAACAAAGGACTCTGTGCTGTGTGAAATGGCCTCTCCCCAGACCCTCAGAAAACCTCCAGTGACCACGCCAGGCCACAGACACCGGTCAGGTTCCAGCTTGGTCATTTTCCTGCTCTGGGATCATGGGCACAGACTCACCCTCTGTGAGCCTCTGCTTCCTCAATCTGTTAACTGAGGGATAACAGTAGGTGCCTGCCTCATAATGTTATTGTGAGGAAGAAACAAGAAACAAGATTGATACAGTGCCCAGCACATGCTCAATATTCAATACGTGGTAGCTCTTGTAATGCCCTCAGTCACCACTTCACAAAAACAATAATTATAATAACAACAGCTGTTTCTATTGAGCATGTACACAGGTTACCTTATTTAATCCTCACAGCAATATGATATCATTATTATTGTCCTCAAACTCATTGCATATCATGTGTTTTACAGTGAGGAGATGCTCTACCAATAACGAACTTGGAAAAGAATGTTCCAAAAAAAGAATGCTAACATATGAAATCTTATTTTTTATATACAAGATTACAAAAAATACTCATTTCTAAATAGTAGACATATTCAGAATGGAATAGGAAGGTTCTAAAATGGTGAACAATTGAATAATCAGAATATTAGCCTAAGAAATATGTCTCCCAAGGGTTTGTAGGGCTTATGTTTCTAAGTTTGTCACCTAATGTTGGTTTGTGTTTTTTTTATAATTGCATATGAGGATTTAACATAATAGTGAACTTGAAATGCATATGCTATACAAAACACGGAATGGCATCTGTTAAGATTTGTTATGTTCATAGCAGTTTCTTTATCTTAATGACACGTAGCACTCCCAGGCCGCCTTTCTGGCTTATTTTTCCATCGTATTTAACACCATCTGACATACTTTCTTATTTATTTATCTGTCCACCCCAGCTAACATGTGAGCTTCACGTGGGCAGAGTTTCTTTCTCTTTTGTTCACTGTGTACTGCCAGCACTTAAAATAGTGATGGCACTTAGCAGGCGTTCTGTGAATATGCATTGAGTGAACAAATGAGTAAATGAATGACTGAGTCTCCATTCTACCAGGAGGGCACCTGAAATTCAGTAAGATGCAGGGACTCATCTGAAGTTACCCACTATTCTGAGGCTGAACTGAAGCCTTATCTCTCCTGAGACCACCCAGTGTGCCCAGCTGGAAGTTCTTCCCAACCTCTCACCACTACCTCGTGCCAAGGGCTGGTTTCCTATGGCTCCTGGGGCTCCCCCCAGCTCCACCTCATGCCCATCCAACACTGGTCCCTTCTGCCCCAGGAGGTGGGCAGAAATGGAGGGAGGACTAGGGAGGAAGGAGAAGGGGTCAGAGTAGGCTGGGCGGTTGGGATGGTTGATACTGATGGCCGCTGAGGAAGGGAGGAAGGATGCCAAGATTGGTCAGTCTGTCCTGAAGGACTAGAAGAAGGGATCGGGACCGTGGGATCATGGTGGACATCCCTCTGGGACTGACTACCCCAACTGGAAAACACTGGAAATGGGCAAGGCCAAGGAGAATTCAGGTGTAGCAGCAACCTTGCTGCTACCGCTCCCACTAACCACTTTGCTCAAGGCCTTTCTCAGCTGGAGAAACTGAGGCCTGGTAAAAGAAAGTGATTCTTCCAAGAATGCAGAGCAAGGTAATGGAAAATGCTGGGGTTTCTCATGCTTACTAGCTCTGGAGGTTGGAAGGGCTTGGAATTCCCCGCCTTTGGAGCCATGAGGAAGAAACCCCCAACCTTGGATCTCATCCCCTCTTTGGGAGAGAAACACTAAGGCAGGAACATAGGTCAGGTTCGCAAGGACAACAAAAGCTTTCTTCCTGTTGTCAGGGAGAACTTAGCTCTGGATAGACCAGACAGTTCCCCTACCCTAGACTGGTGCTGAGGGTGCTTCCAGACAGGAATCTGGTGGGCAGGTGCACCTGAGCCATCTGAACCCGTTCAGAGTCACCTTTTCCTCAGGATGCCTCCGTTTTGCTCCTAGGTTACACCTACAGTCAATCTCCTGGCCACCCCACATGTATTGTTTCATTTGATATATATTACGCATCTACAATATGCCAGGCAATGTACCAGACATCAGAGAGAAGCTCCTTCCTCCCTCCCATCCTTCCATTTCCCATTCCTCTCTTTCATTCGTTCATCTTTTCATTCTTTCGCTCAGCAACTACTTATACCATTGAGAAAGTACAGCCTTATGGATAAGAGTGACATTTGGAGCTAGACCATCAGGATGTGAACCTTGACTCAATCGCTCACTAGCTGTGTGAGCTTGGCAAGTCATCGCAGCTCCATTTCCTTATCTGCACAATGGGGATAATAATAGCACCTTCCTTATAGGGTGTGATGAGGATCAAATGAGCTGCTGCAAATGAAGTGTCTGAATAGCACCTGACAGAGTAAACACTCCATATACATCAGCTATTATCATTGTTACTGGTTTTGTGTTTTGTTCTTCTTTTCTTTTTTCTTTTTTCTGAGACAGGGTCTCACTCTGTCACCCAGGCTGGAGTGCAGTGGCACAATCATGGCTCACTGCAGCCTTGACCTCCTGGGCTCAAGCACTCCTCCAGCTCAGCCTTTCAAGTAGCTGGGAGTACAGGTGTGTGCCACAATGCCTGGCTAATATTTAATGTTTTGTAGAGACGGGGGTCTCACTATGTTGCTCAGGCTGGTCTCAAACTCCTGGGCTCAGGTGATCATCTCACCTTTGCCTCCCAAAGTGCTGAGATTACAGGCATGAGCCACTGGTCCTGGCCTGTTGCTTTATGTGCCTGGACCTGTGCCAGCTGCTGAAGAAATTGCTCCAAAATTCTCCTCTTGCTGGGACCTCTGCCTGCCAGCCAGCCCTTTTTTCAGTCCCATGCCTGCTGGTCTGGCCATGTTGCCTCCAACCCAAACCTACAGAGCTGGGCCTTGCAGTCATTTCCCCCAACCGTGTAGGGCTGCCCACCCCCCTACTTTGTCTCTCCAGCCAGCAGGAGAGAGCCTAGGCAACCAAAGGCTGTCACAAACTGGCCATCTTCTCAGCCCTTCCATACATGCCCTAACCTCAGCCTATCCAAGCCCGCCTCGTTCTTCAGAGTCATCCCCAGTGGTCCTGCCTTCTTGCCTTCACTGGGCCTTGATGGATGATCTTTACCCCAGGAAACCTTTCCTCACTCCCCTCAGCCAAGAATCATAAGATTTGGCTTTGAGCCTGCATTTGCAGTGTTGCTTTATCTGTGAGCAATGAGGAGCCATGGAATGCTCTTGAGCAGGTGAGCAACACAGTCAGAGCCACACTCTAGGACAATGGATCAGACTTTCTATAGGATGGAAACAGGAAGAGACAGCAGGTGGGGAGGTCAGGTAGAGAGCCATGGGCAGTGGGGCCTTTGGAGGAATGAGGGTCTAGTCTTCCTGGGCTGCTTCTCCCTTCTCCGCCCTATAGCCTTCCACCTATAAAATTAGATCTTGTGATTTCCCCAGCCTGACTCAGTGAGGCAATGGAAGAGTCGAAACAAGGACCCCATGCCCTGACTTCTGCAATGCACCTACTTAAGCCCTAATGCTCAGCACCCCTCACTCCCTTTCCCTTCTTCTACAGCTTACAAGGGAGGCTCTTTTGACCCATGGGGACCCTGCAGATGATGGGGAATCAGAAGGAGGCTGGACTGTGCCTTATAATCATTGCAGTCTGTGCACACCAAGCACTTGGGGCCCCGAATGCCAGGCTCACCAAGCGTCTGTAGAGCCCAGCAGGTGAGCAGCACACAGCAATGCTTCCTCATTCCCCACTGGGTGAAGGAATAAGCCTATATTTTCTCTATTAATCCCTACAAACACCCTGGGAAGTGGATCGTGTTTTAAGCCTTGTTTTGCAGGCAGTAAAAGTGAAGCTCAGAAAGATAAGAGACATGTCCAGGGTCAGGCAGCCACTGGGTGAGAATTCCAACCCAGACCTGATGCCAAAGCCAGTGCCCTTCCCCCACCACACACACAGCAGCAGAAGGGATGCCAGGGCCCCAAGGCCATTGCAGAAGCCAACAGTTGGAGCCCTGGGGTGTCTTGGCCGGCCCTCAGACTGTGGAGCACCTGACGCTCAGCCGGTCCTCTGGTCCTGGGGGCCCCTGCTTGGACTCATGCAGAGGTGAAGGGGAGGGAGAAGGGGAGGCTGACCCCTCAGAGGGAGCAGGGCTTATGTGAGGAGCTAGAGTCTAAGGGTCTGGGTACCTGCGTTCCAGTGCAGCGCCTACCTCTGGCTTGCCATACAACTGCAGGTAAATCCTTCCCCTCTGGGTTCAGAGTTCTCCTCTCTGAGATGAGGACAGCGTGTTCTGTGGACTCTATCAGCCATTTCTGCCAAGGCTCAAGTATTTTAGAGCTTGTGTCCAGATGAGGGTCATGAATCTGGGGGAAATGGAATTAGAAGTTGGTAGGACTCCCTCCCATGTCTGTGGAGTCTGCAGCAGGTGCTCTCCTACCCACAGAGGAGATCCGCCCTCATGGATGGGTTGGCCATCTGAGCGATGGCTGAGTCCAGCAACCCCAGGAGCTGTGGGGGTCCCTGGAGTCTGCAGCTGCTGAGAGCAGTGAGTACAAGCACAGACCTTGGCTGCCTCCATTCACATCCTGCTTTGCCATTTCCCACCCGTGTGACTCTGAACACAGTACTTACCTCTCCGTGCCTCAGTTTCCTCCTGTATAGACTGCACTGACACAGCAGGAGTGTCAGGTAAAGGGCTGGGTTCAGCACCTAGCAGGTGCTCAGTTAGTGGCAGCTGCTATTATTGTTTCGGGTCCCGACCCCCACAGCTCCTGCACAGAGGTGGGTGCTGTGGGGCTCAGGCTTGCATAGGGCCTGCCCAAGCTCCCCGACTGGGTTGGGAGTCCTCCTTCCTCCTTGGGAGGGAACCTTGAATTGGAGTGCTCCTGCCAACTCCTCCCTCCTGGCTTGGCAGCGTGAAGACAACGCCGGCCAAAAATATTTGTGTGGGTGGCGGAAAGTTAACTTTTCCGCCTCTCTCTTCTTTCCTGGAAACCGTGGCCACCGTCAAATACATCAAAACAGAAGCAGGGATAGAGTGAGGCGAGGCCCCTGCGGGGAGTCAGAGGAGCCCTGCCCCCTCCCCACGCCCACTCCTTCTGCCTCCGGCCATCTGGCTCTACGGTGGGGGGATGACGGAGGTGGGTATCCAAGTGCTTAGAATCAGGGGATCCTGCAATGCCACAGTTGGACGGATCCTCCAGCATCATCTGGCTCAGTCTCACCATGGTGTCCTCCGGGAATCTGACTACAGAGTGCGAAAAGCACCTGCCCCAGTTCACAGTCCTGTCTCTTCTGAGTGCTGCTGGCCTTTGTGAGATTCTAAGATTCTTTGAAACTCAAATGGCAGAAATCTGGCAGCAGCTGGTGAGTGAGAAAGCACCTGGAGATGAATGAGGGCCTGGAGCCTCTCCTCCATGTCTCTGAATCCACCATCATGGTCAAGGTGTCAGAGCTAGGTTGGAATCCCAGCCTGGCCACTTATTAGCTGTGTGCCTTAGGCAAGAAGTCACTTCACCTATCTGAGCCTCAATTTCCTCACCTCTGAAATGGGATAATAATAAGGTAATTCTCTCATAGGGTTGATGTGAGAAATTACGGCAATAACCTAAGTGAATGACCCAAGATAGAAGAGGTGCTTCTGTTCTTCCCCGGGGGGCAGAAGGTGGGCTTCTTTCTCCTGATTTCCCTGCCACTGAGGCTGCTATAACAGGTGCCTGGTTATCTTTCTGATCCGGATGGTTGTTTGCCTTTCCCCTGGTTGGCTCTGATTTTCCCTGGGGCTTGGTAATGCGCTTATCTCTCTGCCTGCCTGCCAGACTCTCCTGGCACAGTCCCAGCCAGAAACCAAGACCTTGACCCAGCCTGCTGCAGTGGGAGGTGCCTGACCCCTGCTTGGGGGCGGAGGCGTGACCACAGCAGCTGAGGTCAGTCCAGGTCCTCAGGTCACTCATGTCCACAGACTCTCACAATTTTCAGGATTCTCACTGCTCCCCATTTTGCAGTAGGATAAGTGAGAGTAAGAGAGTTCACACTTGCCTGAGTTCACACAGCTAAGTAGCAGCGGAATCCAGTCTTTAAGCAAGATCCCTTGATTCTAGGGTTTCCTCCCAAGTGTAATTGGCCATCTGCTCTGTCTTACGCACTACCTGCCCATCCTGGGCATCTCACCCATCTCCACCCTTTGCCTCCACAAATGATTTCTAGATATTTGTCCCCAGCCTGGAATTCTCCCCTGTTCTCTAGACCCCTATGTGGAACCGCCCACTGCTCATCTCCCCTGGAAATCCAAAACCTAACTCATCTCCCTGCTCCACTAAACAGCTGCTCCTTCTCATTTATTCCTGATCTCTATTAACAAAATCTCTGTCACCAGAGCTAGGAACCTGGGCTGCATCCTAGGCTCCTCCCTCTTCTCCACACCCACTCTCCATCTGCCTCCAAGCCCAGCCAGTTCTTCCACCCAAGTATCTCTCCCATCTACCCCCTCCTCACCACCCCTTACAGAAAGCCTCCATTCCCTCTTGCTTGGATTATCATCATTCTTAACATTTATATAAATAATCATACAATGATTATTGTTGTTCCTGCTATCATTCACAGCTCTCCTCACCACATTTTAAGGCTTCTTTATCCCTCTGCTATATCCCCAGTACTTTTTATGATGTCTGAAAAATAATAGGATCCTAAGAAATTTTTGTGGAATGAAAGAACAGCCAACATGTATTAAGGTATGGCTTAGAAACTGTGCTGAGTCCTCTGCGTGCATTTTTTCATGTAATCCTCAATGCAATGCGAAGTTAGAAATATTACAATACCCATTTTACAGACGGGGAAGTGGAGGTTTAGAGAGGTCCTGTGGCTGGCTTGTTGATCGTCACACAAATGGCAGAGCTAGGATTCTAACTGCAAGCCTGGGCACAGAAACTGAAAGCACACCACTGCACCATCTTCTTTTGTTTTTTTTGGCTGAGTTTCTGCTCTGTTGCCCAGGCTGGAGTGCAATGGGGCGATCTCGGTTCACTGCAACCTCCACCTCCTGGATTCAAGCGATTCTCCTGCCTCAGCCTCCCAAGTAGCTGGGATTACAGGTGCCTACCACTACGCCCAGCTAATTTTTGTATTTTTAGTAGAGACAGCGTTTCACCATGTTGGCCAGGCTGGTCTTGAACTCTTGACCTCAGGTGATCCACCCGCCTCGGCCTGCCAAAGTGCTAGGATTACAGGCATGAGCCACCACCCCCGGACTGCACAGTGTTTCTTGTTGCACAATCTCCTCCAAGGGCTCCTATCCCCAGTTTGCATCTTAGGTCACACCACTCCTGTGATTCCTGTGGTGTAGGTACCTTTGCTGGGATATGAGTGAATTCTTTCTAGGTGGTGTCTAGATACGTGTTGTTAAATAACTAGATATTTATTTAATGTGCATTGGGGGAAAAGGACTGAGCACAATATACTTGTGGTTTCTCTGCAAATATTGCTTAAGATAATTCTAAAGTAATAGAAGTAAGTGATTTCAAGTTGATTAATGGAAAAATATTAGATAAAGTTTCAGGTAGCATGAGGATGTGGTGAAAATCCAGGATGTTAAATGACTGGAGCTTTCGAAACACTTCCCTATGGAAGTGTGGAACCTGCACCCCAAATGCCGACCAGTTCTCAGGGTCACCTGAAGAGGAACAGGCTTCAGAAATTCAGCCTGGAACCCCAAGCGAGCTTTCTCATGTGCTGTTTCTTTCTTCCCTATGCCGATAGATTGCCCCAAAGCGGCCTCACACCAGAGACGGGTTAAGAAGAGGGATTGGAGGTCCACCACTCCACTAGCCCAGGAAGGACTTATCTTTCGTCTCAGCCAGACCTCACCCCAATTCTGTGAATCAGCGGAGGAAGGCAAAAGTGCAGAGAGTCAGAGGAGGCTGTGTAAGGAGCAGAGACCAGGGCTCACACAGCTGGCCCCAGCCCAGGCCCTGGCCCAGGCCCAGGAGCCTGCTTCCCTGCATCGCTGAGGAAGAACAGCACCATGCTGGGTCCTCACCTCCCACCTCCGCCCCTTGCACCCAGCGAAGGGAGGCCTACCCCCTGCGCCTTCCAGATCCCTGATGGAAGCTACAGGTGTCTGGCTCTGGAAGCCGAGGAGAGCAGCGGTGAGGAGGGCCTGCAGGGAGAGGTGGGGCCTACCGACCTGGAAGAGGATGAGGGGGTCAGCAGGAGTGGGGACGACTCTGCCTGCAGAGTCACCCAGGGGACACCGCAGCTGCCCAAAGCCCTGGGCATCCAACCACCCAGCTGCTCCAGAGAGGAACAAGGGGCGTCCCAGCACGACGACAGGGCCAGCCAGGACTGGGATGTAGTGAAGGCCGGGCAGATGATGACAGCCAGCCCCAGCCCTGGCCCTGGGCCCAGAGTGGCCCAGAAACCAGGTAAGCTTGTGTTCCTTTTCCCTTGGACTACCAGAGTCACTGGAGACCCCCCAGGTCCTTAGTACAAGGGCTCCTGACCATATTTTTCCATGATCCACAGTAATTCATCACAGTCCCATGGGCATGCCCAGATTAACAGCTGTGGAGAGATAGGAGCGACAGCGAGCTACGTGCAGTTCCAGCTGCACCACATCTAACCCCACTCCTTTCTCTGCCAAAGAGGGCACGTGAGAAGGCAGTGAGAGAAAGCCACATTATCTTGCTTGGCTAAAAAAAAAAAAAATGCCCATTTCCCACTCTCGTCTGCCTTTTAATCATTAGCGGCAACAAATCACTGCGGTGTCCCAAGCAACCGATGGGGCAGAACCCTCTCATTAAATGGATTGAGTGCTGGCTACGTGGGGGTGCTGGGGACGCGGCACTGGACCAAACGGATGTGGTTGCTGACCTCATGGAGCTTGGGAGGTAGAGACTGAAGCCTTTGATAGAATTTGACCCCCCAATTTTACAGGTGGGGAAACTGAGACTCAGAGTGAGGAAAAAGACAGCTAGAGGTCACTCAGCGTGTTAGTAGTGGCTGAGCTAGGCCCACGTTCCTCGCCTAGGCCTTGGTTTTTCATTTGTTAGAGGTGACAAGGGCAGATAGAACACCACCTAGGCTGCAGTGAGATCCCATGACAGCGTGTGGGGAGAGCACAGTGTGCGCGGCACGGAAGGAAGGAAGGGCAGGAATGATGATAATTTTCCTGCAGCGGCTGCTGTCTGCAGAGCAGGGCGGGACAGGGAAGCCCACGCTGAATCACCTCCACAGCCAGCCCATGGAAACGCTGAAGTGGGTCCAGATGGGGAGGACGTGAGCAGGGCCATGCTCAGCTCAAGCAGGAGCCGCAGCCAGTAGATCCCGGGGGTGCAGGGCATGCGGGGGACACAGTCCCGGGAGGGCTTGTGCGTCAGGAAACTGAAGGAACACTTCATTTCTCTGCAGGCGTCGTTGACGCCCGGCTGGCATCTCACCAGCCTTCCCGCCCACTCTTCTCTCTGAAATAATTCTCTCCAGGCTCTGATCACCCCCCATGGCCACCATTGTCTACCAGGCTGGGGTCACACAGGGGGCTGGGCAGGAGCAAGAAAGGACCTTTAATCCCTCTAGGGCAGGAAGAAGGAGGACCCCAGGGAGGCACTGCAGTCTTGAACTTGGAGGTGGGCCCTCACACCAGAGTCCGCCCAAATTCAGTCTCCTACAGTCTGAAGTTCCCAGGACCTGCTCCCATCCCTCTCACGGGCCCAGGCTGGGGTCAGGAGACATAGATGCTTTCTAGACTGGATGTTGCCGACTAGCCAAGCCCTAGCAAATCCCTTCCCCTTGGTGAGCTCTACTTTCCTCCTCTGTGAAAATAAAATAAAAATATGAGTCTTATCTACCTCAAAGAGCTGTTAGGAGGTTGCAATGATCTTAGTTGTGGCAGTGTTTTGGAAATTTTAGAGTAATCTAGATAGGTATGTAAGAAACGTTTATACCTAATTGAAATGACCATCATCAGCTCAACAATAGGACTGCTATTATTTGTTAGAAGCCTTTATGTGCTAAGCCCTGTGCCAAGAGCTTTACCCTTTTCATTTCATTTAACCTCGTAGCAATCCCCATGAGGGACATACTTTTATTATTTTCATTATACAGATGAGAATATAGAGGCTCAGGAAATATATGTGACTTATCCAAGATGCATGACTAGCAAGCTGCTAAGCCATGATCCAGTCATGGTTTTTTGAACACGAGGCTTGTGCTCTTGGCCACCACTGTCTTCTGGAATTATAGGAGTAAAGTGTTGTCTGCGGACATCTTGGAATGGAAGAGCCCATGGATGGAGAGGACAGAAGAAGGCACTACCTTTAATGAACTCTGTTGGCAAGTCACACCAAGCCAGTTCATTTGATAGCATCTCACTCTTGTTATTGTACTCTCAAGGCAGGCAGGTATTATTCTCCCCATTTTACAGGTGAGGCAACTGAGGCTCAGAGATTTAAGTCCCCTACCCAAGGTCACACAGCTAGTGCCAGAGCTGAGACTATGATTGTGTTCTTGCCTGGAACAGTATGGTTCATTCCTTTCTTTTTCTTTTTTTCTTTTTTTCTCTTTCTTTCTTTCTTTCTTTCTTTCTTTCTTTCTTTCTTTCTTTCTTTTCTTTTCTTTTTTTTTTTTTTTGAGATGGTATTTTGCTCTGTCGCCCAGGCTGGAGTGCAGTGGCATGATCTCGGCTCATTGCGACCTCCGCCTACCGGGTTCAAGCAATTCTCCTGCCTCAGCCTCCCAAGTAGCTGGGATTACAGGTGCCCGCCACCATGCCCAGCTAATTTTTGTATTTTTAGTAGAGATGGGATTTCACCATGTTGGCCAGGCTGGCCTCGAACTCCTAACCTCAGGCGGTCTGCCTGCCTCGGCCTCCCAAAGTGCTGGGATTATAGGCGTGAGCCACCGCACCAGGCCTCATTCCTTTCTTTACTGTCCAGCCAGTCTGTCATCCAGTTCTGTCCTAGAATATTTCTAGGGACAGAGGGGGCAGAAAAGACTTCAGAAGGATGAAATGGGCAGGGAAGACTTCTTGGAGATGGAGGCAGGAAGGAAGCTGGGTCTTGCAGGAGAGTCAAAATCCGGTGGTCTTGGGTCAGAGCCCACACTTGCCTTTCTGCTCCCTTGGGAAAGGGAGTGGCTAGAGTTCCTTCTCCCTTCCTGGAGATCAGGAGGGAAGAAGGCTGTGGGGCTGCCAGGTTATTAGCGGATTAGGGCTTCATTTTAAAGCTTCCTGCCATTACCGCCGAAGGATTATGAGCATCTTCAAACAATTACATCCATCCTTCCGCAATTGTACCTGCCTCTCTAGAGGGCTCACAGGCAGGTTTAAGTATGAGCCACTATATCTTCTGCTTTGGGCACTGCAGATACCTTTGTTTGGGGTCAGTGGGTACCAGTGCCATTTCTCCAAGGCCTGAGTACCAGCTGAGCAGGGCAACACAGGGCCCTGTGGGCAGGCTAGAGGGATAGAGGGTACAGAGAGATGCCATCAGCTGCTGCCAATTTGGGAAAATAGATCTGGGGAGGAAAGGGTAGTGTAGAGCTCATGATCAGGCCTCAGCCAACACTAGGGCCCCCAGCTCACCAAGACAGCCCCATGCTAAGCTGCCCTCCCCAAAGTCTCAGCTGGTCATAACTGGTAGCGTTTCTTGAGATTGTTGTGCAGATGGAGACTCTGAGTGCCAGAGATGGCAAGTGACTTGTCCAAACTCACACAGTAAGTTGGTGGCAAAGCTAGGGCTGGAACCCAGGGCTTATGCCTCCCAGTTCAGCTGCCCAGCACTGTGCTAAATGCGCCATATGGAGTATTTAATCCTATAAACAATCCTGTGAAGTTCATACTTTTCTTATCTCTGTTTTACAGATGAGGAAACTAAGGCATAAGGAATTTAAGTGAATTGTCAAAGTCTCACAGCCTGTGGGTGGAGGAGCTGAGATTTGAACCCCAGGAGGTCTGGGCCCATGCTTTTAACCACCCTCTCTACTGCCTGTCTCCATGGTGATGAGGCAGCAGGCTGTGTTCTTCCACCCACCTGGGGCTGGGAAAAGGTTGTTCAGGCTCTGGGAGTTGTTGGAAGATTTTGCCAAGCCAAATTCCCTCCCACTCGGATGCTCTGGGGGAAACCTGGGTACTCACCGCTGATGCCTCCCTGCCTTTGCTGGTGGCCACTTGTTATTGGAGGCTGGAGGTGTGTAGCAGATTTAGAGCCACTTCCAACTCTAGTGGACACTGTTCTGAGCCTCTGGGGTGGGGAGGGGTGTGGGTCTGTGTTGTCAGATGAGTCCTGCCACTGGACATGTCTGTTTTGTTCAGGCAGAGGGACCTGTGTGCGTGTTAACAGCTGACAGTGGTCACTGGGCCCAGAACAAGGCTCCTGCTCCTCAGGCTGTGACAGAGAGGGCAGATGGAGCAGGAGCCTGGGCAGGAAGCTGCCTACTCCCCCTCCACTCCCCTGCTCCACAGTGATTGTAACAGGAGGGTGATGGTGAGGAGCACTGCTCACAGGTTCACATACACCTCACCATGCACTCACACATACATGCTTTCACATCCATCCGTAAACACACATGTATCTACACATGATGTATAGATGCCATGTTCTCATGCAAACCATCACACATATGCACTCACACAACTGCACACACATGGAGGCCCTCAGACACACATCCATGCATGGGGTACACACTGGCACATACCTTCCTGAAGGCCCCCTCACCCATGCACAGCTGCCACATGTGAACACGTCTCAGATTTGCTTACAGAGCTGCAGTTGCATCTGAAAACATATAAGCAGACATAGGCACACTTTCTCACACAAACACACATATTCCCTCTCATAGATACAGGTGAAAAGCATGTTCTTTTCTCCATTTCCTTTTGCTACACACCTACACTTTGAAATCTTTCACACATTCTCTCCTACAGACCTAGCCACTCTTGCACACCCACTGTCACACACCTACGTACAGACCGAATCACTTTCTCTCCTTTCTTTTCCACATCTCTTTCTCTTTCATACCACCCACACAGCAATCCTAGCCTCTCTCTCTCTTTTCCTCTCACCCACACACAGCTTCCTGGTTTCCCACAGGCTGGGCTGCAGCCACTTCCCTAGAGCAGGCACTCTCAGGGTTAGCGATACCCCAACCTGGTGGGGGTCCCAGGATCCCACCCCCACCCCTCACTCTCCCAACCTGCCCTCTACCCTGGGTACAAGATGATGAGAGCAGAGCAGCCACACGATCAGAGGAATTCTCTGAAGCCCATGAGGCCAGGAGGAGAAATGGGAACTGCCAGGGAGGGTTCCTGCATTCTGAGTCTCCCCAGTGTGAACAGGGGACATCCCAAACCCAGGCCACCTGCAGGTCTGTGTTTCACAGGCCCTTGTGTGGGGTGGGCTTACGCTAGCACATTCCTAACTTCCTTTAGCAGAAATCTAAACACACAACTCTTGATGCAAAAGACAGATGAAAGTGGAACCACCCTGGTCAAGGGGGTGGGGAACCCGGGGAAACTTCGGTGAAAACCTAGACCAGCATTTCTCCAACCGTGGTTCTGTTTCAAAATTGCTGGGGCTGTGGAGGGTACTTGCCATCAGTCCTGTGCCAAGCCCACCAGCTCGTGCCCTCAATGGGAGTGGTGCTGGAATGTGGGTATCTGGACTTTTAACAGCATCCCACGTGACTCTGATGTACATGGCCACTGCCATGGGGCTTCGCACGCTCAATCTGAATGGCATTTTGCTCAGTGAAAGGTGGGGAGCTGAGCCCCAGAGCTGCCATACAGCACCCTGCCTTGTTGCTGACCCACTGGTGAAGTCAGGGGATGGCAGCAGGTGGGTGGGGACATGGTCACCCTTCTCAGTGCCCATTTGCCTAAGTTCTACCAAGAGAGACAGTTATTCTAGTTACTGGGGCTGAGACATAGCGGGGAAGATGGGCCTGAGCACCCAGGTCTGAAAGGAGAGCCAGGAAGAGGTAGGGTGGGAGGTGGTACCAGTTATGGGGACAGAATCACAAAGGCAGATTTCAAAGTGGGTAGTGGGTGGGTTAGAGAAAAGAAAAGGGGACACAAAGAAACTGTCTCCCTCCTAGCCGAAGGAGATAGGAGGATTTTAGGACAGACCGACCGACCTAGCGATACAGAAAATGATAAGGAAACGGAGAGACAGACAACCAGGCAGCAGAGAGTGAGGCACAGCGAGAGGAAAGAGAGGTGCCCCCGCCTGGAGATGGGAGGCTGAGCGGGTGGAGGAGGGAGTCGCACCCCCAGGGCTGGGCGGGGCGGGGCGGGAGGGGCGGCGCTAGGGCCCCGGGGAGCAGGCAGCAGGAGCACGGCTCACCCGCCCGCCCGCCCGCCCAGCGCTCCCGGCTCCCAGCCCGGGGTCCCGGAGCAGCCCGCTAGGCGGTGGCGGTGGCGGCGGCGAGGAGGGGGCGTCGGGCGCGGAGCCTGGGCCTGGCGCGGGGCGGGGGTGGCGGGGACCTCGGGGCGGGGCGCGCTGACGGACGCGGCCAGGTGTGCCGAGGCGGCGGCGCCCGGGAGCTCGGGGACCGTGCGCAGCGGCTGGAGGTGAGTGAGGGGCGCTGGCCTGGCAGGGGTGCGGGCACCGCGCGAGCCTCGCCCCTTCCCACCTGCGCTATTCCCGGCGCCGCCCAGGAGGAGGTGGCACATCTGGGCTCCAGTCCTCGCACGCGGGGTGACCTTGGCCAAGTCGCTTCTACACTTTGGGCCTCAGTTTCCCCATCTGTAGGTGGGGGGCTGGAGGGGTATCGAGGCTTTCGAGCAGCTGAGGAGCGGGAGGACGCCCTGACGCCGGGAAGCTACCCTCCTGGGCTGCGTGGGGGCTCCAGCCCTTGCGCCCCTCCCCGCAAGCGGATCAGGGCGAGGCAGCCCCAGGCTTACAGGTGGGCAACAGCCCAGAGTCTGTCTCCCCAAGCCCGTTCTGGGAAAAGTCGGACCGACTTGACCCAGGATAACCCAGGCGGGTTGGGCTCTGCCCAGAATTGACCAACATGGGCGCCGTGGGGGCAGCGGGAACGGCCAGTGCTGGGCCTCCTCACTCCTCCCTGCGGGCGGGGCGACCGGGCTCTGGGGTCTGGCTGTGCCGGTGGGGCACACAGGATGCCAGAGCAGTCACACCCTGGGGACCACCCAGCCCAAGCCCTACCTGGAGAAATCCAGGCCTTTCCCCAGCGCCTACAGGGAGAGGGGAAACTGTCCTGCGCTGCCCGCCTCACAACATCTTTGCAATTGCCCTCCTTGCCAAGGTGAGAGAGAGGCCCCAGAGGTGAAGTTAGTGGAGGGCTCGGCTCCTTTCTAACCGCTGCGCTGTGGAATCAGGGGCACTGTCCAGAGCCCTGGCAGGACCTCTTTGAGGACTCAGGAAAAGGTCTCCTTTGCTCCCCCCATTACCCCAAGTTATGGGCGTATTCCGGAAGGTGCCAGGGAACTCCGTCCATGGGGTCCAGGTTGTCTGGAAGGGACAAGAGCTGAGTGGGAAGCAGCATGTGCCCCATCCCCCATCCCCCACCCTGTCCTGAATGGCAGGTGGCACTGGAATAAACCAACTTGTTATGTGATCTTGGAGCAAGACCCTTGCTCTCTTGGCCTCCGGTGAGAGGGTTTGGCAGGGTAGCCCCTGAGGGGGAAATTGCACTGTGGACAGCAGTGCTGGTGGTAGCTGTAGGGCTAGTCAGAGGGTGCCCTACCCCCTGTCCATTAGAAAGTGGAAGTGAAACTGGATGCTGATGGGGGTCTAGGGTACACTGGGGCAAGGGGTTGGAAGCCTTACTGGCGCCAGCCTGCCTTGTCACCAAGCCCAGGCCTGGCCCATTCCATGTTGGGGGGCACAGCCACAAACTGGAACTGATGTGCTCCCCCACTACTTGCCATATTGTCTCAGGCAGGCAGATGAGATCCCTCAGGGGAGTTGAAAACCCCCCGGGGAGCTGAAAAACCCTGTTTGCTGGGTGGGGCATCCCCTTCCTCTGTCTCCTTAGGAGATCTTGGTCTGGTTCCTCCCCTTCTCTGGTCCTCAGTTTTTCCATCAGTACGAAGGGGATGGCCTAGGATCACTCTAGCTTGATATTCAAACTTCCCCCAGGAATGTTGTTTACCACTCTGGCTTGCAGCCCCCACTTTCCAGGCCTGCCCCGTCTTTGCAAGCCATGGGCCGGCTCCCCTCAACCCCACAACTGACACCTAAATTAAGCTGTGGTTGGAACCAGCATTTACATGGCTAAATAAGGCCTTTAACTCCTTCCCTCCCTAGTCAGCTGTTGCCCTTATCTACTCCCCATCCCTTAAGGTAGGAAAAAAACCAACCAAATCAAACCTGTGGCATTCAGGCGCGTGGTTCCTGGTGCATCCCTAGGTTCTTCCGTGGCATTTTATCCAGTATCCGATTTTAGAATTGGGGAGACTGGGGCCAAGGAGGGGAAGAGGTTTGCACAGAGTGATTCTGTGGGAAGGAGGCAACAGAGCTCCCTCTCCTTGGGAAAGAGCACATCCTTAATAGGTGAATGGCGACATGAGTGTCCATGGAGCACCTGGAGAGAGAGGAGAAGCATGGGAGGAACCTTCTTCCATCTTCTCTCCACCCCTAGTCACAGCCCATTTCCAGGGCTGACATGTGTCTTCCTGAGCCCACGTCACAGCTCTGGGAGGTGGGCAGGGCAGGAGTCAGCACACTCCTTCCACCTGCCAGGGCTGCCCTCCCACAAGGCTGAGCACACCTCCAGGGCCCCTGCCTGGCCTGGGAGGCACCTTTTCCTTCAAGGCAGCTCCCAGGCTTCTAGACATGAGCTCATCGGAGCTGCTGGTGCCAGGAAGGGAGGGACTGAGGGGAAGCAGGCAGGGCTGCCCAGATCAGGGCACCGTGGGCCCGGGGAAGTACAGGGGGGTGCTACTGGTGAGGCCCTGCAGGCTCTGGTCCCCATTGTAGTGAAGAGACAGCAGCAGGATAGATCTGCTGAGGGTCAACTGGGGAAGGGTGGAGATGGGCCAAGTGCCCTGGGCTGTAGTGCTAGGCCAACCTCTGCTGCCCACTCACTTACTGTGTGACCTTGGGTAAATCCCTTTCTCTCTATGGGCCTCACTGTCCCTGGCTAGCAATGGGTTGGGATGGGTGCTTAGACACTGAGGTTGCAGTAGTGAATAAGACAGACAGGCCCCTGCCCTCAAGGCACTTGCATTTTAATTGGGGAGATAGAAAAGAAAAAAGGAAGCAAATAAATCATCAAGATAATTTCAGATAGGTAAAAGTGCCATAAAAAAATAAGTCATGCTGTTAAGATGGAGAGCAGTTAGGGGGCTACCGGGGGTTGGTGATTAGGAAAGTCCTCTCTCAGAGGTGACTTCAGAACAGAGACCTGAATCTTATTTGAAGCAATGCTCAAGGCTTTCTGGGGAAGGTGTATCTGCAACTGGAGTCTGGAAGAATGGGGAAGCTGGGGTGGGGGAGGATTTGGTTGGGAGGAAAGGTTTCCCAGAAGATGGTCATGCTCTGGGGCTAGGGGCTGGGACCAGTGGCAGGGACTGGAGGGTGGGGGTGTTGGTTGCATCCCCAGGGGCTTCAGACTGCAGATCCAAAGGAGCTCCACCTGAGATCTGGTCAGAGGGGCGGCTGGGCCTGCCTGCAAAGTGGCTCTGCTAAGTTAGTCGTGTGTGTGTGTGTGTGTTTCTGTGTGTGTGTGTTTCTGTGTGTGTGTGTGTGTGTGTGTGTGTGTGGTCAGAGTCTTTTGTGAACTGTCCCTGGATATTGGGGCTCAATTGCTACCCAGTGTGGCCAGAGGAGGAGTCAACATGGAAGCAGCCTGTAGGCCCTGTAATTCCAAAGGCTTACACAAGCCCTCTGTTTGGAATGAAATCTACCAACTGGCTGCTGCTGCCTGAAATTCCACCAGCCTAGCTTCAGCTTTTCCACTCGGTGAGGCAGGGTCGTATAGTACTGTGCAGACCCTGCCCTACCCTACCCTGTCCAGCCTCCCAGGGTTGCTGCGGGTGGAACAAAATTCAGTCTACTCCTAAATTCTTGGAGGCATGCCTCATGTGTGGCTAATACACAGATTCTGTGGTTGGACCTCTGGGTTCCCTTCCTGGCTGGCTGGGAGATCTTAACTATGTTATGTAACCTCTCTGGGTTTTTGTTTCCTCATCTATAAAATAGAAACAATAATAGACCCTGTTGTATACTGTTGTTCTGAAAATTAAATGAGATGATGATAAATGCTAAAAAAAAATGAGCTACCATTTAGGTATTGTGAGGTTTTGATCTCTGTTAAAATAGCGGTCAGGTGTGGTGGCTCACGCCTGTAATCCCAGCACTTTGGGAGGCCAAGGCAGGGGGATCACCTGAGGTCAGGGGTTTGAGACCAGCCTGGCCAACATGGTGAAACCCCGTCTCTACTAAAAATACAAAATTAACCAGGAATGGTGGTGCATGCCTGTAATCTCAGCTCCTCAGAAGGCTGAGGCAGGAGACTCGCCTGAACCCAGGAGGCAGAGGTTGCAGTGAGCCGAGATCGCGCCATTGCACTCCAGCCTGGGAGACGGAGTGAGACTCCAGCAAAAAAATAGAAATAGCAAGTTCTTAAGGAGATGGGCTCTCGCTTAAGACTAATTGTATCTCAGTATAAGTTACTTTTTGATGTTTGGCCAGGAACAGGTTTTTTTGTTTGTTTGGTTGGGTTGTTTGTTTGAGACAGAGTCTGACTCGGCCACCCAGGCTGGGGTGCAGTGGCATGATTATGGCTCACTGCCGCCTCGACCTCCTGGGCTCAAGTGATCCTCCCACCTCCTAAGTAGCTGGAACTACAGAGATGTGCCACCGTGCCCGGCTAATTTTTGTATTTTTAGTAGAGACAGTGTCTCGCTATGTTGCCCAGACTGGTCTTGAACTCCTGGGCTCAAGTGATCCATCTGCCTCAGGCTTACAGGCATGAGTCACCATGCCCGGCCTAGGAACAGGTTTTGATGGTGGGAGAATAGGCACAAGCACAGCGGAAAATGCCTGGACTGAGCTTCAGGAACGGATGCTCGAACCTCCGCTCTTAGCTGACTGGCTGGTGGTCTTGGGCAAATCATTTGCTTCCTCTGGGCCTCAGGCTTCACTTCTGACTGCTGAGATATGGGCTAGTAAGGATCTGAGGGGATCATGGGTGTGACAAAGCTCCTTACTGGCTTGTCACCAAGAACATGGGGCTAGCAGGAGGGGCTGACACCATGGTGTCAAGGGTCAAGGAAGGGGCAGGCTGGATGAGCCCCTGGGACAGGAGAGTGGGCTAACCTGAGACCCTTGCGTGTAATCCTCCAGAATAAAATCTCTTAGAGTCTAAGAGTGCTTGAAAGATAAAAGCCACAGTTCTTGAAAAATGATTGTTTACTGTTATTTACTATGTACCATGGGTGCTTTAAGTTCTTTACGCATCAACAACTCCATGAGGTGAGTACTGTTATTAGCATTTTGCAGATGGGAAACTGAGGCACAGAGAAGTTGGTTAAGTGAGCTTCCAAGGTCGCACACCTGGTAAGTGGCTAGATTCAAACACAGGCAGTCTGGCCCCAAAAACTGTGTGCTTAACTTCTTCGCAACATGGTCTCTCCCACACTAGATGGAGTGCCAGGGGCTCAGAAAAAGCAAGCCACCTATCCCAGAACAGACAGCATTCATCTTTGATCCTCATCATCCCTGAAGCTTAGGTCCTGGAAGGAGGAGCCTCACTGGGTCTAGGGTCCGGGGCTCTGAGATTGGCCCTTGAACCAGCTCAACCTTTCTATTCCCCTGGCAGTAGGTCAGAGAGGATCAAGGGTGCCCTGCAGTCACTGTGGGCATGGAAGGCTCTGCCATGGCCTGATGAGTGGGCGTTGTTAGTGCCTTGGAACTTGAGTGGCTCCTAAGTGCTTGAGTTGTAATAAACTCCCACGCAGTCTGGCACACCGCCACCATTGTACAGTTAGGGGAAACTGAGGTCAGAGTGTTTAGGGAGCAGCCCAGGGTCACACAGGCAGAGGACACGCTTCATCCCTGAGCCTCCTGTCCTGCCTTCTGGGCCGCTTAGTTCTTGTGGGCTCCATAGGAAGATGAGATGTTGGGGACCCTCCCATGGATCCCTAAGGTGGCCCTGGCCTCCTCAGCCAGGACATTATTCCCAATATGGGGCCCTTTGGGAGGGCACATGGAGTTGGGGGATGGGGAGAGTACTGATTAAAAAATAGACTGTCACGCGCACGGAGAACAAGCATGCCACCACCCAACCTGAGCCAGTTGGCTCCCCCATGCCTGGCTGCCAGGCCCCACTCAGGTCTCCTGCTGGGGGCCCCGCCCACCATACCCTGGCTCTGGGCCTGAGGCTGAATGCTCCCATCCACCCTCTCCTCTCCCTCCTCCATCCCTGCCCAGCCTCCAGGCAGATGGTGCTCTTACTGAGCTTGGGTGGGCCTGAAGCTCAGCTGTGGACTTTAAGCTGTGCCAGGGGTGTCTGGCATCCCCACACACTGGCTGTGTGGCCTTGAATGAGCCCTTTCCCTCTCTGGGCCTCAAACATTGACAGAGTAATGCTGTCAATCAAAGTTCTTTCCCAGATTTCTTCTCTCATTTAGACCTGACAGACACTGCAGGAGACCCCACTCAGAGAGGTGACCTGCAGTGGCCACTCAGCTAGGGTGCAGCAGAGCAGAGGCCAGTACCCAGATAATTGTGCAAATCCCAATCCTGTACAACTCCGGGTGAGTGAGGTCACATGGGAGCATGAAGGCAGGAGGCTTTGCAGTCATGATGTGAGCAGTGTTTCATGCATTTGCTCTTTTACTTAGTCAACAAATGTTTATTCAGGCCCAGCTATGGCCGAGGCACAGGGGCATGGACATAGCCAAGGTCCCTGCCCTGCGGGGACAGGCAGACTGACGTGAAAACAAATCCTTATGGAATTACAAAGCTGATGAGCGTTTAGGGAAGAGGCAGAGAGTGTTGTGGCAGGAGAATGTGACCTCTGAGGGCCTTGGGACCTGTGAACAGACCTGAAGGATGAGAAGTGTGGTCAGAAAGGTGCAGCCAAGGGGGCAAGGGAAGAAAGAGCTCTAGGAAAAGGAGCAGCCAGTGCAGAGGCCCTGAGGGGAGAAAGTGCTGGGCTGGCCGAGCACTAGAAAGAGGGTCAGCATGGCTGGAGCCTGGCAGGCTGGGAGGTGAAGCACCACGACGGGAGCTGCAGCGCAGGGGTCAGGGCAGTGGGGCTGGTGGTACAGGGCCTGGAGCCTGCGAAGGGGCTTGAGGCGGATCATAGGAAAGAGGAGCATGCTGGTGCTGATCTAGGAGGTGGGTCTTTGCTCCTTTCCTTTCCTCTTTCCCTTGGATGTCCACCCTGATAGTGCTATCGACAGACCCCATTCATGCCCCCCCAGCCACTTCTTGAGGTGGCTAAATGCAGAGTCTGGGGCCCTCTCTCCCCCATCTCTTCAAGGAGGGTTATGGAGGCCCAGCAGGCCTCAGATGCAAGCTGGTGAGAGTGCGTTCCTGGGCAGGAGGCTGCGGTCACTCAAGCTGAGTGCCCCTGTTCAGGTGAGTTCTTATTTCCTTTTATTCCCTGTGGGAGTCTGTGGACAAAGGAGGGTCAGCTTGTGTCTGAATGAAGGCCGCCCCAGACCTACTTCCACTGCCTGTAACGGCTGCCTGTCCCCTGTTCCATTCCAGGCACCAACCCCCAGCCAACCCTGGAGCCAAAACCCCGGGATGGCAGGCAGGAGGCTTGCATCCTGAGCCCAGCTCTGCTGTACGCTCTAGGGCACACCCCTTTTTCTCCCTGGGCATCAGTTTCCCCATCTCTATTATAGATAAATACTCTAATTTTTCTACACTCGGTGTATGGCCCATGGATGCAGTATCAGCATCACCCAGAAACTTGTTAGAAATGCAGAATCCCAGGCCTCCTCATCCCAGACTTCCTGAATTACAATCTGCATTTTGACAACATTCCTGAGTAATTTCCATGTACTTTAAATTATGAGAAGCGCTATTCTAGGTCAGTTATTTTTAAACTTAAGATAAATGAAAATCTATAGCATATTTTTCCTTCTCTAAAGCTTTACATATAAACACATAAGAGGGCACCCACCCACTGTATATTTATTCATCCCATGAACAAGGAGGGGGAGGAGTGTGGAGGGGTAAGTTAGAGGCACAGGCTTTATTAGGATGGGCGTCAGGAGGAGGAAAAGATAAAACAGGCTGGTGGAGGGGCAGGTGCCATCTGCTCACCCCCTGAGAGCTTCTGACAGTTGGCCTCTAAGGGCCCTTTCGGCTCTGCCCTCCAGGCTCCTCTGCTTTATGGGTTTGGAGAAGGAGTGCTTGATGGTCCATAGCCCAGTGACGTCTTTCCCTGCTTGTCCCTATCTTGCTGTCCTGCCCTCTTCCCCTTGGAATCCCTGAAAGAGTAGCCGGTGCTATTCTTAGTGTGACAGGGTGGTGAGGAGAGAACATACTAGTGCATTATTTATGTTTGTGAGTCAACAGGATTACATTCGGGACTCCCAGAACACCGCCCTCCTAGCGTGGCCTTCATCACAGCCATGGCAGGTGGTCCACTATGTGCAGAGGGGAGGGCAATTTCCCAGGACCTAGAAACCATTCCTTCTGGCCCTGATCGTCCCTGCTCAGAGTCCCTACCCCTCGACCTGGGAAATGACTCATGAAATACCATGGTCAGTTAGGACTAGGAAAGAGCTGCTTTGGCCATATCATTTCCTTGCATCATGCATTCAGCATATATTTATTGAGCACATATTACATGCTGTAGGTGTGGGTGCATGGGTGGGGGAAACAGGGTTCCTGCCTTCCAGGAGCTCACACTTTAGCCAGAGAGCTAATGTGCAGTAGTATAGGTTTCAGGCCTTTGCCTGTGTGAGAGCTGATCTGAGCAATAACATAGCAGAGTGGGAATTAAGAATCTTTTAGAGGAAACTGAGGCTCCGCACATATAAGGCTTGCTAAAGGTCACCATAGCTAGTGATCAGGTTGAACTCAGATTAGTTAGAATAAAACAACTATTTTAGAGCAGATGGTAGTGTGTAGCGTTAGGGCTCTGGGAACTCCCTGCACTGCCAGTGAGAGGGGTCTTGTGGCTGGAAGGAAATTAACTGGTTGAGGTTGTCCTGTTCTCCAGAGGCATGGAGAAGTCATGTGTGCTCAGAGTTTTCATAAACCTGGAGTGGTAGGACAGTTACACTGGGGGCTGGGAGTCAAAATCACATGGGATGAGAGGATAAGGCCCCGAGGTGGGGCACCTCATGAGGCTGTGCCAATGGCTCTGGCTAGGAGCCAATGAACCATGTGCAGTGAGATCCTGGGCAGGTCCCTTGCCCTTTCTCTGCCTCAGTTTTCTAGTCTGTAAAATGGTGTAACAATCCTTGCTCTGTCTCTATCTCTGATGGATGAAAAGTGCTAGGAAAACTATAAAAGTGTTGTGCATATTCAAGGAATGCTATAAAATTACCGTATATAATTATCATAGGCTGTGTGCGGTGGCTCATTCCTATAATCTCAGCACTTTAGGAGGCCAAGGTAGGAGGATTGCTTGAGCTCAGGAGTTCAAGACCAGCCTGGGAAACATAGTGAAAACGCACCTCTATTAAAATAAAAATTAAAAAAAAGACAATTATATAAATATATTTTATTAAATGTATTTTTATTAACATTATGGAGTCTTACTGTGTGAAAGTCTGTATTCCAGACATTTTCTTGTGTTCACTAACTTACACACTTAGTTATAAGATCATGGACTCTAAAGCCCAGTGGGTTCCCAACCTGGCTGTACACAGAACCCCTTCGGGAGCCTGTTAAGGTGTATATTCTGTGGTTCCTCCGGTCTAGGATAAAGCCCAGGAATCTGCATCTTGACCACATTCCCTGAGGGATTCTGAAGCACCTGCAAGTTTCTGATCTGGACCAGAGAGGGGAAGGAACTTGCCAGAGGCCTCACATTGAATTGCAGACCAGGTTGAGGCTAAAACCCAGATCTCCAGCTCCTGGCCTGGTCCTTTCCCTCTACTGTTCAGTTGCCTCCAAGTGCCCTAGAGGAATGAAGGTGGAGATGACTTTGGTGACACGTGAGGATGCTGGTGGTGGTGCTAAGGTGTATGGTGCTATGGTAGGCATTTCATATGGCTTATCCCATTTAATGGCAATAAGGATAGAAAAGGGGACATTTGACTGGGCACAGTGGCTTATGCTTGTAATCCCAACACTTGGAGAGACCAAGGCAGGAGGATTGCTTGAGCCCAGGAGTTTGAGACCAGCCTGGGCAACAAAGTGAGACCTCGTCTGTACAAAAATTTTTTTAAAATTAGCCGGGTGTGGTGGTGCATGCCTGTAGTCCCAGCTACTTGGGAGGCTGAGGCAGGAGGGTCACTTGTCCCTGGAAGGTCACTGCCATGAGCTGTAATTGCACCACTGCACTCCAGCCTGCCAGCCTGGGTGACAGAGTGAGACCCTGTCTAAAACACACACACACACACACACACACACACACACACACCACACACACACACACAAAGGGGACACTCTCCACAGCCACATGATCCCCTGGGTCATTTGAGCATCAAGTGGCAGATTTTAATGTACCCTTGGAAAAGGGAGACTATGACTGAGATGCAGAGATCCTGGAGAAGTGAATTTGAAACCATACCATCGGTGCATTGTCCATTCTCCAGGAGCATGTGCCCTCAAGGCAAGAGTTGTCTGCTAACCCGGTTACCTGAAGACGGGGCAGGCTGGCAGGAAGGAAACACATACGTCCCACAAGGTGTGTACCTGATGCCCATCCATCCATGCCAGCCTTCCACGAGTCCCGTGTACCTGCGGGTGCTCAGTGTGCACATATTTATGTGTACGTCCTGCCCCCTCTGTGGGTGTGCATGCGTGCCTGGGCACGCTCTGCTGTGTGTAGCACAGGCTTGAAGCAAGCAGCACCTCTGTGTGTGGGCATACGTGCAGAGGAGGATGTGCTGCTGCCGGCTGGAGCCTCTCCAGCATTAAGAGGCTACTGAGAATGCGTGTATGTTGCAGGTGTATGTGTGTGTGTATGGAAATGGTTGCAATGCAGAGCTCAGAAGGAGAAGGGCCATTAAAGAAAACATTTTTTTGTTTGTTTGGTTTTTTTAGACAGAGTCTTGCTCTCTTGCCCAGGCTGGAGTGCAGTGACGCAATCTGGGCTCACTGTGACCTCCACCTCCTGGGTTGAAGTGATTCTCTTGCCTCAGCCCCTCAGATAGCTGGGATTACATGCATGCGCTACTATGCCTGGCAAATATTTTTTGTAGAGACGGGGTTTCACCATGTTGGCCAGGCTGGTCTTGAACTCCTGACCTCAAGTGATCTGCCCGCCTCGGCCTCCCAAAGTGCTGGGATTATAGGTGTGAGCCACCGCACCCAGCCCACACTTTTCTTATTCGTGTCCTACCTCCACATTATGTCTATCATTCTTAAACCTGCCAGGTATGAGCCTGCCTCAGGACCTTAGCACTTGCTGTTCCCTCTGCCTGCACTGTTGCCTTAGACAAGCATATGCCTCACTCTCTCACCTTTTTCCGTTCTTTGCTCAGATGTGCCTTCTCAGTGAGGATGGCTTTGGTTATCATATCTACCTTTGCAAATCACTCCTCACCCCTTACAGTCCATATATCTCCAGTCCCTGCTTTATTTTTTTATAGCATTTACCATCTGACTTACTTGTGTATTTATTATCTTGTTCCCTTACCCGAATGCAAGCAGAGATTTTAATCTGTTTCCCTTCATGCCTGTGAACGGTGCCTGGCCCTTAGTTGGTGTGTAATAAATACTTGTTGAATGAATGAATCCATGCACCACCTATACATATTTTCTTTAAATTTTGTTAGTGAAATGTCCACTTTAGCCTCTCCTTAAGCAGTAATATACCTGAGATCACAAGTGTGTTCATTATACCTCTTTTCCAATTCACATTTGAAATGTATATAACTATTAAGATTTTAAATATCAAGGTACCACCTAAAATCCTTTTTGCTTCCATTAGTGGTGGGGGCACCACACTCTAGGAACCACCAGTCCAGTCCAATCCCTCCTTTGGACAAATTGGATGCACTGAGGCCCCAAGAGGGTCAGGGATCAGCCCAGTGTCTCACCCAAATTGTGACAGGACAGACCCTGGAACCAAATCTCCTGACTTCTAGTCTTCTTTTCTTTTATAATTTGAGGGAAACATGGAGGGCAGGACTGCATGATTCAGCCTCTCCCTGGCAGGAGACTCCTCCTGTTGGAGTGGGGCCAGACCTGCCTGGTAATTGGTGAATGGCAGCAGAGGAGAGGGCCATGGCAGGGTCAGCAGCCTCCAGCACCCCAGAGCCATGGTGTCCTCCTCTGAGGGGGCCTGGGGTTCAAAACTGGTTCTGGCTAGAAGTGACATGGGGATCCCCTGTGCAGAGAGAACGCGGGGTGGGGGGTGTTGGGAAGGGGGATGGGGTTGGACTGTGTCTGATAATGAGCAGAAGAGTGAGACCAGACCCAGAGAGGGGTGGTGAAGACAGGGAGAGAGACAGATACAGCCCCAGCCTGGTCGAGTTACGCAGAGGTGGGTGTGTGCAAAAGCCTACAGTTAACCACCCCCCAATGTGTGCACAGTGCTTTATACTTTAGAAATCATTGCTGCATTTCATTTACTCAGCAGCTACTCTGCAAAGCAGATATTATTATCCCTGTTTTACTGATGATGAAGTTGAGACTCAGAGAGGTGAAGTGATTTACTGAAGGTAGCCCAGCAATTTGAATAGGATGCCTTGCTGAGCCATAGATGGGGGAAGAACTGGCTGCACCTCTGATTGGATTTGGTAAAGGAGGGCTGTCTGTGGGAGGAGCGGGCAGGCTGAATGGATTCGGGAGTGAGGGGCCGGCTGGAAACCCACAATCCACTCACTGGCCAAATAACCTTGACAAATCACAAAACCTTTCTTTTTGAGGCTCAGTTTCCTCATCTGTAAAATGGGAATAATGGTACTCCCTAACTCACAGCCTGTGAGGATAAAATAAAACAACATGATGAAAAATGATAACACTGAAACCGAATGCCTCGCACATTAGAAGTGCTCAGTAAGCAGCAACTTGAGTAATGAACATGATTGCACCCGGCCCCTGAGGAGTTTGCACACGGTGACCACCTGCCACGACTGAGGGATTCCCAGCGCCTTCTTTGGCAGCTGTGAGCGCGCCTGAGACCCCGTCTGGGGAACCCGCAGGGGTTGGGGGCAGGTTTGTCTGTCCCAGAGCCCCAGGCTGGTGATGACGCCTCCTGGGGATAAACCTCATCTCTCTGTTGTTTACCCCATGTGCGGTGACTTTGTCATTATCGTTCCTCCTGCGTTTTTTCTTTGAGTTATTTATTTTTCTGTGAGGAAGGAATGTGGGGAATTTACCACAGGGCGCTGTCCTTCACTTTCAGCTGGGCTGCACGGCGTCCTTTCCTATAAGAAGGAAGCTGCTGAGACAGATGGCAGGAGAGGTGGAGGCGGAGGGTCCCAGCTGGCTCTGTGGCCCAAGGAGTTGGGGGCAGTTATGTAACCCACCCGGAGGCCCAGGTTCTGGTCTCCGGGCATGAGCCTGGTAATGTACATAGCTCCTGTGGAACTGTGCCTAGCCCTCCCCATTCACCCCTGGCCTCTGGGCAAGCCCAGTGGGTGTGTTCCTCTATCAAAGTTTCCTTTCTATTCAGCTGGTCTTGATTTGGGGTATGGGGGTAGGTAGGGGAGTGGGGTGGGGGTTATCTTGAACCTCCTAGTCTCTGCTGAGCTATCATCATTGCTTAGAATGCTTCCTTATCTCCATCTTTCAAGAGCTAGGACATATGTCACCTCCTCCAGGAAGACTTCCTGGATTGCTTCATCCTAATTCATCTTTCTCTTAGGTTGTATGTTCTCCCCTCACTTCATGAAACATTCTTCCCCTTAGGTCTAACACAGTGATTTGAGATTTCATCTCCTTCCCTCACAAACGTGTTGCTCTCTCCTTCCTTCTCCTCCCACTCCCAGGAACCACCCTCTAGATCTTTGATCTAGAATCTAGATGAATCTTGGATTTAGACAAATCTAAAATTCATCTCCAGGGATGAATGGTGAAGCAAAATGTGAAGGGGGAGGCTTTGGATTCTGGAAGTGCTTGTCCTTTAGTAGTTTATTTAATCAACACAGTGATGGTTTCAACCCCTCCTGGGTGATGGCTTCTGCTGAGTCTGGGGACATTTACAGAGGACAGAGACCAGTCCTGGCCCTAGGCTGGCACAGGGCTAAGGGGAAGGACCACATCTTTGTGGCGGGCCCAGAGTGTGTCAGGCCCTGGGAAGAGTGGAGGGGACCCGCAGATGACCTAGGCCCTGCCCTGACCCTGGCAGAGGCACTGTTTAGGGGAAACCACCTCTTTCCCTGCCCTGGCTTGCCACCTTTTTGTCTTTTAGATTATGTGTTTTCTCTGGAAAGGCAGGGTATGATGGTTCTTTCTGTACTCCCAAGGCTTCCAGGGAGCTGGGGCTGGGGAGAGTGAAACAGCAGGAGGGGGCTTCGTGAGCACAGGCTTAGCTCACCAGGGTTGGACTGGAGAGGTGGAAGCCTGGGCTGTGATCCTGTGATCCTCTCTGTGAGCCCTCCCTTTTCAGTTTGCTGTATACCTGGGGCTCAGCTTGCCTCTCTCTGGGTTACCATCTCAAAGTTTCTAAAAATTGACTGATTATAGATTAATAATTACCCCAGTAGAATGGGCAAGAGAGAGGCTGTGGCTCCTGGCCTTTGGCAGGGCCCTGGTCAGCCAACAGGGAGCAGGGCTTGTGGTCTGCAAGGATAGAAGATGGGTCAGGCTTGCGCTGACTGTGGAGCCCTCATCTTAGCTTCCCCTTACCCATCCATCTCTGCCCTCCCTGATCCCGACCCACTGCCAGCAGAGAGAAACCAGAAGTTTGGCCAGGCCCAGCCTCCTTCCCCTGGGTTTCTGAGTTTTCTCAACCTGCCGTTTCCTCTGAGCTCTGTTCCTGCTCTGGGGCCTCTGGGCCAGGTTGAACAGGGGAGGAGCACTGATCTAGGAGTCTGAATGGATTGATGAGGGCTTCCTACAAGAAGTGGCCGTTGGGCTGGGCCTGGATGGGTGAGTAAGGAAGGTGAATTTGCTTTGTGGGGAGCTCTTCAGAAGGAAGGCGTCCAGGCTTGAGATCAGTCAGACCGCAGGGGCCCCTTGCTAAGCTGTGAGACCTGGGGTGAGTTAGCTGCTTCTGTGTGCCTCATCTTCCTTATCTACAAAATGGGGATAAGGGAACCTCCTCTATGAGTTGCTGTGAGGATTAAATGAAAAAAGGCATGTTAAACCCTTGGCTTGGCAGCATCTGGTGCTCCCAAAATGTTGGCTCTTGTCATTCTCATAGATTTCATGTTTATTCTGCAAGTGCCAATGGAAGATGTGGTGGGGACAAGGGAGGAATACCGAAGTGAAGCAGTAGAGGCCCCTGCCCTCGAGGCCGTTGCAGTCTCTGGGGGAAAATAGGGCCCAGACCCTCATTGCTACAAAGCAAAACACTGGGAGGGGGCAGCATGGCCCACGTGACTGGCCCTGCACTGGGCATTAGGCCAACCTGGGCTTGAATTTCAGCTCTTCCTCTGGCTGGCTGTGTGACCTTGAGCAAGTTGCTGCACCCCTCTGAGCCAGCGTCTTCTCTAATATGGAGATGAGGATAGTGCTGGCCTCATGGGTTGCTGTGGAAGTAAGTGAAGTAAGGCCCTGTCCTGCTACCTGGCATGTGGTGAGTATACCCTGAAAGATTACTTTTACTAGAATAAATAATACACAAGGTGGTGGTTATTAAGTGATGCAGACAGAACATTGGTGAAGGCTTTTTGGAGGGGGTGGTGGCATTCTAGGTAGGCCGGAAATCTGAAGGATTAGGGCATGTAGAAAGGATGTGAGACAGAGGAGGGTTCCCGGTAGAGGGGGTCTGTGCAAACGCTGCTTTGCAGGCAGGAATTCATTGGGCAGCTGTGGGAACTGCAAGCCACTGAACTCCCTCCACTGTTGCTGAGGGCACAGAGAGAAGGTGAGTGAGCTCTTGGGCAGGCCCCGATAGCAGGGGTTTGAATGCCAGGATGAGGACTCTCCTCTTGATCCTCCATGTCCTGGGGAGGCAGCAGAGGGTTTTGAGCAGGAGAGAGGCATGAGTGGAGCCCGGAGGGAGGAAGATGAATCTGGCAGCGTGGGGCGGGTAGATTGGCGGGGGAGAGACTGGGGGTGGAGAGGCCATTTAAAAGGCTGTTGCAAAATCGGTTTTCCTGATAAAGAGCTGGGCTGAGTCATCTGTGGAGGAGAAAAGTCACATCCAGCTCCTTCATGTTGCTGCCGATGTGGGATTTTCCTGGCTTCGTCAGCCAAGCAATTGGCTGCCTTTGCCGGAGGCTTTGAGAACCAAGGCTTGAAGGCCGGCAGGAGCATCCAGGGGGAAGCTTGGCTTCAGGGAGGACCTAGCAGAGTGAGTAAGATGAGCACCCGGAGGTGCCTTTGTGGCTTGGGGTATATGACTTAGGGCATGTGGCATCCCCCCTCTGATCTTAGTCTGTCCTCTGGGCATCAAGGGAGAGGTATGTGGTGATTTCTGCCAGCCTGTGAGTGGTGAGGCGGGGGCTGGGCCTGGGGCTCCCCACCCCATTTCTGTGTCTTCTCCCATGCCCGGCAGTCCTTCCCACCAAAGTCTAGATTGTTCTCCTCCCAAGAGGAGGTCTGGCAGTCTGCCGACCCCAGTCAGATTGCGCTCGCCATGACTCTGGGGATGGAGAATTCTCCAGGGCATGGAGCCTGTGTCATTTCCTCCTTTCAGTGGGAGGAATGGGGAAGGGGCTGGCAAGGTAGCCAGGCCATTACTCAGGCCTCTCCATTTTCCTGCCCCCAGCTGAGCCAGAGGTTGTGCAGTGGCCAGTCATTGGTTCCTTCCTGACCTCACCAGGGGGGCAGTTTACCCAGCCTGTTTACCCTTCCTGTCGCCAAGACCCCTGGACTACCACAATGGGCTGCCTTGAGCCAATCTCTATTCCTACCCCTGGCTCTCTGTCCCACCCCGCCCCACCTGACCCTGGCTGGACACTCCCATTGACGGCATCGTGTGAAGAAGCATTTCCTTGAATTCTCCCTGTCCTGACCTTCTGCTCTGGCCTCCCTTCCCCGGCCCCACCTCCCTCCTGTGGATCCTCCATCCACACGGGCCCCAGTGGTGGGCAGAACAAGCAGCTGTCCACAGTGGGTGGTAGGGGTGGGGGAAAGGGTTTGTCCCTTTCTACGCCAAACAAGAACTGGGGTCTTCTGACTCCCAACATAGTGATCTTCCCACTCTACTCATCTTTCATGCCTTATCAGTCCTTTCTACCTTAGTAAGAATGAGTTTATCAACTCTTCTCCTGAAAGGAAGAAGTGGAAGAAAGAAGGAGTTGTTCTAGGCAGCTGGGTTTTCAGGGGAGAAGACATTGCTGAGGGGCATTGATCACAAGATGAGGGAGCAGAGGGCTTTGCAGACCATCATCCAAGAGCACTGGAGCCTCTCTTGTTTCTCCTCTTTCCAGAGTCCTAGTCTGGAAGGAGAATAGTTAAGAGATTAGACTCAGAGCCAGACTTTTCTGAGTTTGGATTCCAGCTCTGCCACTCATAAGTTGTGTGACCCTGGGCAGGTCTCTCTGAGCCCCAGTTTCATCTGCAGAATGAGAAGAATCACAGGACTTATGTCTGGGAGCTGTTGTAAGAACTGAACAAGGTGGTGAGCATAAAGTGCACAGCACTGAGCCTGGGCTGCAGCAGGGGCTCAGTAGTGACAGCAGTCGTTGCAAAGCCCCTTCTCATGGCTGTGCTGGGGCTTCTCGCCTACTCCCCCACTTCAGGATTTACCCTGTTGGACCCAGGTCTCCTGACCCCAGGCAGCTTTTCATTGTGCCCGCCCTCCACCCCTTCCTCTCTTGAAGGCCTATCTTCAGGGCTCCTGATCCAGTGTCCAGGGTGGGTCTTTAAAGGGCTAGCACCCCAACTTGGCCCTGCAGAAGTTTAGGTGGGGAGGCGGTGGGGACATCATGACTTGCACAAGTGCAGGCCACAGCCAGGCCGATTGAGGGTTCAATGAGGTACCTGTCCCCTGTAGCCTTTGGCTACCTCCCCACCCCCACCTTTGACACCAAGAGCATGATCTTGAGCAGCTGCTGCCTGGGATATTGCCAGAGAGGGCAGCTCCCTAGTCTGAGGAATTTTAGATGGAGTTGCCCCCTGGTGCCCTGCTACGAGGGACTCTAGGGTGTCCCCCCGCCTCCCCAGCTTTGTTTGTGAAGGGTGGCGAAAATCATCTGGATGGCTGGCTGGATCTGGTCCAAACCTCCTGCTGAATTCCTTTTCCATGGAGTCACTGTGGGCTGGAGTGCGGGCTGCAGGAGCTTGCCTTGGAGGGCAGGGCTCTCTTACCTCCTGGCCTTTTCTGCCATTCCTCTTGTTCCAGAACAGTAGCTTGGGAGCAGTTCTAAGCTCAGAGAGGTGGTGGTGATGGGATCTTAGCGGCAGCCCAGGTTGTGCATGGAGCCTCACTGAGAGTCAGCTGACCTGGTCTTGGGCTCACATCCTCCTCTCTGACCTCTTCCTTGGCTGGGCCTCCCAGGCCAGCTTATTTCTAAAGGCCCTTCATATTCTGACATTTGAGGATTTTCTAAACCCATGGCCTTCTAGAGCCAGTAAGGAGAAAAGCAGAAAAATGCAGGGGCATTGAGAGGTCTGGAGTAATCAAACACTGAAGTGCTTTCTATGAGCCTTGCAAGGTGGGAACCGGCCAGCCAGGAGCCTGGTGCTCTCTGCAGTAACGTAGAGCCAGGTGTGAACAGAGCTCTACTCCTTCTGGCTCTGTGATCGTGGGCAGCTCACTTTACCTCTCTGAGCCGTAGATTTCTCATCAATAAAGTGTGCATAATAATAGTTTGTGATTTGTAGGTTTGTTTTGGAAATTAAATAATATGAGTAAAGTCTGTGTATAGGTGTACAGTAAGTGACCAATCAATATTAGCTACTATTGCTGCAACTGTGTCATAAGAAACACTGGCAGGACTAGAGATGTTTATCCTGACCCTGTCCCAAGGGGATCTGATGTATCTGCAAATCTCTGCAGGGCTGTCAGGCTGGAATGAAAGAGAAAACTTTTTGTTGTTGTTGTTGAGATGGAATGTCGCTCTGTTGCCCAGGCTGCAGTGCAGTGGCGTGATCTCGGCTCACCGCAACCTCTGCCTCCCTAGTTCAAGCGATTCTTTTGCCTCAGCCTCCCAAGTAGCTGGGATTACAGGCGCCCGCCACCACGCTTGGCTAATTTTTGTATTTTTAGTAGAGATGGGGTTTCACCATATTGGCCAGGCTGGTCTCGAACTCCTGACCTCGTGATCCACCTGCCTTGGCCCCCCAAAATGCTAGGATTACAGGCGCGAGCCACCGCGCCCGGCTGAGAAGACTTTTTCTCTGTGCAGCCTGGGGAGGCAGAACCACATCAAGAAAGCGGATGATGGCTGGACGTGGTGGCTCACGCCTGTAATCCCAGCACTTTGGGAGGCTGAGGTGGGTGGATCACTTGAGCTCAGGAGTTCAAGATCAGCCTGGGCAACATAGTGAAATCCTGTCTCTACAAAAAATACAAAAATTAGCCAGGCATAGTGGCATATGCCTATAGTCCCAGTTACTCAGGAGGCTGAGGTGGGAGGATTACTTGATCCTGGAAGGTTGAGGCTACAGTGAACCATGATGGTGCCACTGCCCTCCAGCGACAGAGCAAGACCCTGTCTCAGAAAAAAAAAAAAAAAAAAGTGATTGGAAGTGAATGTAAGGAGGAACTTTCTAGCTGAGGAATGTTAATTAGTGGAAGACACCTCCCGGGGGAGTGAGCTCGTCACCTGAGTATGTCAGCAGAGACTTGCACACTCAGCATGTTGTTTTGAAGATGCAAGAATTGTGTGGGAATTGGACTTGGTGACAGCCACCTCTGAGATTCCGAGGTTCTGTGTTTTGGGGCAGTAAGCTCTGCCTCCGTGTAGCTCTGGAATCTCCTGCTATTTGACCTTCAGTCAATCCCCTGTGCTAGAAGAGTATCTGACCTTTTCCAGGGAGTGGAATGGGGTGACCAATTGCCAGCTTATGCCAGGATAGCATGAGCCCTCTGTCTGTCCACCTGGGCTTCATGGCAGTCAGGCCTTGGCATTTTCATGATCTCTTTGTGGCCTCCCAACACTCATGTCAAGTTAAGGAGACTGTGGCTCTGAGAGGTACAGTAACTTGCCAAGGTCACACGGCTAGCAAATGGCAGAGCTTGGATTCAGGCCAGGAGGCCTGGTTTCTAAGCAGAGCAGGGGAGACAGACACAGCATGAGCTGAGCAACCTCTCAGAGCCCTCCAGTGTGGCTGGCACCCCATCCCTTAGGCTCCTCCCAGGGGAGCAGCCTGGCTAATAGATGGCTAATAGACATCTTTAATAGATAGGGTGATCCAGGCAGGAGAAGAGTCCTACTCGGGGGGAGTAATATCATGGGTGGGTGGGATAGGCTGTGTGCTTTCACTGTTTCTAATAGGTTAGGGGAAAACCAGGTTCGATGGAGGAGGGAAGAAGGAGGTTGGGGCCAGAAAACCTGTGGCTGCCCCAGTGGAGCTGCTGTGACGCTGCTGGTCACAGCTTCTTTGCTCTGTGTGGGCCTCCCTGCGGGTCCCATGTGGGGTCACCCGGCTCTACCCTGGGCTACTCTCTGGATCTCTGTTTCCCACCTATAAAACAGGGTGGTGATGAAATACCTCCTCTGTCAGAATTCTTCCAGCTCTGAGAGTCCATGAATTCAGAGCCTCGCTGGCAAGATGCCTGGAAAGACTGTCCCTGGAGACAGACTCAGCATGCCATGGCCAGTGCTAATGAGGGCAAGGGAGGGGAGGGCAGGGTCAGATTCCTCAAGAACTAATTAGCTTCCCACAGTAGGGAGGAGAGGGGCAATGGAGGGAGGAATTTTCTTAGCCACTGATGTTGCTGGTCACAGGCTGATCCATCCACCTGTCTGTCAATGCATTTGTTCATGCAGCATTTGTTCATTTATTATTCAACAATTATAAATTGAGCATCAACTGTGTGCCAGCTGGCCACTGGGGATAGAAAGAGAAATGGTTGCCTATGGTGATCTTATAGATTAATAGGGGACTGAACTCAGCCTGATCTCAGGACCTCAAATCCCAGACTGAACCCCGACCCATGATGACCTTGTTCCTGCCCCTTATGTCCCAAAGAGACCTTTTGGGATGAGTAGACCACTTGAGCATGGACTAGAGACCCCAGAAAGAACAGTTCTGACTCCAGCTTTGTCACCCTTGGCTTTGCAACCTTGGGGCAGTTCCTTATATATCTCTGAACCTCCGTTTCTTCTTCTGTAAAACACAGGCAAGCAATGCTTGTCTCATTGTGGTCTTGTGCAGATAAAATAAAAGAATGCAATGTTCTACAGTAGTCATTGGTGAAACTAGCTCAATTTGTTACTTTTCTAGTGTTAAAAGATGTGAATTTTAAAATGAGTATTTAAGTAAAACTAGGAAGAAATCCTGGGAGGAGATAGAAGAAACTGATTGTGATACAGAGTAATCAGGGATGGGGTGACACTTTTTACTGTATACCTTTTTATGTTTTAATTTTTAGGGCCAGGTATAGTGGCTCATGCCTATAATCTCAGCATTTTAGGAAGCCAAGGCCAGAGTATCACTTGGGCCCAGGAGTTTGAGACCAGCCTGGGCAACACAGGGAGACCCCTTCTCTACAAAAAATACAAAAAAAAAAAAAAATTGGCTAAGTGTGGTGGCGCACACCGATAGTCCAGATATTTGGGAGGCCGAGGTGGGAGGATGACTTGAGCCCAGGAGGTTGAGGCTGCAGTGAGCTATGATGGTGCCACTGCATGCCAGCCTGGGCAACAGAGCAAGACCCTGTCTCAGAAAAGTAAAAATAAAATAAAAATGAATGAATAAATAAATTTTTAGACTATGTGAATGTATTACCTACCCTAAAAAGGGGAAATATTAGTGGCGTCTCTTTATAAAATCAAAGCACATGCCTGTAATCCCAGCACTTTGAGAGACTGAGGTGGGCGGATCACTTGCGCCCACCTGAGTTTGAGACCAGCCTAAGCAACATGGTGAAACCCTGTCTCTACAAAAAAAAATACAAAAATTAGCTGAGCATGGTGGCATACATCTGTAGTCCCAGCTACTTGGGGAGCTGAGGCAGGAGAATCACTTGATCCCAGGATGTCGAGGCTGCAATGAGCTGAGATCTCATCATTGCACTCCAGCCTGGGTGACAGAGTAAGGTACTGTCTCAAAAAAATAAATAAATACAAATTAAAAAAAGCAGACGGTGGTTTATTAAAACATTTTTGTTTAAAAAAATTAGAGCACATTCCTATGCTATAATTCTGAAAGTATAAAGGGCCCTAAGGAAGGCACACAGAAAATATTCTGGGGGTTCATTTGTGCATTCAGCAATATCTACCGAGTGCCACTGTATGACAGGTGCTGTTCTAGGGGCTGTTGTTAGAGTGATAAACAAGTCAGGTGGCCGGGCACGGTGGCTCACGCCTGTAATCCCAGCACTTTGGGAGGCCGAGGCGGGTGGATCACCTGAGGTCAGGAGTTCGAGACCAGCCTGGCCTACATGGTGAAACCCCATCTCTACTAAAAATACAAAAATTAGCCGGGCATGGTGGCACATGCCTGTAGTCCCAGCTACTCGGGAGGCTGAGGCAGGAGAATCACTTGAACCTGGGAGGCGGAGGTTGCAGTGAGCCGAGATTGCGCCGCTGCGCTCTAGCCTGGGCGACAAGAGCAAAAACTCCTTCTCAAAAAAAAAAAAAAAAAGTCAGGCAAGGTCATTGCCCCTTGGAGCTATGCTGTAGGTGAGGAGACAGATAATAGACAGGGAAACATAAAGATCATTTCAACTTGGTGAATGCTATGGAGAAAACAAAACAGATGGGATAGGAGAAGGAAAGGTGCCTCCAGAGAGGGGACATTCCAGCTGAGACTTGAGTGGCAAGATAGGAACCAGCATGGACTGCTACCTGGGAAAAGATTATTCCAAGGAGAGCGAGCAGCAAGTCCAAAGGCCCTGGGGCAGGAACATACTTGGCATTTTCAAGGAAGAGAAAGCAAGCCAGTGTGGCAGAGCCTAGTGAGAGAGGAGAAGGCAGTGGGGAGGAACTGGGGACACGGTGGGACTTCTAGGGTGAGGTGTTCGTACTCAGTTTGGTAAAGTGCCATATCAGCAACTGTCAGGGGGATTCCAAATCAGGGACCAGTTAATCCTGAGAGGATAATCAGGGTGGCGTAGACGTGGTGGCATTTGAGTTGGGCCATGAAAGGTAGGTCAGGGCTGATTACGAAGTGAGCTAATTCTAAGAAACAGTGAGTGACGATTAAATTCCAGAAGAGATCCTGTGTAGGAAGGGCCGAGGCGACCATCTCTGTCTGCCTGTTTGTCCGTGCACCCCTGTGTCACTGCATTCCTGTTTGCTAACTGGGCTTTTGTCCCTCCCTGTAGCGTTGGGCCGGAGCACTAGCCTCACGGAGAAGGATCTGAAAGAAGCCAAGGCGCGGAGCCAGCAGATTGCAGCCCAGCTGACCACCCCTCCCAGCTCCAATTCCCGTGGCGTCCAGCTCTTCAACAGGCGCCGGCAGAGGGTGAACGAGTTCACCTTGGAGAGCCACGGCCAGAGGGGACAGAAGCCCAGCCAGGAGTCCCTCAGAGTGCTCCCTTCAAGCCTCCCAGGCCATGCACCGGGGCTCAGCCTGAGTTCCACCTCGCTGCCGGAGCCAGGCCCTCCACGGCACCCCAGTCCCCAGAGCCCCGACAGAGGGGTCCCTGGCCACAGCATGGAGGGGTACTCAGAGGAGGCTAGCTTGCTGCGGCACCTGGAGAAGGTGGCCAGTGAGGAGGAAGAGGTACCACTGGTGGTTTATCTAAAGGAGAATGCAGCACTGCTGACAGCCAATGGGCTGCACCTGTCCCAAAACCGAGAGGCCCAGCAGTCCTCACCGGCCCCACCTCCAGCTGAGGTCCACAGCCCAGCTGCAGATGTCAACCAAAACCTTGCCTCGCCCAGTGCCACGCTCACCACACCAACTTCTAACAGCAGCCACAATCCGCCAGCCACCGATGTCAATCAGAACCCACCGGCAACTGTTGTCCCACAGAGCCTGCCACTTTCTAGCATCCAACAGAATTCCTCAGAGGCCCAACTCCCATCTAATGGCACAGGGCCTGCTTCCAAACCCAGCACCCTGTGTGCTGATGGGCAACCCCAGGCACCGGCTGAGGAGGTGAGATGCAGCACACTCCTAATTGACAAGGTATCAACTCCAGCTACCACCACCAGCACCTTCTCCAGAGAAGCTACGCTCATCCCCAGCTCCAGGCCCCCAGCCTCAGATTTCATGTCCAGCTCCCTGCTCATTGACATCCAGCCCAACACCCTAGTGGTGTCAGCAGATCAAGAGATGTCTGGGCGAGCAGCTGCCACCACGCCCACCAAGGTCTACAGTGAGGTCCACTTCACACTGGCCAAGCCCCCATCAGTGGTCAACAGGACGGCCAGGCCTTTTGGGATCCAGGCGCCAGGGGGCACCAGCCAGATGGAGAGGAGCCCCATGCTAGAGAGACGACATTTTGGGGAGAAGGCCCCGGCTCCCCAGCCCCCCAGTTTGCCAGACAGGAGCCCCCGGCCACAGAGACACATAATGTCCCGCAGCCCCATGGTGGAAAGGAGGATGATGGGGCAGCGAAGCCCGGCCTCAGAGAGACGCCCCTTGGGGAACTTCACTGCACCCCCCACCTACACTGAGACCTTGTCCACAGCCCCTCTGGCTTCCTGGGTGAGGTCTCCTCCCTCATATTCTGTCCTGTATCCCAGCTCCGACCCCAAGTCTTCTCATCTGAAGGGCCAGGCGGTTCCTGCCAGCAAGACGGGCATTCTGGAGGAGTCGATGGCCCGCCGGGGCAGCCGCAAATCCATGTTTACTTTCGTGGAGAAGCCCAAGGTGACCCCGAATCCAGACTTGCTGGATCTGGTACAGACAGCGGATGAGAAGCGGCGGCAGAGGGACCAGGGGGAGGTAGGCGTGGAGGAGGAGCCCTTCGCACTGGGGGCCGAGGCCTCCAACTTCCAGCAGGAGCCAGCACCTCGTGACAGGGCCAGCCCCGCGGCGGCGGAGGAGGTGGTACCAGAGTGGGCCTCCTGCCTCAAGTCACCCCGCATCCAGGCCAAGCCGAAGCCCAAACCCAACCAGAACCTCTCCGAGGCCTCTGGGAAGGGAGCTGAGCTCTACGCCCGCCGCCAGTCACGGATGGAGAAATATGTCATCGAGTCTTCAAGCCACACGCCAGAGCTGGCCCGCTGCCCATCACCTACCATGTCCCTGCCTTCCTCCTGGAAATACCCCACTAACGCCCCCGGGGCCTTCCGAGTGGCATCCCGAAGCCCAGCCCGGACCCCGCCTGCCTCCCTCTACCATGGCTACCTGCCTGAGAACGGGGTCCTGCGCCCAGAGCCCACCAAGCAGCCGCCATACCAGCTGCGCCCCTCGCTCTTTGTCCTCTCACCTATCAAGGAGCCTGCCAAGGTCTCACCAAGAGCTGCCTCGCCCGCCAAGCCCAGCTCCTTGGACCTGGTGCCCAACCTGCCCAAGGGGGCTCTCCCTCCATCTCCTGCCCTGCCTCGGCCCTCGCGCTCCTCACCGGGCCTCTACACCTCCCCCGGCCAGGACAGCCTGCAGCCCACTGCCGTGAGCCCTCCTTACGGCGGTGACATCTCCCCCGTGTCTCCCTCCAGGGCGTGGTCTCCCCGAGCCAAGCAGGCCCCCAGGCCCTCCTTCTCTACCCGGAACGCCGGGATCGAGGCTCAGGTGTGGAAGCCTTCCTTCTGCTTCAAGTAACGAACCCCACGGGGGTCCCACTGCCGGTCAAGTTCCCCTCCTTGAGGGCCAGATGGAGAGCAGATGTGGCAGGAAATGGCACAGAGCTGAGTGAGGAGAATGGGGAGTCCATGGTTCAAGGTCAGATGCGGCCACCAGCTGGCTTTGTGACCTTGGGCGAGTCGCCTCCCCTCTCTGAGCTGAAGCCGCCCCTCCCCTACTACAACAGGGGTCGGACTCCATGTCTGAGCGGGGAGGAGGGTCATGGAGAGAGAACTGTCTGGCAGCCCTGATGCGGTAGAGGGGCATCCTCTGGCCTTTGTGAGCTGTAGGGATGCAGAGTCTGATGCCAGCGTCTTGCTGGGGGAGTGGCCTAGAAGGGGATCCTAACAGGGACTTCTGGAGCAGACAGAGCCTGCCAGTGCCTGTGGAGTCAGCCAGCCGAGGGTCTGCCTCCTCAGCTGCCCCAGGGGGGCCTCCCTCCTGAGGCTCAAGCTCCTGGCGTCTTTCTTCCTGTTGCTGGATTCTCACCTCCATGGGCCTGTCTCTTCTGCCTCTGCCTTCTGGACACCGTTTCCTCTCCGCTGCTTCAGAGAGCTTTGCCTCGCCTCCGCCTGCGCTCCCCTCCAGGGTCCTTCTGCTGGCTGCGGACTCGGCCCACCACTGCTGTCTGACGCTTTTCTTCCTGCCCCCTCTGAGGCCTGGCTCTGTTTTAGGGAGATCACTGGGCCCAGGCCTCAGCCCCAGTTCTACCTGGCTTGCTGTCACCGCTCTAGGGGTGGGGGACGTCCCAGGGGATCCCCAGGAGAAGGAGAGCCCTGTAGGGGGCTGTGCAGATGTGGGTGTGCCACAGGGAGGGTGGCCCCTAGCCATGTATCCATTGGCTGTTTTGGCTTCAGATTCAACCAAGATCTGCCTGACTAAAAGAAGCCACCTCAGCGCAGTGGAACGGGGCCCAGGGGGAGGCAGGAGAGGAGGGTTCCGGTCCCATGTCACCTTCTCATTTGCTGTGTGACTTTGGCCCACTCACATTCTCTTTGGGCCTCAGTTTTATCATTTATACAAGGAGGGCTTTTCTAGCTGTAACAATCTGTGAGGATTGAGAGGATAGGCTGGTGCTTTGAAGAAAGGCCTTGTAAGTGACAAGACAGTCCCCTGGGAAGAAAGAGAAAGGAAATGGGCTATTGCCAAAGGACAGGTGGCGTTAGATGGCTGTGAGGGTGACCTGGTGAGGGAAGGGTTGGAATGAGCTGCTGCAGGAGGCCAAGGGATGCCTGGGCTGGGCTGGGCTGGGCTGGCTTAGGCTCAGGATTGCCTGGGGACAGTAGGAGCATGGCAGGAGCTGGGGCAGGTGCATAGCAGTGCAGTGGGAAGGGACAGAGGAGATCTTAGAATTTTGAGGAAAATCTGGGACTTGAGACCTGGATTCTAACAGACCAACTGCATGTGTGTCTGTAGGTCTCAGTTTCCACATTCATACAGTGAGGGTGTTAAGTCAGGTAGCTGGAGACTTCCCATCGCCTCTGACACTTTTGGAGGTGATATGATACAGCCCCCGACCAAACCAGGCTTTGTGGGGGGTGAGAGAATACAGACACAAGTGGCAGGATTCAGATGGAAGCTTCGCAAGGCTGGGGGCCGAGGACCACCCACTTCTCTTTCCCAGCCCTAGTTCTGGGTTCCCCAGTGGGGCAAGGGGTGGTGGAGGCAGTGCCCATGCTGGGCTGAGCCTGCAGTTTTTGTGAGCTCTGGGCTTGTCTCCATGGGAACAGGGGTGCCTTCTTAGTGAGCTCATTTCACACAGATCGAGGGGGTATGCGTGGGGGAGTTGTGAGTGAGCTCAGCTCCTTCAGGCCTGGCCTCTCCCAGAACAGAGTGAAGCCCCTGCCCTGGACCCCTGCTCCCTTCTACCCTTGAGGGCCACCAATGGAAGAGCCCGCCCTTCATTCTGCAGCTCCTGCGGCCAGGCTGAGCTCTGCCCCCAACTTTGTTTTCTCTCATGTTCTCAATACACTCTGCCTCAAATCCGTCTTGCTTCTTTCTTTCTTCCGTGCTGCTAGGGGTCAGGGTTCCCTTCCTCCTGCCTGATTCTAGCCTGGGAAGTGGAGTGGGCCTGCTCAATTACTGTGTGTGAAAGTGTGGCTGTGTCCTGCGTGCTGCCTGCACCTGCCGTGTGTCTGGTTCTGCACTGGTACAGACGTGTGCTGGGTTGGAAATGAGGGCTTCCTCTCTACAGCACTCAGGGAGCCAGAACCCTGTGCAAATCGCAACCTTTTGTTCTTTCCTTCCCTCAGAGTTTGGCCAAAAATACTTTAGAGGATTTTTGGGGAAAATGCACTACCTCTTCTCGTTGAGGTTTGTTTGGGTTCTTTACAAGTGGAATAGAAATTCCTCTAGCCAGCATTCGCTCTCCAGTTCCCTCAGGTCCCCTCCCTGCTCCCCATTATCTAAATTTGGCCATTTCCCACATTTGCCATTGTTTTCACTGTCTGGATCCTAAAAGCATGGAGTTTCTGCCCCTGGTGGGGAGGAAAGAACTGCCATCAAGGGTCAGGAGAGCTGGGTTCTAGCCCCAGGTCTGCATCTGATTCGTGTGTGACCTCAGACAACCTCTTCCAATCTCTGGGCCTCAGTTTCCCCTTCTGTGCAGTGAAAGGATTACAGAAGGAGGTCAGAGACCATTTGGTCTCCGACAGTCCAGGTTTGACTGTGTTCTACTTATGTATTCACCCCACACATGTGCCCTGCTTTGGGTCTGGGGTTGGGTTGAGTGGATGCTACTTTTTGAATTTTCACCCACCGCATTCCCAAGGAGCTCTGGTGTGCACGGTGCATTGAGCTCTCTGTCAGAAAGTGAACAGTTCTGATTTCCTGCAGCCTTTTCGTACTGTGCACACCCCCGACTCAAAAACATACACACAGAGTCAGTGCCCAGGCATGGCTGTTAGGGTGAGGTCAGGCTCTGGCCCATCTCCAGATGATGGGGATCTGCTTACCACTGCCCTCAACATTCAATCCCGTTTGAGCCCTTCTGTTTTGTAGTCTTGGCTGAATTGTTATTTCTTCCACTTGTTGGCCTCAGCATTCCCCTTGTGGCCACCAAAGGCAGAAACAATGCTTTAGAGATTTTTAGGTAGTTATCATAGCTCTCCTGTGCAGCCTACTCTCCTGGCTGAAGACCCCAGGTTCCGCTGCCTTGGGTGGTTATTGACTGGCTTGGGTCATGAACTCTAGGCCCTACCTCCCTGCTCAGGGTGGCACTGTGGTCAGGTGTTGGGTCATGCCAGAGCCCACCCTGATTTGGCATTTGGCCCTAGCCCTCCTCTTCTAGCCCTGGAGCTGGGACCTTCCTCCCAGCTCCTCTCCCTAAACTGTGGGGTCTGCCTTCTGCGGCCAGCCTGACTGGGATGTTCCACTGGCACAGAGAAGCTCCCAGTGTCTCTGGCTCATGTATACACAATTCTGACCCTGGGAAGAAAACAGTGGGATCCCAGGCTGAGCCTTAACTTTCAGCTTGATGACTGGGAGCTTGGATGTCCCTAGGGAGTCTCTAAGGGTCACTCCAGCATTAGTATCCCATGAAAAATGTCCTGCTCAGGCTGTTGTATAACATTCTTCTTTAGGTTAAAGGGCTCCAGTTTGGAGTCTGGGCTCATCTAGCAGCTGCTACATTCTGTTTGGATAAAACATACAATTGGTGTCTATTTCCTTTGGATTGGGAGGAATTAGAAGACTCTCAGTTGGATGAGAGGATGACTGGCTTGGTTATGGCTGATCACTGATTGGATGAAAGAATAAATCTTTGGATGGTTCTAGATTTTGATCGGGTAGGAAGCATGGAATGGACTGGCTAGCTCTGAACTCTGGTGGATGACTGCTAGTGAATTTGGATTGGATTAAATGGCAAGGTGGACTGGTTATTGCTGGAATCTGATTGGGTGAACAGTTGGAAAGTTCAGGAGATACATGTTAGGCAGGGATTCCCAAGCCCTCCACTTTCAAACCAGTTCAAACCGCTTAAACATGTAGCCTTTGAGCAGCACACACACACACACACACACACACACACACTTCCTGGTGGGGCAGAACACACTAGATTGTTATTTACACCTCTGAGCTTCATTTTCATCATTTGTAAAATGGGTGTGGTAATGCTAATTACCTCACTAGTCTGTTGTGAAAACCTAATGAGATAAAGGATGAGAATGAAGTTTGTAGACTGAAAGTCCTTAAGTACATAGGAAACAGGTATGGCTCTGCATCGCTGACCAGTGCTTCATAGCCTCCAAGCTGTTCACCATCTTGGCCTCTCCAAAACCACACTCCCCTCCCCATTGCTGTGAAAAAGCTCAGTGAGGGGCGTGTGCTGCCTAGGGAGGAATGGCCCGACTTCCTTTTGTATCTCCATCTGTCAGGGGCATCTTCCTCCCTGTTCAGGCATCCAAGGAAAGATGATGAGGTGACCATGGCAACATGGCAAATGGTTTGGGGCTGAGAGGGTCTTTCCCTAAGTCCAACTTTAATAATAGTCGGCCAGGCGCGGTGGCTCACGCCTGTAATCCCAGCACTTTGGGAGGCTGAGGCGGGCGGATCACCTGAGGTCAGGAGTTCGAGAC